>NC_000003.12:115220725-115523755 GCF_000001405.40 Homo sapiens
ATGTCACTGTCCTCTGAGGCCACAACACAGCTGCCATGCCACACACTGGCTCAGAACACACAGTGGGGCATAGCCAAAAAGTTCACAAAGTAAAGAAGTGTCAACTTTCTACCTTTCAGCATTCATTTGCCTGCATGCTTATACCAGAAAGAAAATGAGAACTACTAATACTGCTTATACCAGAAAGAAAATGAGAACTACTAATAATACTTCATTTTCATTCATCAAGGAGAATAATTACAGAACTAAAGAAGAGAGAGCAAACATGGTAAAAACATAGTACAAACAAAATAAAACATACTCAAAACAGAATAGATGGAGGCAAGGGTAGTCAAAACTACTAAGAACCCAGATATGTGGTTATTCTTCATTAAAAAATAGACCTATCTCTCGTATTCCTATTTTATCTACTGAATGTATTATCCTACCTCAATCCACTGAACTCATCTCTAATTCTCAACCTGAATGCTGTTCCCTAAGGAAAGTCTTCTCTAACCTCCTGATTCTATTTTAGGTCCCCCTATTAAATGCCTTTAAAACACTGTATACTTTATCATAATGTGATACAAAAATGAAACTTGGCATGAATTAAACTAAATTACACTTATAATAATTTAATGTCTGTATCCCTGCTAGACTGTAAATTTCTTTTTTTTTTTTTTTGAGATGAAGTTGTCTCGCTCTGTCACCCAGGCTGGAGTGCAGTGGCACGATCTCGGCTCACTGCAAGCTCCACCTCCCGGGTTCACACCATTCTCCTTCCTCAGCCTCCCGAGTAGCTGGGACTACAGGTGCCCGCCACCACGCCTGGCTATTTTTTTTGTATTTTTTAGTAGAGATGAGGTTTCACTGTGTTAGCCAGGATGATCTCTATTTCCCGACCTCGTGATCCGCCCGCCTCAGCCTCCCAAAGTGCTGAGATTACAGGCGTGAGCCACTGTGCCCGGCCACTATAAATTTCTTACAGTCAGAGACCATGCCTTTTTTGGTCATTGTTGAAGCTGCTGGTACATAGTAAGCACTTGATAAGTGTTGTTTGCTGAGCTAATGAACCAATCATTTGAAATGACTTCACATTTTCAGATTTTGTGCAAGATTCCTGTTGTATAGATCTGTAATATATGGCAAAATCAATAAAATGTATTGTACCCCAAAACACTTCCAATGTGTGTGTACAGTATTCTATTAGTAGAACCAGTTCTATAAAGACTACTGAATCCAAATCTTGGCTCTTGTGCTATCTCTGAAAAGTTACACCTGTAAGCCTCAGTTTTGCCATTTACGAAATGGCATTATTGTGTCAGCTTCAAAAGTTTCCTCTGAAATTTAATGAAATAACAGAGGATAGACATTAAGCATGATACCTGGAACATGATGTATTTTCCACAATTATTAGGTTAATTCGAATAATTAAAAATTTAGAAATAGTTAAATGCCCCAAACTTCTCAAGATGGTGAAAAATGTATGTGACTAGAGAATAGGATGTAGTCTTAGTTGTTCTATTGAGTCATTATATAACGTTAGGCAAATTACAAGTATCTCTGGGAATAACTTTCTTTATTTACAAAATGAAATAGCTAAACTGTCGTCTTATGATCCATCGTGAGAAAAAGGGTGTTGTGGATGTCCTAAATTTATATAAAATTGAATGTTTATGTGGTAATTTTTTCTAGTCATATCTTTTATTTGGTTCTTGAAAGGGATTGAGTTGCAAGTCAGTTTACTGGGAAGCAGACTCTGAGATGGAAATTAACGTGCAGGAAGTATACACTACACAGAATAAAACACTCTCAGGATTAACATCTATCGGAGGAGGGAGAGAAGAAACAGGGTTGGGCAAAGAGAGAAGTTGGCTGTAAGCAATCATCCAACCTTTCTATGTTGAATATTTTGCTAGATTGTTTTTAGGATAAAAATGACTAACATGATAGCTGCAATGATTTCAGCATGTTATAATTAAACAGATAGTATGGTGGAAAACTGTGGTACTATCTTCCCAGTATCCCTCCCCTGTGAACTGCTCCTTCCTTCATTCCAATGGTGCCATTTATGGAGTAGATGCTGTGTTCTTATAGACTTTACTACTGGCAAAAACCACAATTACTTTTGCACCAACCTAATACCTTGTCACAATATTGCTCAAGGGTCGAGTAAAAACATAAATGGTCAGTTTGAATCAGTTTTTAAATTTTCCTGGGAAAGACAGTCAATCTGTTGGTAGAAGCCAAAATGTGAAAGTCAGGATCTGGCACTGCTCATGATCTCTGTGAGTGAGGAGGCCTTGAAGGAACTCAAAACAATTTCAAATGTATATATACCTGAAACTCTAAACAATAGAGTTTCAAATTACATGAAACAAAATCGATAGAACTAGAAGCAGAAATATATAAATCCACAATCATAGCTGGAGAACTCAATACTCTCTCAGTAACTGAGATAACAAAGAGATATAAAATTAGTAAAGATATAAAAGACATGAACAACACTATCAACCAACTTAAATGAATTGACATTAATAGAATACTTCACCCAACAATAGAAGAATATATATACTGTTTAAATACACATGGAACATTCATAAAGGTATATCATATTCTTGGCTATAAAGAATTTAAAGATTTGAAATCATACAGAGTATATTCTCTGACCATAATGGAATTAAGCAAAAAAAAAAGAAAAAAATCCATAACAGAAAGATATGTAGAAAATCAACACATATTTTGGAAGGTAAACAATACATTTCTAAATAATCCATAGGTTAAAGAGGAAGTCACAAAGGCAATTAGAGAGAAAAATATATATGTACATAGATATAATTTTTTTTTAAAGAAATGGCATCTTCTCAGGTTGCCCAGGCTGGTCTTGAACTCCTAGGCTCAAGTGACCCCCCCCACTTCAGCCTACTGAGTAGCTGGGACTACAGGCATGTGGCACTGTGCTCAGCTCAAGAAGTATTTTAAGTTGAATGAAAACAAGAACCCAATGTATCAAACATGTGGGATGCATCTAAAGAAGTAGTACATGTGTAATTTATAGAATTAAACACTTACATTAGGAAAAAAGAAAGATCTGAAATCCATGATCTAGATGTTAAGAATCTAGTAAAAGAGGATTAAATTAAGTCTCAAAGTAAACAAAGAAAAGAAAAAAGTAAAGATAAAAGTGAAAATCAAAAAATTAAAAACCAGAGAAAAATAGAGAAAATCAATGAAACCAAAAATAGATTATTTCTTAAGATCAATAAAATTGATAAACCTCTTCCCAGACTAAGGGGCAAAAAAAGAAAACACAAAATTATGAATATCAGAAATGAAAGAAGGAACATCACTATTAATTCTATAGACATTAAAAGGATAAGGGATTATTACAAAAACTCTATATATGTCCACGTATTTGATAATTTAGATGATATGGGTAAGCTCCTTGAATGACAAAAACTATTGAAGCTAACACAAAAATAAATAGATAACCTTAATAGTCCTGTACCTATTAGAGAAACATAATTTATAGTTAAAAACCTTTCTATTAAGCATTTAGGAAAGAAATAGCAAGTCTACACAAACTCTTCCAGAAAATAGAAGAGAGAACACTTAACTTGTTTTAACTTGATAACAACACCAGACAAAAATATGACAAATAAATAAAACCAAAAGTCAATATCCCTCATGAACAGATGTTCAAATAATCAAGAAAATATTAGAAAATAGAATCCAACAATATGTAAAAAGGATAATATGTTATGACCAAGTGGGGTTTATCCTGGAAATGCAAAACTGTTGTAATGTTTAAAAATCAGTGTAATTCATCAAATCAGCAGACTAATGGAGAAAAATCATATAATTTTCACAATGGATTTTAAAAAAGCATTTTACAAAATTCAATTTTCATTCATGGTTTAAAACAATAGCAACGTTAGCAAAAATTCTCAGTGAACTATGCATACAGTGAGACTTCATCAACCTGATAAAGGTCATTTATGAAAAACATAATAGCTAATATCATACTTAATAATGAATAATGAATACTCTTCTCCTGGGATTGGAACAAAAGCAGTGATGTCCACTTGCATCACTCCCATTCAACATTATACAAGAGATCCTGATTAGTGGAGTAAGGCAAAAGCAACAAATTCTGGATGCATGGAATAGAGTGAATAAATCTCAAATGTATTATGCTCAGTGAAAGACGTCAGACTCAACAGGATGCATACTGTGTGACTGCATATGACATTCTGAAAAAGATAAAACTATGGGGACAGAAAGCAGATTAGTGGTTGCCAGGGCCTGGAGCTGCAGGTAGAGTTTTGCTATAAAGGGGCATAGGAGTTTTGAAGGGTGATAGAATTATTTTATATCTTGTTTATGATGGTTACATGACTATATGTGTTTATTATTTTTATATCTTGTTTATGATGGTTACATGACTATATGTGATTGCCACAACTCATAGATTGGTACATGAGAAAGCATCTATTTTCCTATATGTAAATTACACCTTGATATGCCTCAGAGAGAAAAGAAAATCCCACTCAAAGAGAGAAACCAATGTGAGTTTGTCTTTGAAATGAAATTCTGGTGGTGTTTTTGCCGTGGTTGTGATTTTTTTCTGGAAATTTGGGTTTCTCTCTGCTCTTTTGGAGTTTAGTTATTTAAAAAATGATAATTTTGTCTGCTTTTGATAAACCATGGAAGAGAGCTACCTGGATATATTCTATGCATTACCTGAGTGATTCAGGATCTTTTAAATGTAATCTGTATACTTTTCCCCAAGCAAGTTCAAATAATGTTTCTATCACCTGTGATGGACAGTCCTGAGTAATGCATGGAAACAGACACTTGCACAAGTAACTGTATACAAGGTTGTGTGAGAAGTGCTGTTAAGAGCAGTAACAATGTTGTGGAAGCAGAGAGGCGAATGTGATTAAGTCTGACTGGGATCTAGGTAGTAATTGAGTTGGCCTCAAAGACTTTCTGCACTAGAGTCTGGGGAAACGTATCCCAGTTTGAGAGAACAGTAGAAGCACATTGCAGAGGACAGGAATAAATGGATGCATGGATGACAGTATGTGATGTCTTCAGGGATAAGAGGTGCAGTGGACCTAAAGTGTAGAGACCATCGAACCAGGTAAGTGGTGGAAGATGAACTTAGAAAGGTAGACTTTTACCAGTCAGCAGAGAGAACTTTCTGTGCTCAAGATTTTAACTCTATTTTATAAAGAGTTTTATAAATAGCAGAGGAGTGGCATACTCAGATAAGAATTTCTGAAAGATATTTTCAATGTAATCTGAGGAATTATCAGAGAGGCTTCTTGAAATAGGTCAGTTGGGAATCCGTTGCATTAGATTAGAAGGTCTGCAGATGACTATGCCCTACATAGATAGAAAGGGTGTAATGATATTGTTGTTATGATTATAGCAGTTACCACTTTCCCCACTCCTTATGAGCCAGGCATTGTACTAAAGTACTTCAAATACATTATCTTATTTAATCCTGACAATCATATAAAGTAGGTATTATTATGACAATGTAGTAGCCAATTATTTTCCACTTAGTCCATGTGGAGGGGCTGACCCTACTGCCTTTCCCACCCTACAAGAGGTGGTGATATTAGGGATAAGCATGTGTCCTGGGCTATCTAACATGCATATCCTTTTTTCCCTTGGTTAGCAAATGGTGAGGGACAGGTATATAGCTCATTTTATACATTTGGATTTAGTCCCATGAATTTGGTGGAAAATATCAATACGAGAAGATAAATTGTATCTGCTTTTGATAAGAGATGGATGAAAACTGGCTGGAATCATTTGTTAGTTGATATTAATTCTACAGCCCTAAGTTTCCCAATGGCTTTTCCTTGAATATTCATCCTGATAAATACTCTGTGAAAAAGTATTCTGTTTTACGCATTAACTGGGAAAGGATTGTATACTGTATGACTCTCAGAACTTAGTAAAGGGACTAGAAATCCTGCAGTCAAGAAATCTATTTAATTTTGTTTAATCCAGCTTTCTCAAATGTATGTAAAGAAATTACCCTTTTTATACATGTATTGACTAGTATCTACCACATTTTGGGAAATACAGTTGTAGGCATTTATCCACCTAACTATAGTTAAACCATTCAAAATTTTAATAGCAGGATAAAAGGCACCCTTATCTCTAGTATCTCTTGAGGTTGCATTTCTTAGTCTTTTCCCTGGAACACTTATAAAGATGCAGATCATGATCTGAAAACAAAAGAAAATGTTAAGAGCCAGGGGCATGTTTTGGTCAATTTGGATTTACATGTTTCCATATAACAGTATTCTGTTGCCTTCCAGAGACACTAGAATCCATCATCTGACAGCTGTGGAGAGCATAGTTTCTCATTTGGCTTACCACCATGCCTGAGACTCCCCACAAAAGAGACCCAAACAGATTACCTAAAGAAATGAGGGGTCACTGAGTGATAATGTGAAGTAGGAGAATTCACATTCTCATCTGCACAGTCACCCAGGGGTCTCATTTTTGAATCTGGAATGTGAAATGGGCTTTGGAAATAATTGAAAAAATGCCCAGTATGCCCAGTACAATGCTGGGTGTGGTAAATACAGCAGTCAAAATGTCTGATCACTGTTGTGTCATCGCTGTCTTCACAGAGCTTTCTTACTGTAGCTTCAAGTAATGTCTCTAAGAACCTTTTTTTAAGTTATAATTTACCTCAAATTCCCTTCCTTATAATATTTAATGAAATGACACATAAAATGCAAGGAAAGTGAGTAAAAGAAGAGCAACATGGTTTCTGAAAGAGAAAAGTATTTTATAAGACACAAAAGGAGATTCATGGGGAAGGTCATCAATGGTGGCACTGGTGACTAACATAGGATCTGAAATAATACCAGTGATAATTAAAAACATTTCTTTCTGAGACCTTTCAAATGCTGAGGAACTCTTCTGTCCTCAGGAAACTTCACAGTGTTTTGCTGATGACAAACTGGTGTAATAAAAATAAAGACACACTGAAATGGAATTTTTACAATTGTGATTCTTAAACACTTAGTATTGTGGAAAAAGTACAGTGCACGTTTACATATCCAAGCTATCTTATTTTAGCACTGTTTTGCAAACCATTGAAAAGGCTTAACAATCCATCTATGTTAAAATTAGCTCAAAACATACATGCTCAGAATGAATTACATTGAAAAGACTCTGGAACTCTAAAATGATTTTAGTTTTCTTAATTTTTCATTTAGAAAAACCCACAACTGGTGTTCCTCATTACCTGGTTTCGCAGCTTTTTATCTATAGAAGTGGTGAAAATTATAATAGAAACTTATAGAAGATATATATATATCTTAGAGATGATGGTGATTTTGAAGCTAAAACAATGTGTAGGACAGAAAAGACAACAAGCAATATTTCAGGAGCAGATATAAGCTCTGCTCTGAAAGCGTTTATGCATTATTGGGGAAGGTAGGGGAGAAGAAGATAGACTTATATATAACTGAATACAATCAAGGGCATCACAGAAGGAGAATGAAAACCATCTACATGGCTTATGCCTATTTTACTACTGATATGGTTTGATTCCGTGTCCCCACCCAAATCCCTTCTGGAACTGTAGTACCCATATATCAGAGGAGGGGCCTGGTAGGAAGTAATTGAATCGTGGGGGTGAATTTTCCTCTTGCTGTTCTCATGATAGTAAGTGAATTCTCACAAGATCTGATGGTTTTAAAGTGTGTCATTTCCTCTCCTCGTGCTCTCTCTCGCTCTCCTGCTCTGCCGCAGTAAGATGTGCTTGTTTACTCTTCACCTTCTGTCATGAGATTGTAAGTTTGCTGAGGCCTCCCAGCCATGCTTCCTGTTAAACCTGTGGAACTGTGAGTCGATTAAACCTCTTTTCTTCTAAATTACCCAGTCTCCAATAGTTCTTTATAGCAATGGGAAAACAACTAATAAACTATTCACAGTTGTCATCGATATAACATTACCATTCCAGAATGCTCTTGTCCTAGAAGATAAAAGTTACAAATAACTTTATTGTTCATTTAAGAAACTTTCTGGAAGTTGTATTAGGCTGTTTTTGTGTTGCAATAAAGAAATACCTGAGGCTGGGTAATTTACAAACAAAATAATTGGCTCAGGGTTCTGCAGGCTGTACAAGCATCTGCTTCCGGTGAGGGCCTCAGGAATTTTACAATCATAGCAGAAGGTGAAGGGGGAGCAGGTGTCACAGGAGAGTGGAAGGAAGAAGAGGAAATGCCATACTCCTTTAAACAACCAGATCTTGCAAGAACTCACTCACTATTCTGAAGACAACACCAAGCCATTCCTGAGGGATCTGTCCCCATGACCCAAACACTCCCCACCAGTCCCTCCATCTCCAGCATTGGGGATTAATTTCAACATGACATTTGGAGGGAGCAAGCATCCAAACTATATCACGTGTCAACTCTATAATGGAAAGTATTAAAGACAGTTTGTACCCCAAGATCCTCAGAACTACTCACTTCAAAATACCTGTTTTGCTGTGGTTACCAATCCTAAATGATCATATGAAGCCCCTCTCTCAATTGTAACCAAGTCCTCACATTGAAAGATCTGCTTTAAACCAGACCCTAAAATCTCAATAGATATCCCAACTTTTTCCTTTCCCTTCTGAGATGCTACTAGGACTGTCAAGAGACAGTGCCTCTAAAGAGAGACAGTGTCCTCCTTTACCACAGTGAGTTTTCTTATCAACAGATTGTTTTGGTAATATTTTGGATGTTTTTCAGAGCCAGCATTCAACAATCTTGGGCCCCAATGAGATTCAATCAAAATGGGGACTCCTTAATTCTCAGTTTTGACTTGGACACAGCCATTCCCTTGTGACCCTTAGAGCCTCCCCCTGAGTGCTCTATGACCTAATTCTGGGCTAAGTCACGTATTGGGTTGAACTTTCGTTTCTTTTCATTGTGCTCTTCCAATGTTAACTTTGTTTTCCTTCTAGGAGTAAAAAACCCTTTTTAGGATTATCTGATCATATTTGAAAAAACTGATATCCTTGGTGGAAATTTGCCTTATTAATCAACAACACTAGTATTTGTCTATCTCTGTCTATGATTTAAGTATTGTTCTTTCCTCTTTCTTAAGATATTTAGAAATAATTATTACCAGCCTTTTTACTGCAGAGGCTCAGACTGCTAGTGATAGTGTCTGCAGAGAAAATGTCATAGCAGAGCAAAATACTGCTGGAGCAAGGAGTTGATTAAAATAAAATAAATATGGAATGACAACTTTATCATTCATTCCTCTGTCCTTCTTCCTCCCAGGGGGGAAGGTTTCCTTCTCATGCTGTCCTAAGGGTAGAAAGGTGAAAACTTGAAACCCTTTCCTAAGGGAATGACAGAAAATGGTGAACAATAGTTGCTGGGGGTGGTACTGGGAAATATCTGTGTCTTAGTCTACTCAGGCTTCCATAACAAAATATCATACTGGGTGGTTTAAATAACAGTACATTATTTCACATGGCTCTGGAGGCTTGGAAGTCCAAGATCAGATTGTCAGCATGGTTGGGTTCTAGTGAGGGCTCTTTTCATGGCTTGCAGATGGTAACCTTCTTGCTATATCCTCAGATGGTGGGCTGGGAGAGGGAAGGAAGATCTCTGGTCTCTTATTACAGGGCAGTAATCCAATAATGAGGACCCCACCCTCATGGCTTTATATAAATGGAGTAAGGGAGATTGAAGAATAAGATGTAGAATTTGTATAAGTTTCAGTGATTCAGAATTAAAATAAGTAATTTTAGATAACAGATGGTTTGCTTAAAATTTATTGAAGATTTTAGGCATTTAGAAATAAGAAAATATTTCTAAAATTGATTGCACACTTTGCTGCCTTCTTAATTAGAGAGAGCCAAACATCTAACCTTTTTTTGATGACTCAAGGTCATCATTATGCATATTGATGATTATTTTGTAAAGGAATGATACACTCAAGAGCCATCAGAACATACAAGGCTGCTTACTTCTACGTGATTTTTCCTATACTGCTATGATTCTTGTGTTTGTATCCACTCTTAATTGTCTTTCATATTGCAGACATTCCATACATAATAACTCTTTTCACTTTTATACTATCAATGTATAGTATATTGATTTAAGTAGGTCCTCTCCCTAATAAAATCATGTTGCTTATAGTCTGCTGTGGTCTTGGAACCCATAAAGACAAGCTGTTAGAAGTGTACATAAAGTGAGAGTGATTAAGTTCTGATTGGGTAATGTATTAGGGTTCTCTGACTGGGTAGTGTATTAGAGGGATAGAACTAATAGGATATATATATATATATATATGAACATATATATATATAAACTCATATATACAAACTCATATATATATAAATTCATATATATATACTCATATATATATAAATTCATATATATAAACATATATTTATGTGTATATATACATACACACACACACACACACACACACACACATATATATATACACACACTCCTAGGGCACTCATTTATCTACCTATCTGTGATGGTTAATACGGAGTGTCAACTTGATTGGATTGAAGGACACAAAGTATTGATCCTGGGTGTGTCTGTGAGGGTGTTGCCAAAGGAGCTTAACATTTGACTGAATGGGCTGGGAAAGGCAGACCTACCCTTAACCTGGTGGGCACCATCTAATCAGCTACCAGCAAATATAAAGCAGACAGAAAAACATGAAAAGGTGAGACTGGCTTAGCTTCCCAGCCTACATCTTTCTCCCATGCTGGATGCTTCCTGCCCTGGAACACTGGACTCCAAGTTCTTCAGTTTTGAGACTTGGACTGGCTCTTCTTGTTCCTCAAGCTTGCAGACAACCTATTACGGGACCTAGTGATCACATAAGTTAATACTTAATAAACTCCCATATATATGGATCATTTTGGAGCTTCATCACTTATTTTAGTTCTGAATCACTGAAACTTATACAAGTTCTATATCTTTTACATCTAACTCCCATATATATATATAGGAGTTTATATCATATATATATATGATATAAATAGGAGATATATATATACTTTATAAACTCCCATATATATGATATATATCTCCTATATCTCCTATATATATCATATATATACTCAAACTCCTCTATATATGATACATATAGGATATATATATATGCTCAATAAATATTAGGGGTTTTTTTTTTTCTTTTTTCTTTTTTTGTTTTTTTTTTTGAGATGGAGTCTTGCTCTGTCACCCAGGCTGGAGTGCAGTGGCATGATCTCGGCTCACTGCAAACTCCACCTCCCAAGTTCTAGTGATTCTCGTGGCTCGGCCTCCCAAGTAGCTGGGATTACAGGCATGTGGGACCACACCTGGCTAATTTCTGTATTTTTAGTAGAGACAAAGTTTCACCATGTTAGCCAAGCTCGTCTCAAACTTCTGACCTCAAATGATTTGCCACCTCAGCCTCCCAAAGTGCTGGGATTACAAGCATGAGCCACTGTGCTCGGCCTAGTTATTTTTTTGGTTATTAACTAGCTGGGTGATTGTGTGTGTGTGTGTGTGTGTGTGCGCGCGTGTGCATGCATGTGTCAACTTTCAAATTCTCTGGGCATTAAGAGGTAGGCTAGATAATATACTGTCTAATTTCCTTCCAGCATTATTATTCTGTGACTATGGCAGTGTAGCCTAATATTTACAGAAAGGAGTCATCTGTTTTATAAGCCAAGTGGCTTAGGGGTGCAATCTCAGGATTTGTACCTTGAAAATCCATGTAAATTTGTGCTTTTAGGTTGAGTAAAGATTACAGGAAGTGCAGTATATACTGTTAAACAATATTTTTTGTTTTGGTTATGATAAAATTCTGTGCTAGAATTACTCTGTTGTGATTGTTCCTTCTATGTAAAGTGTATGTAAAAGTGGTGAAAATTTAGTCTTCTCAGCTGGGATATGAAAATACATATTATGTTTCTCATTGTTAAACTGAAGCCACACGATTTAGAACATAGAAAAGATAAGTGTAAGTAACACCATGGATTGGACTACTTAAAAATTTTAAATGGTTATAAATAATGGATGGATATATCGTACTGAAGCTTAAGCCAAGAGGGTGCTCACTCAGTAGTTTAAGGCATCAATACTCTTAACAGTATTTATTAGGAATAAAAAAGTTCCTCTCACCCTCTTGCTTTACAATATAACCCATGAACAATCAAGTGATTCTTTTAAGAGAGATGGAAGCACTTATTAAACATTGTAGTTATGTGCATAACTATTTTGAAGGAAACAC
Organism: Homo sapiens; assembly: GCF_000001405.40. NCBI lineage: Eukaryota > Metazoa > Chordata > Mammalia > Primates > Hominidae > Homo > Homo sapiens. The sequence goes on from NC_000003.12 coordinate 115,232,990, forward strand.
AGGGTTTAAAATGATAGGAAATACGTTGATGTGTCATTCCAGGGGCAATCCTGAAGCAAGGATTCAGAGAAGCATGAGTGGAGAGTGATAGAAGGAAAGGGGGTAATTTATTTGCTTCTCCCTCTTCCTGGCTGGTTATGCCCGATTAAGAGGAGCTGGGCATGCTCACAGTAATGAGTAAGCAATGGGGCTATGCCAATTAACATTAAAGCAGTGGTCCTCAACTATTGCTGCATTCACCAATTGAAAAAGGGAAGGATGTTACAGAGATGTTCTGAATCTGGCTTGCACCAGTTCCTGAGAGCAGATTGTTAAATTTTCAGGAATCTTGTGAGTCACTTATTAAACAGTCATTATTAAAAAATAAGATGGGTACAGAAGCTCATGCCTGTAATCTTAGCACTTTGGGAGGCCGAGGCAGGAGTATTGCTTTGATGACAGGAGTTTGAGACCAGCCTGGGCAACATAGTGAGACCCTGTCTCTACAAAAACAAAAATAAAATAAAATAAATTATATTCATATACACTTAAATAAATAATATTAAAACAAAGGCAATACATACTCAAGGCTCATCACTTCTTAATTTTTTACTACATTTTACATTTACTTTATGCTGTTATTTACATCTACTGTATCTGTAAGTGGTGGAAATACTGCAAAATAGCATGCTACTGCTCATCTCCTTCCAACTCTTCATTCAGTGGCATTATATTGTCAGCTTAAAATTGACCATGGTAGAAGAATTAAAGCCACAGAAATTGGCAAATGATACAAATCAGGACTTTCTTTTCCTTTTTTTTCTGTAGAGCTGGTTGTTAAACATTTACCAGCATACCATTGAATATGAATGAGAGTGGGGTTTTAAATTTGACTGAACTGAGTTTAGAAAAAAGTGCTTATTAGAAATTCAAATATACACAAAGTAGAAATAATTTCATTAAGGCTACCCATGTACTCTTTCCTCAACTTCAATACTCATTAACATTTTGTCAATCTTGCTTAATCTGTTGCTCCCACCATTTTTTTGAAGTGTTATAAACTGAACTTCAAATATTTTCTAGTTCTTATCTGAAAATACTTAACACACATCTCTAATGCTTTGGCACTTAAAAAAGATATAACCACAACTTCATTATTATACCAAATATATTAACATTACTTTCATGATATTCTTTCATACTAGTCCATATTCAAATGCCCTGATTGTTTCAAAGTGTCTTCTTAGAATTGGTTTGTTTGAATCGGGAGCCAAACATGTGAACTGGTTTTTTAATAACTGAAAGAGGCTAGAAAGTTGTAAGATCTGTCTGTGATGTCGTTAAAGAGCAGGAAAGGCAGATTTGACAGAATCTAGTTCAAAGTAAGGATTAGAGAAAAATAAAACTGTTTCATGTTTATGGCCTACTGAGATCAGACTCTTCAATAAGCTGGCTATACAAAGAAGAACACAACATGTTCTATGCCCTAAAAAGTTCACAGTCTAGGGCAGTAGGGCCACTTAACTTTTTTGGGGTCATGGACCCCTTTGAGTGCTGATGAAAACTGCCTGCATGTGCACACCCACACTTGCACACAGAATTTTGCATGCAATTTGAGTTTTGAAACCCATAAAACATCCCAAAGCCAATGCAACCAGAGTTAAGACCTAGGATTTGGAGGAAAAGCAGGTGTGTAAATAATTACCATCCAAAGCAATATTGTCAGAGCCAAACATACACCAAGTGCTATTGGAGCACAGAGCAAGACAGTGGCTAATTTTGCCCAGTAACAGGGAAAATGACATTGAAAATGGTGTTTGACATTTTGCTTAAGAGATTTTCAATCAACGATGGTGACTAGGGCTAGCATGCCAAAGTCGGGTGTGAGAAGAGATGGTGGTAGGAGGTCAAGAGCCACATGAAGAAATTTGGTTTTAATTTGCTCCAATATTTGCAGGGCTTTAAACTGGGCAAGGATATGATCAGATTTTCATATGAGAAAGTTCAATGGAGCAACAGTAAATGGCAAGGAATTTCAGGTAGAGAGACTGGACAGAATGAGGCCTGGCAGCAGCTATTATAATAGTCAAAGTAAAGGATGACAGGGCCTGGACTACAGCATAATCAATGAGGTCAGAGAAGAGGGAAGGATTTTAGGAGGTTTGTAGGAGGTAAAATGGTATGGTGCATTCATGCAGATGGTAAAGGAAATAGAGAAATCCATGAGAGTAAAATTTCCTAGCTTTTAAGGCATGGTAGAGAAGAAATGCCATTTACTAAAAATAAAGGATATAGGATGCATAGCAGTGGCCAAGGAGAGAAAGGGGACAGAAAAAGGATGTGGGTTTTGGGCATGTTGAGTTTGAGGCATCTATGGAACATACAGGAAGGAATTCCCAGAAGGAGCTAGAAAGTAGAGTCCCTCTAGGAACTGATTTGATACATTAGATGCAGGCCAAGTCTAGTTTGGTGTCATTTAGGGTTTAAAGTCATTTATGGTCAGAGATAGATCACAATTAAATTCAGAATACAGTGAACCTTTAGGAATTCTCTATAGCCAAAATTTTATCATCCAAAACTTTACTGAAAAAACAACTAGATTCAAAAATTTCTCTCTCTCTCTCTCTGGTCTGATCTCATCTCCTATCTGCAGATCTTTCCATACAAATATGATCATATCTCTTTCCTACTTAAAAACTTTTAATAGCTTCTCATTGCCCCAGGACAAAGCTCAACCTTTCTTTATCCTCTTCCACTTATCATTATTATTGTTTTTCAATGTGGATGTTAATTCTTCCTAGGACTGTTCCTAACCCCTCAGGGCCAGGTCTCAGTGAAGTAGAAAGTATTGTAATCAACTTCTTACTTATTTACATTTATTTCTACTAAGCACCTTATTTCTGGGTGCTAAGCACCTCATCATTTACTGATTTAGAAGATGGTGCTGTGGAGTGGAATTGAAGGCCTACTGTGTGCCAGGCAGTGTAACAGGGGTTGAAGCTACAATGGTGAGAGAATTAAAGTACATATAAGCTCCAAATTACCTTGCTGCAATTATATATGTTGTTTTAGAAAGATTGCAATGCTAAACATAGTTTTTAGGCCTACGATGCTCATGCTCCTGACAATTTCTCATGGGTTGACTGTACCATTCTTTGTGACTGTAAAATTGCCTCTGTTCACTCCCAACAAGACTACATCTTTAATTTGTCAGCAATTTGATATACTTATCAAAGAATGAGAAATGGGTCTCTAAATCAAGCATCTAAGATGAAGGTGAGACAGAAAGCATAGAAACTGGGTGAGAAAAAAAAACAATGTGTAATTTTTACATTGGAAAGGCTGGGCGTGAAATGAGCAAAAGAACAGGCCAATCAAGTTATGTGAAATTCTGTGCTGTGCTGTGTAAACACATCATGAGAAAAGTGCTAATCTAATGCTAGGCATACTATGAAAATCTGTCAGTCCAAAACTATGATCCATCTTCAAGAGACTGGAGCTTTGCATTTCTTGGAAGCATTGATCAGTGTAAGTGCAAGTCGATCAAGGCTTTTGCATTTGCATTTAAATGTTAATCAATCACAATTTATTAAAAATTTAGGGCAAGAGTGAGAATGGAAAAAAGTGTATAAGTCTGTGCTTATGACAAAGAAGTCAAGTTGAGATCCATTTTGAAATGACTTGAGAATTGCATAATGTGTGAAATGTCAGAGAGCCATCTGGACAACAGACACTGGTGGTGGTAATGATGAGCTGGGGTTGGGGGTGGGACTAATGAACATTTATTGACAAATCTCTGCTTTGCAAGATGAGAAACAAAGTATCTTTCCATGATGTCTGGTCATATAACAGTGCATCCGAGCATTCCATTAATCATTCCACAAATAGATACAGTAATAATCATTATCATTTTAAATGTTTTAGTAATGCCACTTAAAAGATATGCTTCTTTTATTGTGGTAACAAATATATAACATAAAATTTATCATTTTAACCATTTTTATATGTGCAGATGTGACATTAAGTACATTTACATTGTTCTGCTGCCATCACCACTATCCATCTTCAGAATTCTTACATCTTCCTGAACTGAAACTTCTCATACTACTACACAATAACTTCCTCATTGCCCATTCCCTCCAGCCCCTGGAAACCACTATTTAACTAGGCATCTCATGTAAACAGAAAAATACAAAATTTGTCCCTTGGTGACTGGCTTATTTCATTTAGCATAATTTCTTCAAGTTTTATTGATATTGTAGCATGTATCAAAACTTCTTTTTGTTAAGGCTGAATACTATTCCACTGTATGTATTTGCTACATTTTATTTATCTATTTATTCATCAATAGACATTTGGGTTGCTTCCACCTTTTGGCTGTTGTGAATAATACTGCTAAGAACATGGGTGTACAAATATTTGCTCAAGTCTCTACTCTTGTTTCTTTTGGGTGTATATCTAGTAGTAGAATTGTTGGATCACATGATAATTCTATGTTTAATTTTTTAAGGAACTGCCATGCTGTTTTCCACAGGGGCTACTCTATTTTACATTCCCAGCAGCAATGCACAAGGGTTCCAAAAAAGATATTTTAAAAACTGAAAGTTAATAGTAAAAACACTGCAAAATATTGGGAAGGAGAGCTAGGTTACAAAAAGCTAAGTGGAAGAAAGTTAACCTGTTTCATTCTCACCTTTTAATTTATCTAAACCAGAAGAGCTTCTCAAGTGATGAGTACTGAATGAGTTTCAGATATGTCCTTCTACAGATCCTCTATGTTTTGTGGAACGTATGAGTGTAGTATGGAAGGTGGGCTCTGAGGGGATCAGGCAGGGCCTGGGGTTTACAGCTTGCAGCCTGGAGCAGCCTCTCCCATTTACCCAAGGGTGCCTTACAAATACTTTCATTTTCCATATGGCTAATATATGAAAAAAAGCTTGGAAATGCTGCTCCAAAGTGTAGGGGCAAAGTTAGGATTAAAATCTGGAAGAAATGCAAAAGCATAAAATATTTATTCAACAGAACAATCTAATGAACGTTTACTCTGTTCTAGGATCTAGGTCTGACTGGGGGTAGCTGGGAAATACTGTGGGGTAAATAAGATAAAGAATTATACTTTCAAAAAGCTTGGTTTCTTGAAGGTGAAGGACAAACAAATAAGCAGTTACAGTACAGCATGGAAAGTAACTCACTGGGGGAAGGGGGACCACAAAGTGTTGTATATAGCCACCAGCCCTCACCCATTCCGATCTTGAGATTGAAAGAGAGAGCTCTCTGAACTCTTCTCATTTTCACTGTTACGAGAAGCCAAATGAAATATCTGTTTCTCATTTTATGGGATGTGGATGTTCAGGGTACCTTAGGCATGTCAGGAAAGAAATAAACTGCCTAGACTGAGTAGAGCTGCTTATTAAAATTTTTAGTAGTGTTTGATGGACAAAGTGTCAGGATTTATAAAAAGCATTTGCATTATAATTGAGAGAAGAATTATGAAGACTCCCTCAAGGAAGCCATCCCTGAGAACTTCTCATGTCTGAACTCCAGGCTGAGTTGGGCTCTGGTTCTCCCTGCTCTCAGCACCCTAGGTTTATTTCTTATGGAAGTACTTATTACCCAGTACTGTCATTGTCTGGTTACTTACTGTGTTAGTCTGTTTTGTGCTGTTATAACAGAATACCTGAGACTGTGTAATTTATGTAGAACAGAAAATTATTTTCTCACAGGTCTGGAGCCTGATAAGTTCAAGATCAAGGCACCAAAATTTAGTGTCTGGTGAGGGTCTTCTTGCTGTGTCCTCCCATGGCAGAAAGCAAAAGGGCAAGAAAGCAAGTTAGCTGAACACCTTCTGAAGTCTCTTTTATAAGGGCTTTAATCTATTCATGATGGAGAAGCCCTCACCACCTAAACACCTCCCAAAAGGCCAACTTCCCAACACTGTTGCATTGGAAATTAAACTTCCAACACAAGAATTTTGGAGGACATATTCTGACCACAGCACATACCTAAATCTCCCACCTCACTCCGTGTGTTATGGAGACAGGAATTGTACTCAGAAATGTTTCTGGGAATAAGTAAGTGGAGCAATAAGATAGCTGTAAAGCAACTGGGACCATTTATATGAAGCAGCCAAGATACCCACAATAACTTGGAGAAACTGCTCTGGAAAAGTAGACATTAAGTCTCCATTGTTGGGGTTTCTGACAGCTGTGGCATGGTGGCATGGTACTACCATAGTTCTTCTACTCTAACACTTTCAAATACCCTTTTAGGTTTTTTCCCTAAGTTCTCCCTCTTTCCTTTTTCCCAGATAATCAATAGATGATTAAATGTCTATGTGAATTGCAACTGTCTGAGTTCATTGTGTTATTGTATTTTTTGTTAAATGGGTATAATTTGAAAACAAGACCTAGAAATACTGCCATACTTTATCTGGAGTCATCTTAGAAGATTATTATTATCAGCATAATTATCTACTTTCCATACAACTTGATTGTTCACATTATATATATTTTTGACTTGAGGTGGAAGGATGACAAAAGGGTCTCATTTAACCTTTTCTGTTTTTAAATAGAAGCAAGATTATTTCTAAAAGTCAATAAAGGATATCCCAGAGGAATTGAGGAAAAATGGGATGAGGACTTCAGTAAAACATACTTTGGTGACAAACATTTTGATATAAAATTTTGTAAAAGCACACACATCCTGATGGGAAGAGGATGAGTAATTTCTTTTTAATTCAGAGCAAGTGTTCTAATCTGGCTGAAATTCTGGGAAGTGCTGGAAATCCCCAAAGCAAAGTGCCAGATGCCATTTCTGGATCCTGGATACGTGGGCTTGGTTGCTAAGATGATGATGCCTCCTCCCCTTCACCACATTCAGCTGACGCCTGAGCGACAGGGAGTTGATGTACGCAGAGCACGGATCTAACAATGTCAACTGTGCTGACATCATCCTAGCTGTGCAGGGCTGATGGGAATTCAGAATATCAAACATCATATCAAGGGCAGTGAGCAGGTGTGACTCATTTCCCTGGAGAAGTGGGAGAGAGGAAGGGAGAGGGCAGGATTATCTCACACTGACACACACACAGCCTTTAGACTGAGCTATTTGCGTGGCTTATTTAAAAGCAGCAAAACAATGTTCTGTCTCTCTCTTCATTTTTCTACCGGAAACACTTTATATTCTAGTCCTATGTGTCTCAGCATAGAATCGAGCCTTTCAACATCATAGTGTATTAAAATACACATTATTTAGGATCATTACTTTTTATGTTACATAAACCCAACTATGAGAACAATTCAAACAAATAAATTTTATGTTTTTATTTTCTCTTCAGGTATCATCTAGTGAACTGTTCAGATGCAACTGAATTGAAAAGGAGCTGAACAAAAGATCCTGAGAGAGGTCTGATGAGACTGCTTTGGTATTACCAAATATATACAGCATTTCTGTATTCTAGCAGAGTATATTGCTTGGTACGAGAGAAGGGGTGCATGATAAATGCTCAATAATTGCTCCTTGGGTGAATAATACAAAAAGACTGTACGTTTGTAAGAATGAGCGTTAATATATAGATTCTCATGTATTTTATGGAGTTGATTATGTATCAGTTGACTTTAAGGGAAAATGGTAATAAGACTGGATACAATAACAATTGTGGTGTTAGTGAAGTTACTGGTTTCACAAGTCTCTTATCCATTGGAACATCTTATTAGAATGATTAGGCTAGGGCAATTAAATCAGAAAGGAGTGTACATCAAAACAGTAAACAAAACAAAACTAAACCCTTCTGCTTCCAAAGGCTTAGTGTTTAATAGCAATGAAAGAGGTACAGTGAACTGACATGGTTGTATTCTCTCCAAAATGACCCTAACGTGTCTTATCACTCTGAGAAGTACTAATTTATCTATGTCTTGTGTCAGCCATAACACAAGGAACAAAAGGACAAAAATTGTTGTTACCCTGTACTCAGTGCTAAAAAGTACCACTTATACTTCCATTTACTCTGTGTGTTTAGTAAAATGGCATATGTATGATAGATTGTGAAGCATATTGGAATCTATGTGTATTGGTTTTTATTGGTATAGCTTGAACAGCACAGAAACAGAAAGGTGTGTTTCAGCTCAATCTATAGGATACTACTTGTACAATACAGATGGTGTTGGAGGCAATAGGAGGGAAGAACATGAAAAGAGAGGAGTGACTTCTATAGAATTATATGTGCAATGACATAAAGAACTCCAAGTTCTTGCTATGAGATAATAAGTAAGTTGATAAGAGAGATGAAAGGATATTAGCATGTTCCTAGAAGGCATCTTAAATTTTGAAGACAGATGTTGAGATATGTAGAACAAATTTTCATTTCATTTTCTCTGCTTTGAAATTACTTGGTAAGGGATTATTCTTTCTCTCTGTCTCCAATCACAATTCCTAATACAGACAGTTTGAGATTCACACAATGTTTAACGGTAATGTTCGATTGACGATAATGGTGATGATGATGATGTTGATGAAAGTGATAATCTGTAGACCCTAGACTAGTGATTCTCAAACTGGCTCTTAGAGTCCTCTAGAATATTTTAGGGGAATATGTATATGTACCTGAGGAGTTGCCGTCATAATAGTCCCTGGATCATGACTGCTATAAAAGTCCCCTCATATTTTCTTCTTTCACTTCCAGAAGGACCTGCCCAAAAGTTGTTATTGGTCCCTTTTGAGATGACTTATTTGACATGATGTGCTGCTATAGGACTCTCTAGGAAGAAAGTAGAAAGGATAAAGAGCCATGAACTCATTTTTCTTGAGATAGATTATTACTTCAGTTGAGAGTATGTGGTTAACACTGTTTTATTAACCCATAGAGGGAAAATATCATCCCTTATCACCAGTGGACAGAACAACACTGCAGCTGTCTCCCTTTGGGGGTCAACCTGACTACCCAGCCTGAGATGCAAAGGAACAATTTAGAAGCTCTGTGGGGAAAATTTTCATAACTGTTTGGAAAATTCTTCTTCTCATATTTTGTTTGGGGAATGTATGATTGGGAGTCATGCCTACATTTCTTTTAATGGGAGCCATAGTTATTTTTCTTCAGATAATCACATCTAGTGAAGAAAACTCCTGGATAGTGCTGCTGCCACAGAACAGATATTAAATTAGATCAGATGTAAAATAAGAATATGGGGTTCTTAAAAACTTCTTGAGTTTGAAATGCAGAATAGAGATAAAAATAGTTAAAAGCAGCGTTGGCTGTGTCTCTGTTGACCACAGAGGGTTATAAAGCTATTATTAGTCTCCTTCTAGAGGCTTTATGATAGAATTATATTATCAAGAATTATTATTAGAGTTGAATTTCCTTATTTATCTTGGAAAACTACAACCTATGAGATTTCAGGAAAAAAATATATTTATATATATATATATGATAAATGAGAGGTGAACTAGCTGTGATACAGACTAAAACTGCTGTCACTAATAAAGCTTAAAATGCAGTGGTTTAAACAAAACAGAGCTTATTTCTCTCTCATGTAACAGTCCAGAGTGGTAGGGTGGCTCTGCCAACCTCAATCTGGAGCTCCCATCTCTCAGTCCAAGAGAGCAGTTTTATTTCTCTCCATCTTTCAGATAGCAAATGGTAAGGAGAAAAGAAATCAGGGCATTGCATATTTAATTGTTTTTTAAAAAAAGTCCTGAAAGTGACACATATTACTTTCTTTCACATTGCACTTGTCAGTAACATTAACCCATTCAGCTGGAATCGAGTCTTAAGAAGGTCTTTAATTAGGTAGCCAGGGGTCAGGCATGGTGGCTTATATCTATAACCCCAGAGCTTTGGGAGACTGAGGCAAGAGGATCACTTAAGTCCAGGAGTTCAAGGCTGCCATGAGCTATGAACACACCATGGCACTCCAGCCTTGGTGAGAGAGTGAGATCCTCTTCCTAAAAATCAAAAATAAAAATTAGGTAGCCATGTACTCAGATTAAACCACTGCTATGGAAGAAAGGGAAAGGGAGAGCAGGTATTGGGACAACTAAGTTTGCCACAAGGCCTTGCTGCAAAGCCCCTAGAAGATCTGGGCTGGGAAGTTGCTGAGAAATAGCAAAGGACTCTACTACAGTGCCCTGAAAGGCACCTTTGTAGTCTAAAAGAAGCACTCTAACTGAAAGGAAAGTAATAGGTTTATACCTGTGTCAGTATTCAGAGGAGGAGCACCCATATGGGGAAGTGAGAATATGTAATGCCAGGAGCAATTGTTTCTCCTGGTGATGCCCAAGAGAATGATTGTAACATTGTGACCCTAAAGCTTCCTTAGAAGGCTTAGCAGGGATATGCATATCTTCAAGAGAGGCTAAGAAAGCCCAAGCTTTGGCCAGAAAATAATGACAGGGCTGGCCAATAGACTTGGAAGCCGAGTAATGAGGAAAAAGGAGACTTTGGGACTGTTATTGTGGGTGGCTAATGGAAAGAAATGTGCAATGTAGCAAAGTCTTGCAAACATTGATCTCCACCCTTAGAATCTGAAGAATTAATAATGCTAGGAGCTTCTTTTTGGAGTCTCCTAGGAAGCAAGAAAGTAAAAGAAGCCATAATATCCAAGTTTTTGGGAGCAGGATGAAGAACTACCAGACTGGGCTGAAGAAAACTTGTACTTGGAGACCATAGCAAATTGCCATAAGGGAGAAAGGGCATGTTAGTCCTCTAATTATTAACTTGAGGGAAAGTTGGAGTTGACTTTCCTAGAAATTCTACTTGGTGGAGGGGATGATGGCTTCCCTCCAGCAACTTTTAGATTGGAGTTGTAAAAACATTGGACGTTCAGTGATGGAAATTTGGGGATATAATCTGCATTTAAGACTAACTAGGGGAGGCTGGGCGCGGTGACCCATGCCTGTAATCCCAGCACTCTGGGAGGCCGAGGAGGGTGGATCACGAGGTCAGGAGATCGAGACCATCCTGGCTAACATGGTGAAACCCCGTCTCTACTAAAAAAAAATACAAAAAATTAGTTGGGCGTGGTGGCAGGCGCCTGTAGTCCCAGCTACTCGGGAGGCTGAGGCAGGAGAATGGCGTGAATCTGGGAGGCGGAGCTTGCAGTGAGCCAAGATCACGCCACTGCACTCCAACCTGGGCGACAAAGCCAGACTCCATCTCAAAAAAAAAAAAAAAAAAAAAAAAAACAACAAACTAGTGGAGTCAGAATGGCTGTTATTAAGAAGTTAAAAATAACAAACATTGGTGAGGTTATGGAGAAAATGGGACTCATACTCTCTTGGTGAGAGGGTGAATTAGTTAAGCCACTGTGGAAAGCAGTTTGGAGATTTCTCAAAGAACTAAGAATAGGATTACTATTCCACCCAGTTGTCCCATTACTGGGTATATACCCAAAGGAAAAGAAATCATTCTACCAAAAAGACATCTGCACTTGTATGTTTATTGCATCACTTTTTACAATAGCAGTAGTCTTTGCTATTATAAAAAGCAAATGTAAAAAGCAAACGTTTTACAATAGCAAAGACTATTGCTGTTGTAAAAAGCAAACGTAAACAACCTAGATGCCCATCAAAAGTGGATTGGGAAAATAAAATATGGTACATGTATACCAAAGAATATTATGCAGCCATGAAAAATAATGAAATTGGGTTCTTTGCAGCAACATGGGTGCAGCTGGAGGTTGTTATCCTAAGCGAATTAATGCAGAAACAGAAAGCCAAATACTGCATGCTCTATTGTATAAGTGGAAGCTAAATAGTAGGTACACATGGGCATAAAGATGGGAATCATAGACAGTGGGGACTACAAAAGGGGGGAGATGCAGTGGTTTAAAAAGCACCTATTGGACACTATGTTCATTATTTGGCTGATGGGATCAATAGAAGCCCAAACTTCAGCATCACAAAATATACCCATATAAGAAGCCTGCACATGTATCCACTGCATCTAAAATTAAAAAAAAAAAATTAACAGGTGCAGAAAGTGGTATGAGAAATTTTCTATTTGTTAGAAAATTATATGATTTTCTGGAAAAGGTTAAGTTGATTGTGGGGACATTGTTAGCTAATGTGACCATTTTCTTAGGAGGTCCTACTGTTGTCAAGGAGGCTATCATATGGTAGGGCATGGTGGCTCACGCCTGTAATCCCAGCACTTTGGGAGGCCGAGGTGGCTGGATCACCTGAGGTCAGGAGTTTGTGACCAGCCTGGCTAACTGATGAAACCCCATCTCTACTAAAAATATAAAAAATTAGCCAGGCGTGGTGGCAGTCTCCTGTAATCCCAGCTACTTGGGAGGCTGAGGCAGGAGAATGGCTTGAACCTGGGAAGTGGAGGTTGCAATGAGCCAAGATCACGCCACTGCACTCCAGACTGAGCAACAAGAGCGGAACTCTGTCTCAAAAATAAGTAAGTAAATAAATAAATAAATAACAATAATAATAATAAATAAATAAAAAAGAAGGCTATCATATATTCTGTACAACTTAAAAAGGTGCAGGATTTTCCACCGTGGTTTTAGTTAAACATATACTGTGATGCAAAAATTACAGAGGCTTCACTAACCCCCAGAAGATAAAGTTTCATGGCTCCAGACATAAGACATGGTCCACAGAGTTGGTGGTGGTAGTTGGCAGGGCCGGGTATGAGTAATGCACATAGAACCCACAACTAATCCAGCAGATTCTCCTGGCTCAAGTTGTACATGAGTCACTCATCCTCAAAAGATAAAGAAAGGTTGGAGGTTGCCTTAAGGAGTTCACATTACTTTAAGGATCTGAAAATCCTTGTTCTAACTAGATCTTACAAGTCATATTGGAATCAGCTTAGGTTGGTAGAGGTCATTGGATCTCCAGAACTTGTGAGGAGTGAATTCTGATATTGACACTAATGTTGACCTCTTGAGCCTGGCCCTTTTCTAAACTGAATGCTGGCATGGTTTTTTAAGGTTTCATGGTTTTAAGTCTCGTTGACTTAGCCGAAAAACATCACCCCTGGAAGTCTACCCACTCTGCAAAAGGTGCAGAGACAGAGTGATTCTCCATCCAGGTAGAAACTATTTAATACATGCCCACTAGTTTCACTGCAAAGACAATAGTAGACTCAACCCACAACTCATAGAGGATTTATATTGCTCAACTGTTGACAGTGTAGTTTGTACTTTTTGTGGCAGCGGAGTCAGACCAAAGTGATAAGCAAGTGGCTATGCCTTTATGCTACTAAGACCAGCATTATGATAGTATTTGGACAAGAGACCAAGATTTTCTATATCCAGATCTTTACTTGCCATTCTCATCTAGAAAGTCTCCAAAAACTTTTCCACAGAGGAGACAAATCAAGGATAAGTAACATATTGTTATTGCTGGAGCTTTGAACACAAACTCCAAAGACAGATTTGGCTGGATATACATTGTCTTATAAATTTAAGAGAAGTCCTTCACTTCAACAAAGTATACTGAATGGCCTAAAACCAAAGAAGCTAAAAAGCTCACTCACTTCATTTTCACCTTCCAGCTGAAACCTGGGCTTGGATATTACAGCTTTGGCCTCACACACCATTGAGAATTAGAGGAAATGCAATGTCATAAGACCTTTGCCTCGATGCCAAAGTAAAATGGATGAGGGTGTGGATATTTGAGTTGTATCTTATATCTTCAAAATCCTGGAACAATACCTGTCCAAGAGAAAACCTGAAGGCCTTTCCTAATCGCTTCCAAAATGTTCAACTCTTGGAAATGAAGCTGTGTGTGTCCTCTTATTTGCCAATTTTTTCAGCCCATTTCCTATTTAAGGCTGCAGAGGAAAGCAGGCAATTAAGAAGACAGGCAGAGAAGGACTATCCATGTTTCCATCAACAAAGAAGCTTCTTAAATAGGCCAATAGTTACCTCATGCTTTCCAGAAATCTTCTGTTGTTCTTGGCGTAATGAAAATTTAAGAAATAGGCTCTATTTGTTGGATATCCTCTATTGGTAACTCTGCTATTGAAGTGTTTATGCTTCTGGGCTCATTATGACATAGATTCTGTGGATGAATATTGAGAAGGCTTGAATGAAAAATATTTAGGACCCAACAACAGACACAGTGTGTGGCTCAGATCTTCACAGCAATTTCAGTGGCATAATAAGAAACAGAGTCCAGAGCTTTCACCATTAGGGTTAGTGCCCTGCCTAGATCAAGCTTTTCCCCTTTCTTTGAGGAAATGCTGCCTGTGGTGAGTTCTGCACATAAGCTTTAAATAGCTTCTTTTTTTTTTTAAACAGGATCCCTTGCTAATATTATTTAGATATTATTGTCCTGATATATATTTCAATCTTGTCTTTCTTATTTTGCAACATTAATTTTGTTTTAAATCCCATATCTCCTGAAGTGCACCTCTTTCTTGCCTGGGGATATGGTTTTCCATTTTGATTGAGGGATCGAACAATAAAGGTTCATCTCTGTACAAAGGACAATTTATTATTTATGCAAGTCAGAGAAATGTGTAGCTTTTTGCAGTGTGTGGGAAATGGAAGAACTGAATATCCAACCCATCTGATTGATAGTTATATTAAAGGTTGTCGGTTAAATAAGTCTATTTGGATTGATATGATAAGAGCCTTATGTTTTTCTTAAAGTATTATTTTAGCAAATATTTGGTATTTTTATTTTATTGCTTATCCTGCTGTATTCTTCATCCTGCTGCTTATCCTTTTGCTGTACACCAAAGGATCACAAAAAATTGTTGTAAAATGTTAATTGTTTAATATGTTTTGAAAAATAATATTAAATAAAACTATGTTTTTGAACATTGTTTGCTTCCTACAACTAAATATTGACATTTAAGGTCCTAGGTTATTGCATTGATCTTTTTTCAGGGGCTCTGAAAAATCCCTTAAGGCAATATTATTTACCATAATTGGTTTCTTAGCATACTGGGAGATAATGCACAATGCAGCCTAATGCTCCAATTTGGAACTGGAATGATCACACAGACCAATGCCAGGCTACAATTTCCTGTATGGCAGGGACTGGCAAATTTTTCCAGGTTGAGATACTTTTCTTCATTGTTTCCTTTTCTTTTGAATACCAATCCTTCATTGGCTATTAGAGGGCAATTTATTTATTTATTTTTATTCATTTATTTATCTTTTGAGATGGAGTCTTATTCCGTCACCCAGGCTGGAGTGTAGTGGCGTGATCTCGGCTCACTGCAACCTCCGCCTCCCGGGTTCAAGCAATTCCTCTTCCTCAGCCTCCTGAGTAGCTGGGACTACAGGTGCATGTCACCATGCCCAGCTAATTTTTTGTATTTTAGTAAAGACAGGGTTAGAGGGCACTTTAAAAAAGAAATAAAATTCTTCTCTAAAAACACACCGTGAAGATAAAATTTGATAATTCCTTTTCCTTTTTTTAAAATGTCATCAGGTTGCTTTTAACTTTTTTCTCATTTGGTTAGAAGTATTTTATAAGTGAAAAGGGTCAGTTTGAGCAATATCCGGAGCTAGTGACATTAATTCATTGTGTACATGAGCCACAGTGACTCAACTAGTCTTACTACCTTCTACTGACTAATAGCTAGATACTAAATGTAACTCTCTTATCAACATTTATATCATTTTAGAACTTGTGAGTCCCCAAACCACATTGAAATAATAATAAATTGCCTTTAAACCTTAAAATTATTTGTAATATCCTTCTTTTTGGAAACAAAATGAGCCAGAAGAGGTTACTTCTAAAAGGATTCTGTAATGAGTGGTGTTTGTTTGCCTCCAAATCTAAATCAAGCCCCCACTTGGTGGTCTGTCTCTGGTTAAGACACATGGACAGCTAGATCTGTGTGGCTGCTAAAGAGGCATGAAACCATTAGCAGGGAAAAACAAAAATGATCTTCACTAGAAGGCACTCACAGAAAGATTCCTAGGTAAGCTCTGTGACAGATGACTTTCACTGAAGTGGATGGAAGAGTTCACAGATGCTTTTGAAAACAAAGATGTGAAGCTGGAAACCATCATTCTCAGCAAACTATCGCAGAGACAAAAAAACAAACACCGCATGTTCTCATTCATAGGTGGGAATTGAACAATGAGAACACTTGGACACAGGAAGGGGAACATCACGCACCAGGGCCTGTTGTGGGGTGGGGGGAGGGGGGAGGGGGAGGGGGGAGGGATAGCATTAGGAGATATACCTAATGTAAATGACGAGTTAATGGGTGCAGCACACCAACATGGCACATGCATACATATATAACAAACCTGCACATTGTGCACATGTACCCTAGAACTTAAAGTATTAAAAAAAAAAGAAAACAAAGATAATAAAACTCTAAGAGATGTGACAAGACTACAAACAATGCTTTATGAAATTAAAATATTTTAAAAATTGTTGACAAGAAAAGCAAATAGTTACTTATTAAAAGTGAATTTGTGACTTGGAAGAGGCAGTGAAGGACATCTCTCTCAACAGAGTGAAAACACAGAGAGAAATCATGAATGCAAAGCTCAGAAACGTGGAGTAAACAGCCAGAAAGTCAACACGTAACCAATGGGAAGGAGAAGGAAAACAAACCTATGAAGGAGAATTGAAAATTTTAAAATTAATAGATTTTTAAAATAAAGTCTATAAATTTAAAAGGCATTGAAGCCCAGGTAGGATTAATGAAAATAGATATAAACCTAGATATACATTGGTGGAATTATTGAATTACAAAGATAAAGAGAAAAATTTTCACATTTTCAGGCAGTATAGTTAAAAAACAAAACAATCCCCTCCACACACACAAACGAACACACCTCTAATTTATTTGTAAAGAAAAGTAAAACTAGCATGAAACTCCTTATCCCCAGCGCTGGATTCCAAAATATGGTAGAACAATATTTCTCTCCATCATACTGAAAAACAAGGAATGTGACCCAGGCAAAATGGTGAAATATTTAGAAAACTATTGTATAATCTTGAGTTTGCAGGACCTTCTCTCAGAAATCAAACTCAGAAACCATAAGTGAAAAAAATGGATACATTTGACTCATAAAAATAAAAGTGTTTGGCTGGTATTAGATAGACAACATAAGCTAAATAAAAACCAAAGGATTAACTGGACATAATTATTTGCAGCCCAAATGACAGACAAAATGCTAATTCAATTTCATTCTATATATTGATAAGAAAAAGGCCTATAAGAAAGTAAAATGGAGCAATGATATTATTAAGTAATTATGAGAAGATAAAAATCTAAGTGGTCTGTAAACATGTACAAAAATGCTTTACCATATTAATAGGAAAATAAAATTAAAACAAGAAGATATAATTTTCTATTCATCAGAGTAGCAAAAACTACAGAATTGAAGATCTAGTCCTAGCAAGGATGTAAGGAAGCTGACATCCTCATGGATTGCTGTGGTATCTGACAATGTGAAGTATTATAACCTTGCTATAAAAAATAATCTATTAATTTCTGTTACAATTTAAAAACATATATCCATGACCCAATGACTCTATTAGGGAGATTCATCCTGCAGAAAGAAAAGTAGAATGTAGCTTATATGTATGTTTAACTCTGGTGCTTTCTGTAGTGGCAAAAGTTTCTGCAGAAAAGTTGAATGATCATTAATAGAATAATGGTAGAATAAACTAACGTCTAGCTGTGTACCATTATGCAGTTTTTATCAGGACTGAGTTAACTCTTTTATCTATTGATCTAATGGAATGTCTATAAAATATATTAGTAAGGATTAATATTCAGTTGAAAGGTAATAGGTAGTGTTTGAGATCTCATTTTTATAAAACAAGTAATGACAGTCACCACAAAACACTTTGTGTATGTGTGTGTATATATATATATATATGTAGTACTTCTGTTTGCAAATATTTATATGGACATAGGGAAAAATACGGAAAGAGACATAAACTAGTTAACTTAGGAGAGTACGGATGGAGGGAAGGGGAGGGAAATATACTCTCTTGGGGATAGGGTCTTATAGGTTTTCATATCTTCCTCAAGATTTTGAACAGCATCTCTTGAAAACAGTCTGAATGAAAATATCTCTTATACTTTTCTTTTTATTTGCCATGTTCCTTCTAGACTTCAACAAAAAGTAAAATGGATTTTATCATACTTGAAAAATCAACAATTGCAGTCTGGATTCATACATCACTGTCTGATGCACCCAACTTGAGTCAAAAAGATGTTTCAAATCCCACTAGGCTGGAGGCAAAAATACTCAAGAGTTTAAGAGCGTCTCTTGACAGTGTACAGAATAAGATAGCTTCTCAGCTTTCAGCTTTACTTCACGGTTTTAACTATCAAAAGAAGCAAGGTAAGAACATCTTTTAACCAAGTGAGTGTTGCTGGGGCCAATCTATGAATTAGTTATACTCACTGATTTTAAATAAACTTAATTTTTAATACTTAAAATGATTTCTGTGAAATGTTGGATATAATGTCAATTCTTAAAGGAAGCCTGATGTTTCATGTAGCATAGTGATTCAGAGTGTGGGCTGTAAATCCAGGCTGTGTGCATGCAAAATCAGTCCACCAACTACCACCTCTGAAACCTTGAGCAAGTTAATTAATTGCTGTAGGCCTCAGTAACCTTTTCTGCAAGATGGGAATAATAGGAGTACCAGTATTGTAGGGTTGTTGGAAAGGTCTTAGAACAGTTTCTAGCACATAGGAATGCTAAGGAAATGATAGTTATTAATACTTATTGTATGCTTGATCATTAAGATTACAAACATACCTAGAGATTATGACTCACACATCAGAAACATGCACAGAGACCTGGAGACTGAAAACAATCTTTCATAGTCTTCTAGCAACAGAAATACCTTACATGCACAACTCAGGCATTCAATTTTTTGAAGTGTTTTATCTCTTTATAATGTCTCATTTTTATTTTTTTCCCTCAAACCCAGTGGAAGTTTTTTGAACTTTTTAATGCTTGTGGTTATAGCTATTACAATGGGCTTCTGTATTAATTGTTGACTGCTGTGTAACAAATTACTCTAAAATTTAGATTCTTAAAATAATAACAGACATACATTATCTCTGGCAACTTGTAGCTGAGTGATTCTGGCTCAGGGTCTCTCAAAAGACTGTAGTAAAGATGTCACCTGTTGTTGCAGCCATCTGAAGATTTGCCTGAGACTGAAGGATCCACTTCTGCGACGACTCCCTCAGGTAACCAAGTTGGTGCTGGCTGTTAGTGGGAGGCCTCAGTTTCCCACCATGTGAACCACTCCATAAGATGGGAATGCCACAGTAACTTTAATGACTTCACCTTGGAAGTCACATTCTATCATTTTTGCAATATTTTATTGGTTATTCAGTGTGGAAGGAGACTATACAAAAACATGAATATCAGGAGGCTAGAATCCTTGGGGCCATCTTAGATGCTGACTACCATAGCATTTTTACCTATTTATATATTTCATTTGCTCAGTTAGTACATCTGTCAGTATCACTTATAGCCAATGCACTAGGCCAGGTGTTGTGGTGGGGCGTAAAGATGTGTAAGTTATAAGTCCTGCTCTTTAAAATGTAATACCTGGTGAAAGGAATGAAACACCCACTCCCATAGCTGCAGTACAAGGCAATATAGGATAAATATCAAGGATATAGTGATGTCAGTAAGCTCCTCAGGTCTTCAGAGGAAGAGGAGCAATTTCTTCTTGGGGTTTCAGAACAAATGGAATGTGATCTGGGTCTCTAAGAATAAAATAGGATCACTGTGGGCAAAGACAAGTGAAAACATATCTCACACTGAGGAAACATGTGAACAGGATCATGAAGTTGAGAAAGCAAGCTGAGTTCAGGGGCCAGCAACCAGGATACTTTAGAATAGCACATGTAGAAAGTGGAAGGATAAAGGGAGGGAAATGTAGGCAGAGACCAGTTCATGCAAGTCCTTAGAAGCTATGTTAAAATTTTTGAGCCTACTCAGCAAATAATGGGAGCAGATAAAATTTTTGAGTTGGTAAGTAATGTGATAAAAAGGAGCTTTTAGTTTACTCTTCAAGAGGAAACAGAAAGTGAGAAATCAGAGACAGAGAAACAGGGTAGGAAGAACTTACAATAAGGAGAGAAGGTAATACAATAAATATTATAAGTAGAATTAGAAAGGAATAATCTTGAAGGAGGAATCTGAAGAAGTTAGCAATTCATTGGATATCACATTTGAGGAAGCTGTCCCAGTAACTTGAGATTTGCTACCTGTTTTGGAGGAGAAGTTGGTTTAAAGAGGAAGATGGTTTAAAGAATGTATTTTAGGACATACCAGTTGAAAAGAACTTGAGGATTCCTTGTATGCTCTCTTTTCCTTTTCCCGCACTGAGGCTTAATCTCCCTGGGTAGTTCCTTCCTGAGATGAATCCTGGAGACCTGGGGAGTTGGGGAATCCTGGCGCTGAGGTGAGGAAAGAGGGCAGTGTGGGGAAGAACAGGGCTAGAACCTCAGGAAATTGAATTGAGTTAGTTGGCTCCAAAGTCTGTTGAGCTCAATTGGTAATCATGATGGTGGACAAAGGATGGGATTGTGAGAAAATGATGAACTGAAAAATAATGTAGTGGCTGAGGTCACAGATTTTGAAATCATATGGGCATGATTAAAAATCCAGGTCTCCATTTCTAGCTGACCTTAGCGAAATGCTTAATTTGCAGGAAGCTCAGTTGCCTAACCTGTAATAAATAAGATTCATAAAAGGGTCTTGTGAGGTTTCGATGAAATGTTTGGCATATCAAGCTCTCAGCATGGTGGCTGGCACATAGAAAACACTCTGTAATGAACAGTAGATTTACTGAGATGGTGGGCTTTATGCTACTACAAAAGGAGATTGATAGTATCCCAGGATCTTTTAGGCCAGATAAGTAGAATTACTGATCTCTTTTGGATTCTGATTAATCCCTTACTGCGTACACCTGGGGGAGAGGTGAGTATTCACATGTGCTTGTATTCTAAGGAGATGTCAGGTAAAAGGGGTTGAAAAAAACCATTGGCGAATGTGCTAATTAATAAACATACCTTAATGTTCATTCTTATTCCCCATGAATTGTTATCAACAGTTTTACACATAGTATTCCTTTCACTCTAAATTAACAAATGAATCCACACATTATCTACTTGTGGGTTTCTTCCCAATAGTAAAGCATATTGAGATAAATTTTATGCTCGTAAAATCACATGTAAAAGTCATAAATGTGATTTCTGAATTATTACACTTTCTGTCAGTTAATTAAGGTTAAAAAGGAAAGTTAGTATCCTTTGGGATGATTCACCAAATAGGATAAGTTTTCCAGGAATCTTTGAGTTGCAAGTGACAATAAATTCAATTCCAGTCGGGTTAAGAAAAACGGGGAATTTACTGGCTCAACTAACTGGGAATTCCAAGGGAAATGACTTCAGGAAAAGCTGGATCTGGAGGAGTGGGGCCAAGATGGCCAACTAGAAACAGCGGTGGTCAGTGGAGCCCATCGAAAAGAACCATAATTAGCATCTGAATCCTTCACCTGCAACAAGGTATCCAGGTTCTCTCATCAGAACTGACTAGGCGGGTGACGTGATCCATGGAGAGAAAGGAAGAGCAATATGGTGTGGCGGCTCTCCTGAGAGCCACACGGGGCAGAGGAGTCCCCACCCCCCAGCCAAGGTAGGCGTGCTACCCAGCTGGGGAAACCGTGCTTTTTCCACGGAAGGGTGCAATCCACAGAGCGAAAGATCCCACTCGCGAACCCATGCCACCGGGGCCTGGGGTCCCAACCCCAGAGCCGTGCAGATTCTCAACAGCCTCTCAGCTAGAATCTGCCTAAGTCGGCGGAGCTCCCAGGGGGAGGGTCGACCAACACCACAGCTGCAGCTGACTGCTGTCTAAGCTCTTTCAGCTCCTTGTGGGAGGGGCCGCAGCCAGCACTGGGACTCATAACTGCCTAACACGCAGGGGGATTTGAGGCAGGGAGGGGCGGCATCCATCTCTATAGCTCCAGGCTGCGCTTTTCCCCTGCTGGAGCCAGGGAGGCTGGACGGCTTGGTCCCCAGGAGGTGTCCCCCACAGCCCAACACACTGGCTGTGGCAGACTGAGGCAGAGCGGCAGAGTGCCTCTTCAGGCGTGACCCTGACACATCCTTCCTCACTGGGCGGGGCTTCCCTGCAGGAACTCCAGCAACTCCAGCCAGAGGCTCAGGGACAGGACACAGATCTCCCCGGGCCAGAGCCCCTAGGGGGAGGAGTAGCCATAGTATCTGCAGACAAGCAGACTCAGCCTTTCCTCTTGGCAGTTCTGAGGAATCAGGGCGGACCAGATGAGTGGGTTTCGCCGCAGTGAAGCACACCCCCTCCACCAAGGGACAGTCAAAGTACTTCCTTAAACAGGTCCTGTTCCCCGTGCCACCCAACTGGGTGAGACTCTCCCACAGGGGTTGTCAGACACCCTATACAGGAGCGATTATACTGGCATCAGGTTGGTGCCCCTCCAGGTCAGAGATCCGAGAAGAAGGAGCACGCCACCCATCTTTGCCGTTCTCCAGCCTCCTTGACTGACATCTCCAGGCGCAGGAGCGAACCAGATGAATAAGGCCTGAAGTGAACCCCCAGCAAACCTCAACAGCCCTGCAGAAGAGGGATCTGACCATTGAAAGAAAAACAAGAAAACAAACAAACAGAAAGCAACAACAACAACAGTATCAACAACAACAAAAAATCCCCCCAAAAACTCCACCCAAGGGTCAGCAGCCTCAAAGATCGAAACTAGACAAACTCACAAAGATGAGAAAGAATCAACGAAAAAATGCGGAAAACCCAAAAGGCCAGAATGCCTCTTCTCCTCCAAATGATTGCAAGGCCTCTCCAGCAAGGGTGCAGAACTGGACGGAGGATGAGATGGACGAACTGACAGAAGTAGTCTTCGGAAAATGGGTAATAAAAAACTCTGCTGCGCTAAAGGAGCATGTTCTAACCCAATGCGAAGAAGCTAAGAACCTTGATAAAAGGTTAGAGAAGCTGCTAACTGGAATAACCAGCTTAGAGAGGAACATAAATAAACTGATGGAGCTGAAAAACACAATACAAAAACTTTGTGAAGCATACACAAGTATCAACAGCCAAGTAGACCAAGCAGGAGAAAGGATATCAGAGTTTGAAGACCACCTTGCTGAAGTAAGGCATGCAGACAAGATTAGAGACAAAGGAATGAAAAGGAACGAACAAAGCCTCCAAGAAATATGGGAGGCTTCATAAAAAGACTGAACCTATGATTGACTGGAGTAACTGAGGGAGACAGGGAGAATAGAAACAAGCTGAAAACCACACTTCAGGATATTATCCAAGAGAACTTCCCCAACCTATCAAGACAGGCCAACGTGCAAATTCAGGAAATACAGAGAACACCAATACAGAGAACACCACTAAGATACTCCGCAAGAAGATCGACCCCAAGACACGTAATCATCAGATTCTCCAAGGTCCAAATGAAGGAAAAAATGTTAAGGGCAGCCAGAGAGAAATGCCAGGTCACCTACAAAGGGAAGCCCATCAGACTAACAGAGGACCTCTCAGCAGAAAATCTACAAGCCAGAAGAGATTGGGGGCCAATATTCAGCATTCTTAAAGAAAAGAATTTTCAACTCAGGATTTCATATCCAGCTAAACTAAGCTTCATTAGCAAAGGAGAAATAAAATTATTTCCAGACAAGCAAATGCTGAGGGATTTTGTTATCACCAGGCCTGCCTTGTAAGAGCTCCTGAAAGAAGCACTAAATATAGAAAAACAAAACAAAAATACCGGTACCAGCCATTGCGAAAATGCACCAAAATATAAAGACCAAATGACACTATGAAGAAACTGCATCAACTAGTATGCAAAATAACCAGCTACCATCATGATGACAGGATCAAAGTCACACATAACAATACTAACCTTAAATGTAAATGAACTAAATGTCTCAATTAAAAGACACAGACTGGCAAATTGGGCAGAGTCAAGACCCATCAGTGGGTTGTATTCAGGAGACCCATATCACCTGCAAAGACACACATAGGCTCAAAATAAAATATTTACCAAGCAAATGGAAAGAAAAAAAAAAGCAAGAGTTGCAATCCTAGTCTCTGACAAAACAGACTTAAAACCAACGGAGATCATAAAGACGAAGAAGGGCATTACATAATGGTAAAGGCATCAATGCAACAAAAAGAACTAACCATTCTAAATATATATGCACCCAATACAGGAGCACCCAGATTCATAAAACAAGTTCTTAGAGACCTACAGGGAGACTTTAACACCCCACTGTCAATATTAGACAAATCAACAAGACAGAAAATTAACAAGGATATTCAGGACTTGAACTCAGCTCCGGATCAAATGGACAAAATGGAAATCTACAGAACTCTCCACCCCAAATCAACAGAATATACATTCTTCTCAGTGCCACATGGCATTTATTCTAAAATTGACCACATAATTGGAAGTAAAACACTCCTCAGCAAATGCAAAAAAACTGAAATCATAACAAACAATCTCTTAGACTACAGTGCAATCAAATTAGAACTCAGGATTAAGAAACTCACTCAAAACCACACAATTACATGAAAATTGAACAACCTGCTCCTGAATGACTCCGAGGTAAATAATGAAATTAAGGCAGAAATCAAGAAGTTCTTTGAAACCAGTGAGGACAAAGACAAAATGTACCAGAATCTCTGGGACACAGCTAAAGCAATGTTAAGAGGGAAATTTATAGCAC
The DNA here is from genome assembly GCF_000001405.40 of Homo sapiens. NCBI lineage: Eukaryota > Metazoa > Chordata > Mammalia > Primates > Hominidae > Homo > Homo sapiens. Next base: position 115,257,672 of record NC_000003.12, read on the forward strand.
TAAAAGCCCACACCAGAAAGCTAGAAAGATCTCAAATCGACACCCTAACATCACAATTAAAAGAGCTAGAGAGGCAAGAGCAAACTAATCCAAAAACTAGCAGAAGGCAAGAAATAACTAAGATCAGAGCAGAATTGAAGGAGGTAGAGACACGAAAACCCCTCCAAAAAAAATCAGTGAATCCAAGAGCTGTTTTTTTTTTCAAAAACTTAACAAAATACATAGACTACTAGCTAGACTAATAAAGGAGAAAAGAGAGAAGACTCAAATAGATGCAATAAAAAATGATAAATGGGATATCACCACTGACCCCAATGAAATACAAACTACCATCAGAGAATTCCATAAATACCTTTATGCAAATAAACTAGAAAATCTAGAAGAAATGGATAAATTCCTGGACACATTCATCCTCCCAAGACTAAACCTGGAAGAAGTTGAATCCCTGAATAGACCAATAACAAGTTCTGAAATTGAGGCAGTAATTAATAACCTACCAATAAAAAAAAACCCAGGACCAGACGGATCCACAGCCAAATTCTACAGAAGTACAAAGAGGAGTTCCTTCCTCTGAAACTATTCCAAACAAATGAAAAAGAGGGTCTCCTCTCTAGCTCATTTTATGAGGCCGGCATTATCCTGATACCAAAACCGGGCAGAGACATAATAAAAAAATAAATATTCAGACCAATATCCCTGATGAACATCAATGGGAAAATCCTCAATAAAATACTGGCAAACCGAATCCAGCAGCACATCAAAAAACTTACCCAGCGCGATCGAGTCGGCTTCATCCCGGTGATGCAAGGCTGGTTCAACATTTGCAAATCAATAAATGTAATCCATCACATAAACAGAACCAAAGACAAAAACCACATGATTATCTCAATAGATGCAGAAAAGGCCTTTGATAAAAATGTAACATCCCTTCATGTTAAAAACCCTCAACTGGGCAGGCGTGGTGGCTCACACCTGTAATTCCAGCACTTTGGGAGGCCGAGGCTGGTGGATCACTTGAGGTCAGGATTTTGACACCAGCCTGGTCAATGTGGTGAAACATTGCCTCTACTAAAAATACAAAAATTAGCTGGGTGTGATGGTACATGCCTGTAACCCCAGCTACTCCGGAGCTGAGGCAGGAGAATTCCTTGAACCCAGGAGGTGGAGGCTGCAGTGAGCTGAGATTGCACCACTGTACTCCAGCCTGGGCCACAGAATCATACTCCATCTCAAAAAACAAACAAAAAATAAACCCTCTCAATAAACTAGGTATTGGTGGAACATATCTCAAAATAGTAGGAGCTATTTATGACAAACCCATAGCCAATATCATATTGAATGGGCAAAAGCCAGAAGCATTCCCTTAGGAAACCAGTACAAGACAAGAATGCCCTTTCACCACTCCTATTCAACATAGTATTGGAAGTTCTGGCCAAGGCAATCAGGCCTGAAAAAGAAATAAAGGGTATTCAAATAGGGAAAGAGGAAGTTAAATTGTCTCTGTTTGCCGACGACATGATTTTATATTTAGAAAATTCCATCATCTCAGCCCCAAAACATCTTAAGCTGATAAGCAACTTCAGCAAAGTCTCAGGATACAAAACCAAATATGTGCAAAAATCACAAGCATTCCTTTACACCAACAATAGACAAGCAGAGAGCCAAATCGTGAATGAACTCCCATTCACAATTGCTACAAAGAGAATAAAATACCTAGAAATACAGCTAACAAGGGATGTGAAGGACCTCTTCAAGGAGAATTACAAATCACTGCTCAAGGAAATAAGAGAGGACACAAACAAATGGAAAAACATTCTATCCTCATGGGTACGAAGAATCAATATAGTGAAAATGGCCATACTGCCCAAAATAATTTATAGATTCAATGCTATTCCCATCAAGTTACCACGATGTTCTTCACAGAATTAGAAAAAAACTACTTTAAATTTCATATAGAATAAAAGAAGACCCTGTATAGCCAAGACAATCCTAAGCAAAAAGAACAAAACTGGAGGCATCATGCTACCTGACTTCAAACTATACTACAAGGCTACAGTACCAAAAGCAGTATGTTACTGGTACCAAAACAGACATATAGACCAATGGAACAGAACAGAGATCTCAGAAATAACACCACACATCCACAACCATCTGACATTTGACAGACCTCACAAAAACAAGCAATGGGGAATGGATCTCCTATTTAACAAATGGTGCTGGGAAAACTGACTAGCAACATGCAGAAAACTGAAACTGGACACTTTCCTTACATCTTATGCAAAAATAACTCAAGATGGAATAAAAACTTAAATGTAAAACCTAAAACCATAAAAACCCTAGAAGAAAACCTAGGCAATACCATTCTAGACATAGGCATGGGCAAAGACTTCGTGAAGAAAATGCCAAAAGTAATTGCAACAATAGACAAAATTGAGAAATGGGATCTAATTAAACTAAAGAGCTTCTGCACAGCAAAAGAAACTGTCATCAGAGTGAACAGGCAACCTACAGGATGGGAGGAACTTTTTGCAATCTACCCATCTGACAAAGCTCTGATATCCAGAATTTACAAGGACCTTAAACAAATTTACAAGAAAAAAACAACCCCATCAAAAAGTGGGTGAAGGATATGAACAGACACTTATCAAAAGAAAACATACACATGGCCAACAAACATATGAAAAAAAGCTCAACATCACTGATCATTAGAGAAATGCAAATCAAAACCACAATGAGATACCATCTCATGCCAGTCAGAATGGCAATTATTAAACAGTTAAGAAACAATAGATGCTAGCAAGGCTGTGGAGAAATATGAATGCTTTTACACTGTTGGTGGGAATGTAAATTAATTCAACCATTGTGGAAGACAGTATGGCATCCTCAAGGATCTAGAACAAGAAATACCATTTGATCCAGCAATTCCATTACTGGGTATATACCCAAATGAATATAAATCATTCTATTATAAAGACACATGCATACATATGTTTATTGCAGCACTATTTATAATAGCAAAGTCATGAAACCAACCCAAATGCCCATCAATGATGGACTGGATAAAGAAAATGTGGTACATAGGTACCATGGAATGCTACACAGCCATAAAAAGAAATGAGATCATGTCCTTTCCAGGGACATAGATGAAGCTAGAAGCCATCATCCTCAACAAACTAACACAGGAACAGAAAACCAAATACTGCATGTTCTCACTCATAATTGGGAGTTGAACAATGAGAACACATGGACACAGGGAGGGGAGTAACACATTCCAGGGCCTGTTGGAGGTGGGCTGGTGAGCGGAGGGATCTTAGAGGATGGGTCAATAGATGCAACAAAACACCATGGCACACATATACCTATGTAACCAACTTGCACATTCTGCATATGTATCCCGGAACTTAAAGTAACATTAAATAAACAAATAAATAAATAAATTTAAAAAGCCTCTTTCTGCTTTCCAAAAAAAAAAAGAAAAGAAAGAAAAGTTGGGGCTAAAACTGTCTTTACAATTTTGTCTTTTAGTGCTTGGCTTTGCTTGTCTCTGCATTAAGTCTTTTCTCAGGGAGGCTTTCTTTTAGTGGCAATATGGTTGCCAGCAGCTTCAGGCCCTTAATCTATGCTTTCAGAAACTCTAGCATAGAGTGCGTGTCTCTCTTGTGGTGACTCTGGAATATATTCTCAGGATTAGCTTAGATCAGCTCTAATATCATTATGTGCTCTTCCTGGAACCATTCATTGTACCCAGAGGAGGATGTTACATTGATCACCTTAGCCTGGGTACACACCTTCCTTTGTTACTGGAGATGGAATCCATTTTATCTGGATGTCATGGAAGGAAAGTGAGGGGATGTTTTTGAGGAAAAGCAGTATCCTATTAGAAAGGATAGGAGGAATGGATACTGTAAAGTGAAACTCACAAAAAACTTCCTCTAATTCATGAGTTAAGTTGTTAGTCAAGATTCAGGTATAACAGATAACACCAAGTACAACAGACAAAAGAGCCTTAATCAGTTTCCTCTCTGTAGGGTTTCTGCTTTTCAGCCTGCTAACCCTGTGATAGCACATCATGGACAGTCAATCAATACTTGTTGAATTGAGTTGAACTTGATCCAGACTCACACTTTCTCTTAGGGTTGAATGACTCAGATTTGCTCCCACAACTCATTCTATTTAATTTTCAGAACCATTTATACAGATATATGAACAGGAAACCAGGGATTCTGAAAACAAAACTTATCTTCACATTTTTCACAGATGGACTCTATCCTCTCCTCTTTCTCACCCTAAAGCGTCCCAAAGCTTCCTCAGAGAAAGAAAAATGGTTGTCTCAGAATGACCAATGCTTTTTAAAGAGGAAGCACTGGTGAAAAGTTGTAAAAACTGTACCAGATGTAGACGATTAATAGATGGATGGAAAAGATGGAAAAACTTAATCTGTTTCTAGATGAGAGAGAAGAAGGCAACGACTCTTTCCAAGTGCTCTGGAGGGGCAGCTCAAAGCACTTTAATCTTTGATGAATGCGATTGAACTCTTTCCACTACTCAGGGAAAGATAGAAGTGCTCACAAGGGCTCATCCTGTGCTGGCTCTCTGCCACCATCCATCCTGTCTTCTGCATAATTATCAGACCTTTCACCATTCACTGCTTTTATTATTCTAAAATTCCTCTTTCAGACCAGAAAATCTGGTAGATGAGATACATGTGGAAAACAGAGACAGGTATTACAGTCTCTGACTGGCTCATTCTAGAATATGAGCCAGGAGTTTAGCACAGGGTGCTGCATTAGGGGTTTTTGGGCAGTTGCTAAGAATCCCATGTTTGCTCTACTCTTTTATCTACCACTCCAAGAGTGTCTTTAGCTATACTGTCCAGGTATCATGTAGGATGTTCATGGACAAAGAGGCTGTGGCATTACAGATCCAATTATGTTAGGATGAAAATCAATAGATAAAATACCCTTCTTGGTCAATATGCAAGACTTTTGCTTATTAATTAAAATATCACATCTCCTAATTTGATGATAAAATACTGAGTGCACAGGAAAGGATGAAGACACAGCTCAAACACACACTGAGACTAATAAACTTTTTAATGCTTATGTCTGGGAATACTATCTAGGACTTATAATGCAGATGGAACCAGATTGAGAAAAACCAGCCAACCAACCAACCAACATGATGGCTGAACCAGACAAGAGAAGTCCCGAAGTAAAATACCCACCAATTACCAGAATCTGTGCCTGCCATACATCGAAGGTATTGTATCCATGATGGCATGCTGCTTTTTGTGGTGTTTTGATTGATGTCACAATTTCCCAGCAGTCCTTCCACAGCCATTCTGAGATAGCATCCAGAAATCAATGAAACATCAGAATAGGAAGTATTTGTGTATGTAGACTAATGTGGCACATTCCATCTTGGAAGATGTAATCCTTAAAGGAAGGAAGAAAGAATCTTGGTAGCAGTATATGCTGGGAATATACTCAGCCATTTCCCATGTATTTTCTAGATTTAGGGAATCAGAAATCAAGAGAGGAATGTGGGAGGTGCTGGCACCTTAGTGGAGGGAAGTTGTCTCAAGTAAACAGCTACACAGAAATGAGGAATTGGGCTTTTTAGCCATGAGTTACGGCTGTCAGTCCAAATTGTCTAAAATCAGAAAAATATATTAAAAAGTATCAACTCCCACTGAGCCTATGCTTTGCAAAAGTATATTTTATTTTCATCTCTTTTGATTCCTGAAATAATCCTAAACTAGATATGGTGGATGTTGTCCTACAAATGAGGATGCTAAGGCCCGAGGGGGTTAATGTCTTGCTTAGTTTGTAAGAAAAGAATGGAAATCATATGTTCTTACTAAAGGCCAGTTATCTTTCCATGATGTTTTAAACTGACAGACCAATAACAACAAAGGTGAACAAAGGGTTAAACTCAAACCCACCAGAAATATTTGGAGTCCAAAACAGAGTGAATGGTGGTGGATGCTATCTTGTAATTATAATCTGTATGTCAAAATAAGACAATCCTGTTGAAAGAATTAACTCGAAAGTGGAAAGCATGGGCAAAATGAGGAAGTTGTAAAAGATAGTGCTGTACAATAGCTTTTGTTGTTGTTGTCACTAGTAGTGGCATTCCTTGTTTTTTAACTTTTCAAAATATATGGGTAACATAATACTTATTCTTGAATTCGTCACTCTTTTAAAACAATTGTTTACTGTCTCTCATTTCTTCTGTGTCTTTAAAACATTTTATATTTTCCTTGCTTCTAAGGTATCTCTACGGCCATAATCAGAAACTCCCAAACTTCACTGTAGGTTTTGATGAGACACCTGTAATTAACTCCCAGCAATGATTGCCTAATTTAAATTGTAAACCCCTGGGACAAGCACTGGGTCTAATTATTCATTCTGTAGCCTACCTTGAGCAAACTTTCAGAACATCAAGCCTGGCTGTGGTCCCCTCTCTCCTGCCTGCCTTTATGTGCTGGTCCTCTTGTCGGTAAAACACTCTGAATGGAAAGTAAGGCTACAGCAAAACAAGTGAGCATAGAGCTTTATTAACAGAGGAACCTGATTTCATCTCTCTGCTTCAACTCCTTAGTCTCTGACTTCTTTATTCCACATGACTCTGCAAATCTACGTCTGAACTTATATTCTCCTGAAACCAGAACGGATGAAACTCATTAGGTAATGCCAGCGCTCTTTCTGATCTTCACCTCAAACCTCAGGAAACAAAGCCAAGCATGATATCCTCAGCTTTTATCTCCCTCATTTTTTTTTTTTTTTTTTTTTGCTTAGGCCTGGAAAGTTGCAGATAGGATGCACCTAAAATTGGAGTTTAGGAGGCATAGTTTTTCAAAGGGTTTTTACTAGGCAGGAAATGCCGTATCTTAAAGGGTAGCAGTGTGTTCCTATAGCTGGTACAGACATCTGAAGTAATTTAAAACCAACATGAATGATAACCAAATTTTCGGCCTATAAATTTACAACCAAGAAAAAGGAGTGGGCAATGATCAGGATTGCATATTCATTGTAGGAAAGCAATTAAAACTTAGATAATTCGGTATCTTTTGGACTTTGTTGGCTAACCAACAGCATAATAAATCACAAAATTATTATTTCAATGATTTAAATATATAACTGCAGCTACAACTTTGGAAATGTTGAATGGATAAATGAGGGCCTATGCTTTGGTCAGTAAAATGTAAGGCTTTGCAGTTGGCACCCTATGCCCAGCTTCTCTTCCTGGCACGGCTCTAGAATGGCACATACAACTTCCATCAGCACCGGCGTGTTCGTCATTTAGCATTTAGGAACACAGTGAATAGCAATTATCAGCCAAATAGCTGGGAAGTGAAAATGACCTAGTAATCAGAGTAAATATACATTTTGTTGTCATAGTATAATGTGTAAATATTGGAGAGGAATAGCAGAATATGGACATGCAGAATCTTTCTTTTAAGGCCTTGTATGAACGCAAATACTGTCTTGGCTCTCTGGCATGCTTTTGGATGACAGCTACTAAACATGCTGATTTAGTAAGTAGTAGGTCATCTTAATCATTTGCTCACTTACAGGTACCATGACCAGAAAAGGCATTGCCCTGATTTTTTATAAATCCTAAACTTGGCTCCCAATGACCAGGAGACATATGGAGAGATGATAGCAGCTTGGTGGGAGTTCAGACATTATAAACCTTGCACAGCCAGTTGCTTTAGCTGCTTATTCCAATCCAGCTGTATGTTAATTTTACAGAATCCTTCTTCCTTTGTTAAGCTGGAAAAATATGAAAAGCCACCAGTGTCATTTTGTTTATATTCATCTTCTCAGCAAATCAGATGGGGATAGTATCAATGTTGCAAAATGTTGCTAAACTGAGCACCTGGATTACATGCTGTGCTAAATAGAGACAGAGAAGAATAGGCAGAAATTTTATTTTAGAAACCTTTATGAGTGCAATATCCTGGGAAAATTAGGCTAACTGATGGGATTAGTTTATTAGCAAGGTTCTAAACAACAGACACACATAATTTCCCCACTTTTAAAATTAAGGGCTAACAGACTTGGAGAGACTAAATCAATAATGCCTCTATAGCAGAAGGTAAAAGAAAATGATGGTGGTAGTAAATATTTATTTTTTGTAGGCACTCAATATCCTTTTCCAAATTTCTTGAAACTTTTTGCTATTTTGGGGGTAGGAGGGAGTGGATCTTCTCCTTGCATTGAGTACAGTGTTGGTATTGGCAAATTCAGGTACCTGTCTCGTCTCTTTGGAAGTATGGGCTTCCCTGAGGTTCTTTCTGTCAGATTCTCTTTCTTACAGCTCCATGACAGGCAAGCAGTGAGCATGTGCCCTAAACTTAGCTAATTGCTCTCCTAGAAAACAAAACAAAAGGCTGAGTCCAATCATTCTAGGAGAGGATGTCCACGGAGATACTGCTGAGACTTTGGAAGGTACCTGGCTCTTGATGGTTTCTTCAGTCTTCTTTATGATCATGTACATTGTCCCATAGCTTCCTAATAATACAATTCTTGCTCAAATTAAGTAGGCTTGCTTCTGTTGCTAGCAACCAAAGAACCTTAATTAATATAGTTTTTAAATTCTACTTAAAATGCTGCAAATAACTACTTCTCACCAGAGCAGAGGGTCAGAGAAACCACCATGTTTGGGGTAGATCTTTGGTAGTAAGAAGGTCAATTGGAATATAGAATTATAATATTCAGACTGTGTAAATCATAAGGAAAATCTTAAGATCTCAAAATAGTGGTTTCTGCCCATGTTTCTAGATCTTTCTCTGCTTCATCTTCTCACTGTTTGATTAATTAGGATGGAGTTGAGCCATCCATACTTTTTGGCCTAAACAAGGCCCAATACATAAGATAAAAAATTACTAATGAAATCTTGATTCAATGCATACCCAAAATGTAATCTATAATCAGGGAAGTTTGCAAAGAAAACTGCACCTACTGTGCCCAGGGAGAATGGTTTTCCTTGTCAGTATCCAAGCAGCAACCAGGGAGTTAGGCTAGTGCAAAAGTAATTGTGTTTTTTAATTTTTTTGTCTCTACAGAACTCTAATATAAAAATATTTCTTAACTAGGATTTACAAATTTTTTGTCTTAGCTGCTGCAGGGAGTCAAACATAAGGTACTGTTTCTGCCCACAGAGAGCACATAACTTCTTTGAAGAAGTCGCCAGACAAACTAGAAAGTTCTGAGAAAGACGATAGGGGCTGGATGTGGTGGCTCATGCCTGTAATCCAGCACATTCGGAGGCCAAGGTGGGAAGGTCACTTGAGCCTAGGAGTTCAGTACCAGCCTGGGCAACATAGCAAGACCCATCTCTACAAAAAAAATTTAAAAAAATTTATCCTGGTATGGTAGAACATGCTTGTGGATAGCTCACAGTGCTATCTCCCAGCTACTTGGGAGGCTGAGGTGGGAAGATCACTTGAGCACAGGAAGTTGAGGCTGTAGTGAGCCAAGATTGTGCCACTGCACCCTTGCCTGAGCAACAGAGCAAGACACCCTCTTAAAAAACAAAAAAGAAAAGAAGATGGATGGGAAGACTTTGTAGAGAAAAATAGAATTCTTTTCTTTGAGAATTACTGTTCACCTTCAGTAAGCAGCTGATTTCACAGCTCAGGCTAGACCTAGATGGTGTCACTGCTTCTTAAGGCCAGTGGTCTAGCTGATTTTATCCAGGATGGCCTCTGCCAAAGAGGACTAGGGCTGACTTTAGCCATAGGTAGGGGTGTGTGTGTGTGTGTGTGTGTGTGTGTGTGTGTGTGTGTGTGTGTGTAGGGGAGTGACAAAGAGAAGATAAACATCTGTGTGCTGTTTTCCATTAGTTTCCCTGAAAGCAGCAATGGAAGTCAAGTGTATCACAAAGCAATTTCCTTCCTAAAGTTGTAAATTGCTGTGAGGAGGAAATTTGTGAAAAATTGATAGTGATGTACAAATAATAAAACAAAATGTTTGAACTGGAGCCCAGGAGATGAGCATTCCTCTCTATTCACTTATTCTTTCTTGTGGCCAAGCATGTCTGATCCTTTTAGAAGGGCCGTTTGCCGATAAGTCTAATCCCTGATATTTATTAGGTCTATTTGCATGTGGCTAAATCAGCTAAATTAATTATATTTGCTTGCTCTTATTCTGTGGAATAAGAAAGCAGTAAAAGTGGTATTTTTCCAAGTTAACATTCTGAGACAGCATGAGAAAGAATTAGGATTCAGAATAGAGAACCCAGAAATAAGACTGCACACCTACAACCATCTGATTTTCAACAAACCTGACAAAAGCAATGGGGTAAGGATTCCCTATTTAATAAATGGTGCTGGGAGAACTGGCTAGCCATGTACGGAAAACTGAAACTGGACCCCTTCCTGACACTGTATACAAAAACCAACTCAAGCTAGATCAAAGACTTAAATTTAAAACCCAAAACTATAAAAACACTGGAAGAAAATCTAGGCAATACCATTCAGGACATAGGCATGGCAAAGATTTCATGACGAAGATGCTGAAAGTAATTGCAACAAAAGTAAAAATTGACAAATGGGATCTAATTAAACTAAAAAGCTTCTGCATAGCAAAAGAAACTATCAACAGAGTAAACAGACAACATATAGAATGGGAGAAAATTTCTGCAATCTATGCATCTGACAAAGGTCTAATATCCAATATCTATAAGGAACTTAAATAAATTTACAAGAAAAAAACATTAAAAAGTGGACAAAGGACATGAACAGACATTTCTCAAAAGAAGACATACATATGGCCAAGATATATATGAAAAAAGCTCAACATTACTGATCATTAGAGAAATAAAACCAGTATGAGATACCATGTCACACCAGTCAGAATGGCAATTATTAAAAAGTCAAAAAATTCCAGATGCTGGCAAGGTTGCAGAGAAAAAAGAATGCCTTCACCCTGTTGGTGGAAGTATATATTAGTTCAATCATTGTGGAAGACAGTGTGGTGATTTCTCAAAAACCTAGAGACAGAAATACCATTTGACCCAGAAATCCCATTACTGGGTATATATGCAAAGAAATATAAATCATTCTATTATAAAGACACTTGTACATGTATGTTCATTGCAGCACTATTCACAATAGCAAAGACATGTAATCAAACTAAATGCCCATCAGTGACAGACTGGATAAAGAAAATGTGGTACATATACACCATGGAATATTATGCAGCCATAAAAAGGAATAAGATCATGTTCTTTGCGGGGACATGGATGGAGCTGGAGGCCATTATCCTCAGCAAACTAATGCAGGAACAGCAAACCAAACACTGCATGTTCTCACTTAAAAGTGGGAGCTAAATGATGCGAACACATGGACACACGAGGGGGAACAACACATTGGGAACTGTCAGAGGGTGGGGTGTGGGAGGAAGGAGAGGATCAGGAAGAATAGCTAATGGATGCTGGGCTTAATACCTGGGTGATGGGATGACCTGTGCAGCATACCATCATAACATGTTTTTCTGTGTAACAAACCTGCACATCCTGCACATGCACTTAAAATAAAAGTTGGAAATAAAAAATAAAATAAACACAAAAAACAAAAAAAGTAGGGTTTATGATAACATTTAAACCTTTTACTACCTTCATTGTAATAAAATGTAGGAGACAAACTATTCTCCTTTGTTTTCTTTTTTTTTTAACCATGTAATGTATTTTTATTTATATTATATGTACAAAAAATCTGAATTCAGCATTTTGTTATAGAGTTAGGACAGGTGTTTGTGAAATTTCAATTTGTTTTTTTTTTATTATACTTTAAGTTTTAGGTTATCCTTTGTTTTCCAATGGGGAGAAACAAAGTAACCTTCCACATATGTCTCTTAAAGTCAGAGTTGGAATAGGAAGTCTCATCGAACTTCAAAACAGCTTGATTCACTAGGGCATGTTGCCTTCCTCTGAGCATAAAATAAAAATAGCCCAACTTAATCAAACAATGTTTGCCAAGTTCCAGTCTTTAGGGAACTTTTATTTTTATAGTCAAGAGTAGCACACACTTTATACTAGGCAATTTTAATGGCAGTATTGGGACAATCTATACTATTGCTTCACAAATGGAGTACAAAAGCCTGTGGGTATATTTACCTATTAAAAGTGGTGTTAGAGAAGGAGAGCCGATCACACTAGAAAATAAATGCCTGGTCACTGCACCCATTTGGGAAAAATCTCTTGTTTGGTTCTGAAACTGAAATATCATTTGCAATGCTTTCCCTTCCCTGCTAGTCCTTTTAACAATAGTAAATTATAACTGCTACGAGGCAAGGACTACATCTTGTCTCTGCTTTTCAGAGATAAATGTTTGCTGAATGAGTGAAGAGATGAATGTGTAAAATTATAAGCAATCTTTAAGACAAAAAATATTTTATATCTCTCTGAGTAGCAAGTAAGAAGTATATAGCCAAATTGAATCCAACAGTAATGTAATTATAGTGTTTTTTGAGTAATGTAATAATAGTTTTTTGAATAGGTGCTTCATATATACTAGTTGATGTAATCATCAAAATAAGTCTATGGACTAAGTATTATTGTTAGTGCTATCTCACAGATGAAAAACTGTGGTACAGTGTGATCAAGTCACTTACTTATTGTCTCACAGCTAGTAAAGGGAGGAAGAAGGATTGGAATCCAGACCTAGTGCTGCTGCTATTTACTTACAGTTTGGTACACAAATTGCCATGGCAAATGCCCATCAGAGCATGAGGGTCTCAGCTGAAGTGCTTTACATAGATTACTAAGTAGGTGTACACTTTACCTGGACTATCCACATCATGTCATGAAGACCCCAGTCTTTTTTCCCCCAAGAGGGACCTCTGGAAAAATGAAATCCATCAGTTTGATTTCATTCAAGACATGGAAAAATATTTACTGAAAAGTCAACAAGTAAGCAGCCTGTAGATAAATTATAGAATTTCAGAGAAAACTTTGTAAAAGTGAGCATTCCAATGTCACTGCCAGCTTCTGGAGAAAATTTAGTTCCCATTTTCTTGGGTAGTTCAGGGACAGGGCAGCACTGTGGGAGACTCGGACTTGGATTCTTTATAAAATGAGACCCTTCCCATTTTTTTGTTTTTTTTCTGAATTACGGTTGGCCCTGGCCTGCAGGAGAGTCCTCAGATCTCTGTATAATATCATCCTGACATTGGAATCATTTTTACCTCTCAACAGCAAGTTGGAGAGCCTTTCCATAAGGATTCCTTTTTACATTGGATCAGTGAGACACATAAATTGTGTCCACTTCTCCCCATCACCTACTTCTATTTGAAACAAACACTGGGCAGGAAGAGCCCAATTACCTAGGTTCACAGTGAAAAAGAAAGGTCATTTCCATTTCCCTTCTCCCATCACTGCTGAAGTGGTGTTCCCTGCACTGAAGTTTGCTTGTTCTGGAGCCTGCCTTCGTGCTGCTAGGGGTGAGCTCTGACGGAAGAAAGGACATTTAAGAACACAGAATCCTGGTTTTCTCTAAGCAAGATACTTAGAAAAGAAAGAGATAAATCTGTAGTTTGATTTAACTTGGCTTTTGTTCCATGAAGGTTTGTTTTCTTTTTGCACCTTTTTATTAATGCATGTGAGAACCTATTTTGAAAGCTATCAGGCAAACTTACTTGGCCCTAGAAACTCTGATCCAGGAGAAAAATCCCAAGAAAATGTCATTGTGTGACATGACACAGTATGATGAGGGCGCTAGAATCAGGGGGTGCAGAGGTGCCTTGGGATGTCTAGGGAGGGAGGATGACACAACAGCAAAGATGAGCCAGTAGGTCTTAGAGACTGGCGGTGCGGTGTCTTAATTCTGCTTTAGTGTACAGTCCTTTGGGGAGGTCACAATCTGGATGAAAATCTGGACACTGTCCATTTCTACCATCTTGTGTTTAAGTAAGAAGGGAAATAAAATGGGCCCTCAAGCTCCACCATGACTACTTCCCACAGAGTGCCACACACCCCATTATTAGTACAATTCCAGAAATATGTGTGATGCTTTCCGTTGCCTCTAACTTGACAAGTGTGATTCGCAAATCTCTAAAGAATTCTATTCTGCTAAATATTCAGGAGGGTGTCTGACAGAGTGAAAGAAGGAAAATTAAGCAGAGAAAAAAAGGGCCAGGCAAGAGAGATAAAACATACAGTTATTGGAATTTATAAAATAGGAGATAATGTTATTCATACCAAATATTTTATCATATTGGGAAAAAATAAATCTACCATATCAATTAACATTTTGTCATTTTTTCATCAAACTTAATATTTCAGAAAAAAGGATAATCAGTTTATGACAGCATGATTCCTTTATAAGTCCTTTAATTTTATTTTATTTAGAACATTTTTGGGATAAGTAATTTGGAGAAAGTATTTCTGTTTCCTAGTGAGAGGAAAACTCCACCTCTTTTTTCATGGTGTGATGATTCTAGTCCAAACGCAATGAATTTCTGGAAATGGCAAGTGAGACACTTGTTGCCATGGTGATTGTTAATAGTTCTGACTCAGATATAGTGTTGCCATAGCAACTGCATTGAAGCCCTTGGGTGGTGGTGCGGTCTTTTTTTTTTTTTAATCAGCAGAAAGAGGCTAGGAAGAACCATTTTAGTAGCTTCTTGCTGCACTGCGGTGACGAAGCTTTCAAGGCTATTTCATCCAGATGAAAGATCATCCTGTTCCTGCACTGATGAAACAGATATGTTACACTGTGCAGGATAAATATAGTCCCATATATCATAGTAGCAAGCACATTATCTTCCTGTTAATGAATTCTAATTTTCTGACTGTAATGGTTTCTAATAACACAGGTAGTCTCAAGTGAATATCTTGAAGAATCCTTAATGTCACTGCCAATACAAAAAAATTAAAGGTCAAAGACTGAATAGGCCCAAATCATGGAGAGGTAGACAGTTTTAGCTTTAATGCATCCCTATAAGGACAAGGCACATGGCTGACAAAGCATTTTGAAGGTCCTTTTGGAATGGTTGGGGTTTGGTCGTCTAGACTGAATGCTTGTATACCACTTTACATATATACCCAGTTCTTTTTTTTTTGAGACGGAGTCTCGCTCCGTCACCCAGGCTGGAGTGCAGTGGCGTGATCTCTGCTCACTGCAAGCTCCGCCTCCTGGGTTCACGCCATTCTCCTGCCTCAGCCTCCCGAGTAGCTGGGACTACAGGCGCCCGCCACCATGCCCGGCTAAATTTTTGTATTTTTAGTAGAGATGGGGTTTCATCACGTCAGCCAGGATGGTCTCAATCTCCTGACCTCGTGATCTGCCCGCCTCGGCCTCCCAAAATGCTGGGATTACAGGTGTGAGCCACCATGCCTGGCCCCAGTTCTTAAAGTAATGATTGGCATGCAGGAAATCCCCAATGAATCAATTTATCAGGTAATGGATAGTAGTGTTTATTTGTCCCGAAGACCATTCATATAACTTGGCATTGTTTTAAGGCCTTTACTACATTCTTTTGCACTTAAAGACAAGTGTGTTAAGCAGATCTGTGTTCCTGAAAAATGGATAAATTGATGCAATTTTCTTATGTCAGGGACTATTCCCGCTTTCCAGTGTGAACTATCCAGGATCTGACATTCTCAGAACCCTTAAACTTTCATTCAGGTGTGTGAAACCGCTGGAATTGAATTTAAATGCAATCCCTTTGTGTAGCCCTTTCTGTAGTTAGCAGATTAGAACAAGTCTCTGAGAATGTCCTCGCTGCTGAAACAGTAGTTCAAAGTGATGGGATAGCAACACTGGCTAAACTCTAAGATTGGCTTCTCTCATATTTAGTTCACTCTCAACTGCCCCTTATTTTTGTTTTCTTTCTTTTTTTTTTTTTTTGAGACGGAGTCTCGCTCTGTCGCCCAGGCCGGACTGCGGACTGCAGTGGCGCAATCTCGGCTCACTGCAAGCTCCGCTTCCCGGGTTCACGCCATTCTCCTGCCTCAGCCTCCCGAGTAGCTGGGACTACAGGCGCGAGCCACCGCACCCGGCCAGGAAGATTTTTCTTTTCTTTACTTTCAACTCTCATGGTCTGTCCCTTGATTCACAAAAGCTAGCTCTGTTTTAGATAAAAAATTGGGCGACCCCAACATCTATCTGTTGCTTTTTCATGGTAGCCCTCATTATGTCTTCTCCTCTTTTCTCTTTCCTTTTTCCCAAACAATACCAGTTTCTTTTTGAAAAATCTTTTTTTTAAATTGTCGTTTAAAACACATAACATAAATTTACCATCTCAAACATTTTTAAGTGTACATTTTAGTAGTGTTAAGTGTATTCACATTGTTGTGAAGACTTCTGTCTTATTTTCTAATTTTTATTTTTAAGTTCTGGGGTACATGTGCAGGATGTGCAGGTTTGTTAAAGAGGTAAACGTGTGCCATGGTAGTTTCCTGCGCCTATCAACCCATCACCTAGGTATTAAGCCCAGCATGCATGAGCTATTTTTCCTAATGCTCTCCCTCCCCCACCCCACCCCGCAACAGGCCCCAGTGTGTGTTGTTTCTCTCCCTGTGTCCATGTGTTCTCGTTGTTCAGCTCCTACTTATTATACCTGGTTAAAAACTTGTAACACAAGACAAGAAGGTGGAAGTAATGAGGACGTGGGAAGGGGAAGTTTAAGTGTAGTCTCTACAAGTGAAATATGGTTGAGAAAAGAGGCAATATGAGTAGAGTGCTGGCTATAGTGTATATGAACTCTGTACAGAGTGTCAGAAAGCCGGGAATGGGCCATTTTAGCACAGTAGAAGTTCATAGAAATCCAAGTAAAACAGTTGCAGACATCAACCCAAATCAGTTGTATATCTGAGAAGAGGATTTAGCCAGTGCTTAAGTACAGGGAGTGGGAGGCAACATGGTGACTCTGGAGGAATATTCAGCACAAAGGAAATAACAGTATTTTGAAGTCTTAAAAGAAAAGGCAGGCATAACTTTGAAAATAATTTAGTAACATTCAGAAGAAAATTTTAGAAAATAGACTTTTTTTGTTTTTTTTTGAGACAGAGTCTCGCTCTGTTGCCCAGGCTGGAGTGCAATGGCATGATCTCAGTTCACTGCAACCTCTACCTCCTGGGTTCAAGCGATTCTCCTGCCTCAGCCTCCTGAGTAGCTGGGATAACAGGCGCATGCCACCATACCTGGCTAATTTTTGTATTTTCAGTAGAGATGATGTTTCATCATGTTGGTCAGGCTGGTCTCGAACTCCTGACCTTGGCATCTGCCCACCTTGGCCTCCCAAAGTGCTGGGATTACAGGTGTGAGCCACCGTGCCTGGCTGAAAATTGACTTTTCTTAGAAAATGCAAGACTACCTTTAGGAAAGAGCATAAATCTGAAAGCACTGTAGGATAAGATGCAAAGGCAGATGGATGAAATAACGCTTAACATGTCTAACACTGTGCCCAGCCCTATGGATTTGAATAAATCACCCTTAACTAAGAAGCCATTGAATGTTAACACATACAAATGCATAGAAATCAAGACAGTATGCGATTACCTGTTAAGGACCTATAAAAATGACACAGATTGTTTGTGCTCTGGGCAGTCGGAAAAAGGTGAGATCATTGTTATCTGGAAGTATCAGAGAGAGCTACAGAGTTTGGCTCAATAGGAGAGAATTGGGGATTTAGAAAGGGACAGGGGCACGAGCAAAAGCTTTTACTTGTTTTGAGCAAATGGCATCCTCCTCAAACTATCCTCAGATAATCTTATTCTTACAGTCTTATTCTCATAAATGTTAACATTTCAAAATCTGACAGCACTTTCTGCTCACTATCATCTTACCTGGACTGCTTCTGATCCTTTTAGACTAGGTTCAGTTCACCTATCTCCTGTTCACAGACTCCTCTCAGGCAGGATTGTAAAACATTTAATGTCTCAATCATACATTTGTTTTTCTAACTGAAGTCCAATCAGGCATTTTTCTGGCAATCTCCTATCATAATAACTTTGTATGGTAGTCAGGGTTGATGATAATCATTCCATTTCATAGGCAAGAATGCTAAAATGTTAAAAAATTTTCATAGACTTTCCTTCCATAAAGCAAGAAAATTTAAGAGTCTGGACTTATATCCAGAGTTTTTGATTCCCAGTCTCAGGCTCTTTTGGCAACATTATTAACTGAGCAGTAAGAATAAGGGAAGATAAAGGAGGTAGAAATGGGCAAGTAAATATGTTTGATTATTTTTTTAAAGATGGGAGTAGGACTATGAATGTTTAAAGACACCAAGAAGAAACTTGTCCCACTGCCTTCAAAAGACATATCTACCCTAATTATTTATTCAGCTATGGATAAAGGATGTTAACATTAGAGTGTCTTTTTTTTTTTTTAAGGAAAAAAGAATGTCACGTGTTGGAATTGTGACACAGATTTGGCAATCACAGTTATGGCAATGGACAGTCAAGAAAGTTACATCATATTCACTTACAAGGCAGAATAGCATGCTCCTTATGGCTGCCTTCTACAGTGCTGCTAACCATGGTTGATGTAAGGCAGTTGTAGCCACATCTTATTGATAGTAGAGAACTGCTATGGGAAAGCAAGATTCTGGGATGACCAGAGGGATGGTGTGAAGTTTTCACATAACAATATAGTAGTTCAGTGTAGTCAATCTGGCTAACAATCTGATGTGACATTTCTCAATTCATTTTATTCACATGTATAAAAGGGTTCTTGTACTTTCTTGATACATACACTTTTGATGGTTGAATACATTTTAAATTGCTTCAATCTGAAGTCTTCCTTTCTTATTTTTAATATTTTCTAGCTTTAGCAATCATCGTATGCTCTTTGTATGTCATGGACTTTTATACACATTTGATTTTTTAAAAAATCTACAATCTCAATAATTCCATTGTCACTTCTCCCTGTTTGAAAGGTGTGTGAGGAGGACTCATACATGGGTGTGTAAAGGACATTGGTTCTGTGAGAGCAAACATGGTAACTCTTCATTCATTACCCATGAAAACTTAGCTAAACTTGATCACATTTTCAGAGTGAACAGTTAAAAAAAATAACATGCTTTTTAATTTTGTTTTCTTGTACCCAGAGAATTACGATTCAAACTTTAGGAACTCACAGTATTGACAGCATTTTAGACTTAAAGAGAACCAGGATGCTGGATAAGCCTGACTTTTAGGGCTTATCTCATATTCCACCTTGAATGACTTCCCACTGTCAGAAATAATAATTCTGAACCCTAGAAGCAGTTGGTAACCCTCTCATTATTTTAATGTGCTTTGGATATACATAATAAAATATGTGATTTTCTTCCTTTCTTTTCCATTGAATTAACACTAATTGGCCATCGCTGTCTAGCTGCTGGTTCCATGTTGGCCCTGTAACCCCTAATTCTCTTCAATATTTAGGCTCTTAGCAGAGAGAGCCATCTTACCTGATAAACAGACATGGGCCCATCTCCTTGAGGACAACTGCAACTGCCTCAGAATTATATTTGTTTCCTAAGGCTGCTGTAACAAAGTACCACAAACTGGGAGGTATAAACAGCAGAAATTTATTGTCTCATAGTTCTGAAGGCTATAGATATTCAAGATCAGAGAGTCAGCAGGGTTGGTTCTTTCTAAGGGCTGTGAGGCAGCCTTTAATTTTTAATTTTTGTAGGTACATAGTAGTTGTATATATTTATGGGGTACATAAGGTATTTTGATACAGGCATGCAATACATAATAATCACATCAGGGTAAATGGGGTATTCATCCTCTCAAGCATTTATCTTTTGTGTTATAAATAATCCAGTTATACTCTTGTAATTATTTTTAAATGGACAATTAAATTATTTTTGACTACAGTCATCCTGTTGTGCTAGCAAATACTAGGTCTTATTCACTCTTTCTATTTTTTTTGTACCCATTAACCATCTCCACTGCCTCCCCACCCCCACTACCCTTCCCAGCCTCTGGTAACCGTCTTTCTACCTGTTATCTCCATGAGTTCAATTATTTTAACTTTTAGCTCCCACAAATAAATGAGAACATGCAATGTTTGTCTTTCTATGCCTGCTTTATTTCACTTAACATAGTGACCTGCAGTTTCATCCATGTTGTTGCAAATGACAGGATCTCATTCTTTTTGATGGCTAAATAGTACTCCATTGTGCATATGTACCACATTTTCTTTAGACATTCATCTGTTGATAGACACTTAGATTGCTTCTAAATCTTGGCTATTGTGAATAGCCCTTCAATAAATGTGGGAGTGCAGATATCTCTTTGATATACTGATTTTCTTTCTTTTGGGTGCATACCTAGGAGTGAGATTGCTGGGTCTTATAGTAGTTCTATTTTTAGTTTTCTGTAGAACCTCCAAACTATTCTCAATAGTGGGTGTATTAATTTATATTCCTACCAACAATATGCAAGGGTTCACTTTTCTCCACATCCTCGCCAGCATTTGTTATTGCCTGACTTTTGGATAAAAACCATTTTAACTTGAGTGAGATGATACCTCATTGAAGTTTTAATTTGCATTTCTCTGATGAACATTGATATGGAGCACCTCTTCATGTACCTGTTGGCCATTTGTTTGTCTTCTTTTGACAAATATCTATTCAAATCTTTTGCCCCCTTTAAATCAGATTATTAGTTGTTTTTCCTATAGAGTTGTTTGAGGTCCTTCTATATTCTGGCTGTTAATCCCTTGTCAGATGGGTAGTTTGCAAATATTTTCTCCCATTCTGTGGGTTTTCTCTTCACTTCCATTTCCCCCATTCTGTGGGTTGTCTCTTCATCTTGATTGTTTCCTTTGCTGTGCAGAAGCTTTTAACTTGATGTGATCTCATTTGTCCACTTTTGCATTGGTTGCCTGTGATCGTAGGGTATTACTCAAGAAATTTTTGCCCACTCCAATGTCCTAGAGAGTTTCCCCAGTGTTTACTTTTAGTAGTTTAGTAGTCTGAGGTCTTAGATTTAAGTCTCTATAACATTCTGATTTGATTTTTGTATATAGCAAGAGATAAGTGTCCGGTTTCATTCTTTTGGTAAAGGCTTTTATTTAATTAATAAATGAGAAAACCAGTAAGATGTGACAACTAGTTCCCAAAATGATTTAAACACCACACATGTGGGTAATAAGAAGTAAGTTTACAAACACATGCAAAACTGGTCAATATCATTAGGCAAAATTTCACCAGAAATAAAAATCATTTGCTTTTCTATGGACAAGAGTCATTTGCATTACTTACAGAGTTGTAAAACACCTTAAAGACAATAAAAGGTGCAGGCTTCTCTGAATGAAATAAATGGAAAGAAGTGCTTTACAGAATGGCAGGTAATCTATTTTTGTCCATTTCAATATCCTTTTCAGTTTTTCTGACATAAATATTGGAGTCCTTTGTCTCAAACAGAAGGTTCTATGGAATCTCAATTTATAGCCCATAGGAAAAGCAGAAATGAGGCAGTGGCCGCAGTAGTGGCAAGAGGATGAACAACAAATTTGATGCTTTGAAAGATGACAACAATAGGGACCATGATCAGAATGAAGAAAGCAGCACACAGAAAGATACTGAGAAAGAAAAAACACAATGGGACAAGAATAAGAGCAGTAACAAGAGGAAGGCTGTTGTCCCTGGACAGGCAGAGCATCCCCTGCAGTACAACTACACTTTCTGGTACTCCAGGAGAACCCCTGTCTGTCCCACCAGCTCACAGAGTTATGAACAGAATATCAAACAGATTGGCACCTTTGCCTCTGTGGAGCAGTTCTGGAGGTTTTATAGCCACATGGTATGTCCAAAGGATCTGACAGGCCACAGTGACTTCGATCTCTTCAAAAAGGAATTAAACCCATGTGGGAGGATAATGCAAATAAAAATGGTGACAAGAGGATTATTTGGCTGCGGAAGGGCTTGATCTCCCATTGCTGGGAGAATCTCATTTTGGCCATGTTGGGGGAAAAGTTCATGGTTGGGGAGGAGATCTGTGGGGCTGTGGTCTCTCTTCACTGTCAAGAGGACATTATTTCAATATGGAAAAGACTGCCAGTGACCAAGCAACCACAACGTGAATCTGGGATACACTTTGGCGAGTGCTTAACCTATCTCCCAACACCATTATGAAATACAAAACTCACACCGACAGCATCAAAACGCCAGGCAGCCTGGGCTCCCAAAGGCTCCTTTATCAAAACCTCTGGAAGCTGCGGTTGAATGTGCCATGACCCTCTCCATCTCTGGATGGCACTATCCTTGAAGCTGGTGTCATTAGAGTCTCTTGTTCTGTTGGTATGCTACCTGGAAGATCCTTCTATCCTGGACAAGATAATTAAAAGAGCATTTTATGTTTTAAGAACAGGCTGACACACAGCAGCTACAGCAACAGCTGAGATTGCTCAATAAATGGTGCTAAATTTAAAAAAAAAAAAGAGAGAAGAAATGCAGAGTCACTTTGGTTGAAATGAATATAGAGGCTTCTGACTAAGCTTTCTTGGACTCCAGAGTTTTGGGGATCTGTATAAATCACATTTAGGAAACCACTAGATGATTTCTACAACTACTGATTGGCCTTACTGATTAAACTTGGTGCCTCAACTTTCCTTTAGTTGTTCCCACACCAAAACATTGTCCACATATTTCTACCCACTCCCTACTCCCTGCCGCCCACATGGATGCTCTGCTTTATCAAGAAACCAAGACATCCCTTTCAGAAGACTTTTTCATCCTTACAAATTTTAAATTCCCACAGTATTTGACTGTAGAACTTTCTGGCTCTAAATTCCATAGAGTAACTGAAGTTACTTGAAAATATACTTCCTATTTGACAAAACCTGCAACTAAGGGGCCTTAGAGTAATCTTGAAAAAAAATTACAAATATGTCAGCTAGGTTTTTGTATGATACTGTCTTTATCTTTAATGTGTTCTGTTTATTTTCTTAATTTTGAAAACCAAGGCCGTATTTTTAGATGCCTCTGGGCACATGTACCAAAATATCTCTGTAAATTCTGCACTCATGTTTCCCTGTTTTTTTTTTAAATGTCTGTTTCTTGTGAAAGCCTGTAAAGACTGTGAAGAACTTCCTTCACAAACAGGGTGCTGTTTCCTCACTACCCATTCTGGCCTAAAATCTCCCCATGCGGTCCTGCTGTGTACTTTGCAGTACTCTGGCTTCAGTCCTAGTCCTATACAGGAAATGTGTGAAATCCTTGCCTCAGTGGCAATATGAGTTCATTTCTTAGAAGCTAAGCCCCGTGCCAGTAATTCCCATTTATGATCCAGTGTCTTATTGTCCCATCTCCTTAGAGTGGGATTCAGATTCTTAAAGTATTTCCTGATTCTTACTACTTGTTCTTGCCACTGGACCCTCCACTGTCTTGAACTATATCAACTGTCCAGCTGATCTCCTAAACTTGATCCTTTCCCTGCCTGAACCCAGGATGCTTTCACAATTGCTTTTTCTTACCTTATCTAAGAACATCTCTATTTTTTCTACTGCAGTCTCATTTTGATGAGTCTTTCCTGTTCTACCCTATCCTTTTCCTGCCCCAAACCTAATTTGACCTCCTTTCCACACAGGGTTTTAAGAGATCAAGATACTGATGCAAATTTCAACATTAGCTTGCAAAATCTCAAAGGTTGCTTTTCTTATCCTGAAACTACCATCCTCCTTTCCCTGTTCCAAAGTCCTTCACAGTGATATGGGGTATTTTAATAAAAAAACAATATTTTCTTAAGCAGCATTAAATGAAATCCCACTTTCAGTACTACTGGTTCTTCTGTTTGCAAA
Organism: Homo sapiens; assembly: GCF_000001405.40. Taxonomy (NCBI): domain Eukaryota; kingdom Metazoa; phylum Chordata; class Mammalia; order Primates; family Hominidae; genus Homo; species Homo sapiens. The sequence continues at coordinate 115,281,424 of NC_000003.12, forward strand.
GTTCTCTGTTCTGGTTTCCTTTCCTAAACCCTTTCTTTTGACTACTGCAAAAGTATAGACCAAAGAGGCAACCTAATAAAACAGCTAAGACAAGACTACTAGCTATTTTGCTAAATGTTTTCAAAATCTGATTTATTCTGCACAATATCCCTCTGAAAGAGATACTATTATTATCCACATTTTATAGGTGAGGAAACTCTGAATAAGTTGCCAAGGTCACCCAGCTAATACTTTTGAAACCAGGACTCAAATTTGAACCTTTCTGAATCCAAACCTCACTAAGCTCTATATCATCTCTGACATCAATCTACTACCAAATAGATGGTGACCTTGACTTACTTGCATTTTGAAAACACTTATATTCATTAGTGGTAGAAATATTTATAGACAAATCACTAACCAGAAGGAAATCTGAGAAAAAGAGAAGCATCAGAAAATAGTGTCAAGGGCACCAGTAAGTAGATAAGAGGCTAAGGTTTTAGTTTCAGTTCTTGGGCCAAAAGCTCTCAGGGCTTCTGTTATTTTATTTGTAAAATTAAACCGTTGACTAGATAGGTTCTTAGGATTTGTCTAAAAAATACAAGTATTTGCTTCCTGAGGGGACTAAAAAATTCAGACAGTGTGATCAGTCTCTGCAATTCAATGAGAGCTATAACAGCACTGTACATGAGTTAGGCTAGTAAGTAGAGGTTAATAATTCAAGTCCGTCCAGCTCACTTGTTTGTCCTGTCCTCTCGCTGTGTCAGGGCACCTGCTAAGGGAGTTAACTGAGAACCAGGCAAATGTGGGCAGCAGTGTTACTTCCTAGGACTAATATCACCAAAGTGGCAGATGAAATCATCCACTGAAGAGTCAAATGCATTCCAATCTCTCAGCATGGAAGAGTTGATTCAACCCAAACACACTGGGTTGGGCTCCTGTGGAAAAACAGGAGGTTAAGAGAAGTATCCATAGAAGCTGCTATATTTAAATGAAAGCATAAAAGTGCAAGATGGAAATCTGGAAAACATGTTGTAAAGATTCCTTGGAACACAGCTTGAAGGAAGAGCCCTGGCTGGATATTGTTGAGCAACAAGAGCAGCAGACAGACCATGATATGCAGTAATCAAGAATGAGGATGTCAAGACATCTGTTATTTTGTCTGCTTGGCTCTCCTTCCTTTTAGAATTTGCTTCTCTACTGCACCAAGTGATTCTGATGTGGCCGTCCCTCCTGCCACTGGTGTGGGCAAAAGACTCAAGATGGCCAATCAGAGTATCTCTTTCTCCAGGGCCCAGATACTGATTGTGTAGAGGGAGGTATGAGATCTAAGCAGGGTTTATCAGTACCCTTTGGGGGAAATTGCTATTGTTGCATGAAGAAAGAGAAGATCTTTTTCTGAGTTTATGAGCTGTAAAGATCATTGCAAGGAGGAAGAGAGTGATGGACTCCATTACTTGGAAAGAATAAGCCAACATGAAAGAAAAAAGGGCAAGAGTAGAACACGTGACTAAGAACATGTTTACGCACTTGGACTCAGATGTGTCTAAAACCAGAAAACACCCAAACTTTTCAAACAGATGAGCCAATATATACCTCTCCCACTTGTAGGATGGGTTTTTTTTTTTTTGAGATCTATTTACACGCAGTAAAATTTACTCCATTAAGGTGACTAGTCCTGTGAATTTTGATCAGTGCATAAAGTTTACATAACTACTACCTCAATCAAGACATGGGATACTTCTATCACCCCAGAAAGTTCCCTCACGCCCCTCTGTTATTTATCCCCTTCTCCTGCTCTATCCACTAGCAAACACTAATCTGTTTTTCTGTTCCTATAATTTTGCCTTTTACTGAATGTCATGTAAATGGAAACAAAAGGATATACCCTTTTGAGTATATCACTTCTTTCACTCAGCATAATGCATTTGAGATCTATCCATGTTGTTACTAGTATCAGTATTTTGTTCCTTTTTATTGCTAAGTCATATTTCATTGTGTGGCTATACCACAGTGTGTTTATGCATTCACCAGTTCATGGGCATTTGGATTGTTTCCAGATTTTGGTAATTATGAAAAAAACCACGATAAATAATTGCATACAGATTTTTGTGTGGTCATATTTCCATTTCCCTTGGGTAAATATCTAAGAGTAGGATTGCTGGGTTATACAGTAAATATACTTTTAATGTTATAAGAAACTTCCAAACTGTATCCCAAAGTGGCTGTACCATTTTGCATTTCTGCCAGCAAAAATTCCCATTGCTCATCTTTCTCACCAGTATTTGGTGGTTTCATGGGTTTTTTTTTTTTTTAAATGAATAATTCAATAGGTGTGCAGTGATATCTTATTCTGGTTTCAATGAAAAATGATGTTACACGTCTTTTCATATGCTTATTTGCCATCCACATATCTTTACTGATGTGTCTGATCAAATCTTTTGCTCCTTTTTTATTGTGTTTTTTTTCCCATTATTACATTGTGAGAATACTTTACATATTCTGGACACAAGTCTTTTATAAATTTTATGTTTTGCAAATATTTGCTCTCAGTCTATGACTTGTCTTTTCATTCTCTTAGCAGTGTCTTTCAAAGAGCAGAAGTTTTTAATTTTGAAGTCCTATTTATCTTATTTTATAGGTTTTGGTTTTTGTGTCCTATCTAAAAAATCTTTGCTAAATTCAAGGACATAGAATTAATTTTTTTTTCTTTATAGTTTTAGATTTCACATGTAGAATTATGATCAATTTGGAGTTAATTCTTGTACACAGTGCTTCCCCCTTTTAAAGATCATTTAAATTGAATTTCTGTTCCTGGTAACCAGTGAGTTTTGACTTATATAGATGGAGTCCTTCACATATGTTGAATGAGAAACATGTTAAGAAAGGACTGTCTAGTGTAGATGTATTTCTAAAGGGTATGTCAATTCCTCCCCAAGTTAATTTAATTTCAGTGGAAACCTCATTGTGATTTATTTGCTTGACCTTAACAAAGTGAATTTGTAACTGGAATAATATATGGGAAAGAATAACGTGAATGTTTTAAAAACTAATAGGAATAAAGAGACTGGTCCTATAAGATATTAAAATATAAAGTAACCAACAATAATCAAATCAGTGTGGTCCTGATGCAGGGATCAACAAGAATAGCCTAGATGCAGGTAAGCATATATGTTTTATATATGTGTTAAAAAAAAAGAATTATGCAATAAATTTTGTTGGTAAAATTAGTTTAAAAGAAAATGAAATTATATGCTTACCTAACATCAGAATTCCAAGTGAATTAGATTGAAGTCTGAAAAATGAAAAAAAAAGAAAACTTTTAGGGGCAGATAGTCTGAAATGGGGATACAGAGCTGGCACCTTCTTGATCTTTTCTCAAATCACTTTGCTCTTTTGGGGTGATTTAACTGGATTACATTATTGCTCATATAGTCTGCATCTTAATGTATTGCACCTAGGTCATGTAGAAATATAGATTATATTGGCCTTTGTTGAAAGCAGAAGTGCTTTGCTTTGATGCACAAATTTATTTATGTTTTCTTATTTTTTACTCCTCAGAAGCATTTGTATTCAGGCAAGATTTGTGAGAATATTTTCTCCACCAAAGTAAACACAGCTTATAATATATTCCAGAGGGAGAATTTTCTAATTAACTCCAAGTGTGTGAGGTCTGGAGGCAACATAGAGGGCCTAGATTGGCTGCAGTGTTTCCTGTGAGGTGAAGCCACATTTTTCTTCTCTTCATAGATGCTCCAGCCTGGGGGATTAATGTTTACCTTGATTTAATGTCTCATCAGAAGCATGACATCCACAGCACTCTGGCTGCAGCAGGATTAAATGAAGCATGGCCGTTTCTTCAAGAGAGACTTAAACTTCAAGCCTTTAGCCCTAGAGGGAATGGGCAGGAGATGAAGAGAGAGTAAAAATCTATTGAACTACCAATGATAGAGTGAGAATGAAAAATTTAACCCCCTTTACCACAGGCACAATTCAGGGGCAGAGATGAGGTTTGTACTCAAGAAATCTGGGGGTTGGGCCCAAGTAAGAGGCATGTTTGGGTTTACAGCGAATCTGCTCTAGGAGACAAGGGGCTTAGCAGCCCCTGGCACACCACTACCCCACTCCACACTATTCAGGTGACCTCAAGACAAAGACACAAGCTTTGTCTTTAAGGGAGAAATAAGGTGGATTATGTTCAGTTTTGGGAAATTGAATCCAAAGACTTGTCCAGACAGATTTTGCCAGTGCAGCATCTTCTTTCTCCCAGAAGCAAGCAAATGCATATAAGAAGTGTTAAACTAGGGTAGGGTGAGAGCCAGCCCACCTAGAACTCTGCGCCTGGCAGAGGACCACAGAAGGGCTTTGGGATCTCAGCATCATGGGTTATTCTTTCCACCCCAATCCTAAATTTTCTTGGTTTTCTCGCCAAACCATTAAGGGTCTGCTGCTGATGGAATAATTTACAAATTTCTTATAACCCTTTGTGTTTTTAGCTAGTACTATCTCTGTGGGATAATGAGTTCTTTAAATCCACTCAATACTGTGTAAAATCATACTTCTTATTTGTCTTAAAATTAACCCCTTTCAAGTTTCAGGAGGTGGAGGTAAATTCTTACATGTCAGAGTATTGAGACCCTCATGTTCATTCTCTTTGAATGTTATGACTTCATGGGCTTCTATCCAGCCTTTTATGTGGTCACCACTCTGCTCTTCTTCCTCCATGGAGTTGATTATTTTAATTATTTCTTTTTTTCCTTTAATTTCTGGCATACTCTCTTTCTGTCTCTCTCTTTCTTATTTAGTTGTGTCAAAGAAAATTATACATGGTAGGAATTTAGACCGTGACCCTTCAAACAGTTGTGTTTTATTCCCTTCTATTTCAGTCAATGCTTAGCTCCATAAGAGACGGTGAACCTGCAGAAAAAACATGAGCTTAAGAGTCATCAAGATTTAGGATTAAATCATCCATTTACTACCTATATGACCTTGTGTAACTAAGCTTCGGTTTTTTTTTAACCTGGGATAATATATTCATCTTGATGAGTCATTGTGAACATTACATTATTTGAAAAACATTGGGTATGTAGTTTAATATTATTATAATAATAAGATGAACTAATCTAGTTTTTAAAACAAATCAATGAAAGTGTCAAGACAGGGTCTGATTTGTTATCATGTCTATCATTTACTTTTATAAGAAGTTAAAAAGTCCAGGGAGGCCAGGTAAGTGGTGAGAACAGACTTTGCTTGACCAGCAGGAACATGGTAGAGTCACTGACTAATAATAACAGACATAGCTCATTACTTCCCCATAACTGACAGTAGCAGTCTGCAGGAAACATAATGATGGGAATCTTCATCAGAATGAACCTAGAAGGTTGCCTAGCACAGCTTATTTACATGGGCTAATGCTTGCTATCGTAATCTACAACCCTAAGGAAACTGTCCCTAGCACAACCATTCCTATTAATTTATTAAGAAGGCTTGACCAACCTAGTGGAGAGCTCTTGAGCAAGAATTGCACATAAGCATGTCACCATTTGGATTGAAATTGCTGGGACTCTCTATCCCCATCTCACTTAGTCACTAAATGTGGCACGATCTTGGGAGAGGCAATTATTAGCACCTGAGATATGAAACCTAAAGGAGCTAACAGTTGAGGCTGTGTGTTAACTGCATTCTCCATAGCTGGGCAGCAAGTCATTCCTTGAAGGAGGTCTAGGTAGCACATCTTCTTGTCCACCACAATAAGATATTATCTACAAAATATAGTCTAGTGATTTCTATGTCTTTATTCCTACTTCTATAAAATCTCTGGCCAAGTTTCAACATGCATTAATTATTGCTATGTAATAAAACACTCCAACATTTAGTGTCTTACAGTGGTAATAATTTAGTATTTCTCGTGATTTTCTGAGTTGGCTGCATTAACTGAGTAATTCTTCTATTGGTCTTGCCAGAGGTCATTCATGTGGTTGTAGTCCTGCTCCCTCTTAGTCATGGATAGAGAGTCTAAGATGGCCTTATTCACGTGTCTTGGGCCTTAATACTGGCTGTTGACCTGGTCTCTCTTTCTCTCTCCATGTTACCTCTCATTCAGTAGTTTAGCTGCTTTTTTACATGGAAGCAGTAGTGTTCCAAGAGGTGATGAATCTGGAAGCTGTGGCCCAGACTCCAGAATTGGCTACATTCTGTCAGTCAAAGAAAATTATTAGACTACTAAGATCCAGGGGGTGGGGGAAAATAAACTACCACTTATTGGTAAGAACTGTAAAAGATTGTGGTTCAATTTTTTCAGTCTATCACCATCTGTTCTCCAGTTTTCAAATGCAAAATATGTCCTCTCACCCAGCTGCAGAGTTACTCCCATTACAGCACAACTATCAAGTTTAAAGTCCACGGTCTCAATGTAGCTTAGAATAGAACTTGATTGTTTCCTTTGCCATAGATATGGTTGTACCAAAGACATCTGCTATCTAAGAATTGCCATTCTTAAGATACAAACTCTTCTGATGTCCTCAGTGACAAAAGTTACTGCCTAATTTCTGTATAGAGTATGGCTGATTTTTCTGGGTGACTTTTATATTCAAAGATACCTATCAAGGAAACATTTTTAGATCTGCTGTAAAGACTATAGACACAACTCACATCTTACGTTATTAAACACCAGGGCTTACATTATAGAAAAATCCCCGGCCTGCTAATGTCAAATAAAATTGTGAATTTGATCAACTGGTGTGGCAATTAGGTCTTTCAGATAGTTTATTCCATGAATAAATCTTATTTAAGCCAAAAATTAAAAAATAATTGTTTGCTAAGTTTACGTTGAATGCTAGCTATTAAAAAGCTAGCTAACTGTTCAAGAAAAGTTAAGAAGAGGGGTTAATTTTTTAACCAAATAAACCAAAGCATGCTGGATGATTCAAAACTTACTGTATTGTCTACATCAATGGTGGGAAAGTATGTTGATGGGAGAGACATTTAAAATTTCTGGTTCCATTGACTTTTTGGGAGTTATGAACACATGAAGAATCTCATGATAGCCATGAATGCTTTTCCCAGAAAAACTCTCATAAATTCAGGATTTGGGGATTCATAGATCTCTTAAAGTCTTCTATAAGAATTCTATAGTTCTTCTTTTTTTTTTTTTTTCTGAGATGGAGTCTTGCTCTGTTGCCCAGGCTGGAGTGCAATGGTGCCATCTTGGCTCACTGCAACCTCCGCCTCCCAGGTTCAAGTGATTCTCCTGCCTCAGCCTCCTGAGTAGCTAGGTCTATAGGGGTGCACCACAACACCTGGCTAATTTTTGTATTTTTAGTGGAGACTGGGTTTCACCATGTTGGCCAGGCTGGTCTCGAACTCCTGACCTTGGGTGATCTGCCCACCTCAGTCTCCTAAAGTGTTGGGATTACAGTTGTGAGTCACTATGCCCAGCCAGCTATAGTTCTTAAAATTTAGAATTCCTATGAATCAGCTGAGGTGCTCATCAACAAAGGTAGAGTGTCAGGCTTCAGGCTTTAGTTCTTGTAATTGGAATAGGCCTTGGTAAGGACAAGAAAAATGTATGTTTAACAAAAATGCTAGATGATTTTGATGAAGATTAGTTTTAGTTGCAATTTGAGAAAACTAGGAGCTCATAAAACCCCCAATTAAAATATTTGATCTTTCTGGATATACATTGAAGAGACTAAAAACAGCACATGAATTATCTTTTTCGTTTCCTTTGATCTCAGTCTGCTTTACTTGAGTCTCAGGGATTCAGCTATTACATCTGGCTGAGCTAATGACGACACTGAAGTAGACTTCAATTGGATGAAGTTGTCTTTGTGTACATATATAAATAAAATATGGACTACTTGGTTACTTATTTGCAGTTTTAAAATCTTGATTTCTTGATACCTCAAACTGCTATTGAAGATACAACTATTTACTGTCTCCAAATGATCTTCTAATGGCTGTTAATTTAAATGTATTCATTTTCACATAGTTGGAATCAATGTGTTGGTTTGCTTCTTTCTTGTAACATTTCCCCATATGCTGGGCTGTAGTTATTTCCATGTATCAACACTATCCACATACTTTTTATTTTTTTATTTTATACAGTCACAATATTCTGTGCTGGTGTGTCAAAATATATTTAGTTTTTATTGGTAGTCTTTGGGGATGTAGTTTCTATTTAACATCGGCTGTATGCAGTGGTAACTTTTTAAAAATTTTGTCACTCAGGCTGGAGTGCAGTGATGTGATCACAACTCACTGCAACTTCCAACTACTGGGCTCAAGTGATACTCTTACCTTAGCCTCCCAAGTAGCTAGGACTACATGTGCATGCCATCACACCTGGCTAATTTTTCTTTTCTGTAGGAACAGGGTCTCACTATGTTGATCAGGCTTGTCTCAACCCCAGGCCTCAAGCAGTCCCCTCATTTCAGCCTCCCATAGCATTGGTATCACTGGTATTAAAGGAATGAGTCACCATGCCAGGCCCTCCCCTCTTTAAAAAAAAAAAATAATTATTGTGAGCAGGAATTATCAAATGAAAATAACGTGACACCAATCTTGAAAGATACTTAGGCCTCACACTGATGCATAATTAGCCCACAGAAAATGGTCAATAAATTGAACCCAAAATGTTGTCAACGAGTTAACACAATTTTAGGCATTACTGTACATTGTGAGTTTAGATTTTTGATAGGAATATGGCAACTAGAAATAGATTAAAAAGAAGAGTTGGTGAGTGGCTCCTCCCAGAAAAAATATATCAACTGTATACAAATTTATGAACTTGAGGTTCTAAGCATGGCAGAAGGCAGTTGGATGATATAGAAAGAGAGTTAGGTTGAAATGATATTGTGTGATATCTTCTTGAACAGACAAAATATGCTTCTCTATGGCAGATTATAAAGATAGATATTTGTGTTGCAGGAAACTTCAGCTTTTTTGAAATCTGTTGGAAGTCTAATTTGGCTAAAAAGAGGGGATCTGATAAACTTTTGACAAGGAGACTATTTTATTATGAAAGTAAGACAGTCAACTTAGGCAAATACCATCCTGGACTTGATTTTAACTAAGAAGGAAAAACTGATTATTAAGGAAACAGTAAATGCCTAATATAAAGAAAGGGAATGCTGGTTTGTTTATTCATGTGCCATAGACTTTGCCAGCCAATTGCTAAAAAGTTTCCTTGAGACTCTAGAAGGGAAATAGATGATGAAGGGTGGAAAGTTCTATAAGTATAATTCTGACTGTACAAACATTTTGAATAGTTCAATGAGGAGGGCAAAAGAAAGGCATCTAAGGAAAATAATGTGGTTGCATAGGTATTTCATTCTAAGTTGTTTCATAAAAGACTTTTACAAAAGATATAAAGAGAGACATATAATGAAAGAAAAGTATAAAAATATGACAGGAATGTGAGAAAAACACCAAGAAGATTAAAGCTCAAGTGAGGCAAATGAGGTGAGCTATAGAGAGAGAGAAAAAAGGATGACAAAAATGATTATTTTAACTATGTAGAATAAGAAGAAATTGTAGGTTTATGGCTTCTAAGAATGGTGCAGGAAAACATAAGACTTACAGATGATATTTCAGTCCTTTAAGGGAGATGATGGTAATGCCAGAAAATATGAACTAAACAACTTAATTTTAATTCTTATCAGCATTTGGGATTGGATTTTTTAAATAGATGGCTTGTGAACCTTTGGAAAAGAATGCGATGATCACTAGCAATCAATATACATTCATGAAGAACTAGTGAAGCCATATCACTTTAAAATAGTGATTGGTGGTAATTCAGGAAAGAGTAATTGCTTTAGCACTTCTTGATTTCAGTGAAGGGTTTGATAATTTTTTGTTGTTATTTAGAGTAAAATGGTAAAACACTTCATAGATTAGTAAGTGAATTAATAACTTGTAGTCTAACAGTTGCTCTTCAATATTTAAGGAGGGAAGTCTTCATTTTACTAGGAAATGGCTCTGTCTTTGACATTATCCAGTTCAAAATTTATACTAGTGACTTGAATGAAGGAATATATTGCGTACTATGTAGCACACATGGGTTATATATAAAACGAAATCCGACTTAGACAATTTTGTGTAGGATGTTGCTTACTCAGATTTGACTCCCAGGTGCCACAGATGAATCTGAGTCAGGTAGAGACACACTAAACTATAAAGATAACCTGAAGGATTTGTGGACTATTCCTAACACTCAATCTGTGAAAAGAACTGCTGAGAGTTTACCCTCATGTTAGGCTGAATAATGGCCCCTCAAAGATATCTACATCTGAATCCTTGGAACCTGTGAGTTTGTTACCTTACGTGGAAAAAGCACTTTGCAGATGTGATTATGTTAAGCACCTTGAGATGGGGAAATTATCCTGCATTATCTGGGTGTACCCAGTGTAATCCCAAGCATTCTTAAAAGAGGGACCCAGGAGAGTCATAATCAGACAGGAAGATGTGGAGAGTGAAACAGAGGATGGGGGAATGTGGGCAGCCTCCAGAAGCTGCAATTGAAAAGGAAGGGGAGTCCTTCCCACAGCTTCTAGAAGGAACAAAGCCATGGACTTTCAATCTCCAGAGCTGTTCGATAACAAAGTTATGTTGTTTCAAGCAACCCAGTTTGTGGTAATTTATGACAGCATCAAATGGAAATGAACATACCCATATACAAAAAACTAAAGGACATATGATAAGAGCTGATATAAATTTCCACTTTCTCCTCAGAGGGGAACAGGTGATAACCATTAACTAGTGGGCCTAAAAGAACTGTCCTCTATCTTAAACCCACCTCTACATATCTTACGTTGCTCTTGTTCCATTTTGTTCTACCATGGCATAGCTGATTCTTGCTTCAGTGCCCTTATTACTGGCACTATGCTAAATTTTACTTGGTGGAAATACAGCTTTTCAGTGTTGGCATCTCATCAGATGGTTTTTTGCCAAAGGCTTTGTTTCCTCCAAATGCTAGAACTACCTATAGGCTTTTGTAGCTGTCTCCCTAGTACAAATATGTTCTGCATTAAAAAAAATTGTGTGAAGAGCCCTGTGCTTTGGCACCATCGTTCTTGGTGCACTATGTCAATAGGAGGAAAATTTTAAATCCCCTTGGGAAAATAAGGCACTCAGTTGAAAAAGAAACCTAATCAGAGTGATTTCAAGTCTGGATGGGGAAAATTATACCAGTAAAATGTGAGGTGTCGAGCCTATGGATGATAGAGGAGAGGTAATGGAAGTAACACTAAGAACCAATTCTTTTCATGATGAATCACCCAAACAACCAAGGCCATTTTTAATACTTCAAATGAAGGGATAACAGTCATCTCCACAGAGAAGAAAAGGGGGGTATCCTGTCATAGAACCACCTCCATCATTGAATACTTTATGGGGTTAGTAATTTATTCAAAAATTCATTGTCAAGTTTAACTACCTTGGTCCAGCCCTTCGAGTCTGAATCAAAAGATGACACCTTCACAAAAGCCAGAAGTCATAATAAAGGCATGTTTTACATTCAGACAGCAATCCAGTGGGTAATCACCACCAATGTTCCCATAAAAAAGGAGATAATGCCCTCTTTGTGAGCAAGGGAATAAAACTGTCAGATTTCTACCAACACCACAGTCTCGAGAATTCTCAATACAACATAAACTGCTCATGAAAGGGTGATAGAACCACACACCATCATAAAAAAAATTTAATTTGGAAGACCACCATATAACCTAAAACCCAGACATAATGCAAAATAAGCTTTGGTTATATAGAAATTTAGTCACTGTACAGACCATTTTACAACAATATCTGGCTTTTTGCAGCATGAAAGGTTATGTCTAATTTAGGTTGAAGAATCATCCAATGGTTTTTTCAAAGTATTCAAAAATAAGTTTGGGGCAAAGATACAAAAATAGTATTAATATTTTACCCAAATAAATATTCAGCTCAATTAATAGCACCAACGATACAAGCCCAGTCAGCAGCTTTCCAAGTAATAGGGTGAAGTGGCTAAATTGGAAATAAAAAATACCTGATCAGTCAATAGTGCCAGAACTGGCCAGTTTGAGGCCTAGTCCCTACTGCTGCCAAAACTCACAGCTGAATCTATTTAGTCTCCATCAGCATTCTTAGCTCTGCCCTAGTTAGGTTTCTATTATTAGTCAAGGGAATTATAAGAAACTATAGGCCAGTTACTTAGAAGCATGTATCAAGACAAATGTCAAAGCCAGTTCTGTAGTGAAAAACTTGCCTGATCTTACCAAGCAAAGTTAGTTTCAAAAAGGCCCTTCCAACCTAGCCAATTGGGAATTTTTTTTACTCCCCATTCAGTTCTCCAATTAGAATATAAAGAGGGCATTTCCTTAGCATGTCAACAAACAGTGATCAAATACTGATAATAAGGAATGTAAAAATGAGATCACTAAGCACAGTCAGCCCTCTGTATATGTGGGTTCTGCATCTGTGGATTCAACCAACTGGGTATCAAAAATATTTTTTAAAAATCCACAAATTTCCAAAAAACAAAATTTGAATTTGCACGAAGAACTACTTTGAATCCAAGCAAATGAAGTGATGTGTAGGCATTGTATTAGGTGTTATAAGTAATCTAGAGATAATTTAAAGTATATGGGAAAATGTGCATAGATTATACGCAAATATATTTGATATAAGATGAGCATCCACAGATTTGGTATTTGCAGGGATCGTGGAACCCCATGGATACTGAGGGGGCAACTGTACTTTATTATTGGGGAGGATGGGCAAGAGAATCCTTTCAAAATTTGTGGAGGATATTATTTGAATGCCCTGCAATTGAATAGACACAAGCCACAATGTTCTCACCTGGGACTGCCCCGAAGCCCACATTAACTGCTGATCTTGATAGTTATCTGCCATAATGTCTCTGACCGCTCCCTCACAAATCTTGTTAGTTGTTAAGACTCAGCTTAGATGTTATTAACTCTGAGAAGACAAGACTTCCTGCCTTGGGCTGGATGCTGTCTTGAGGAGCTCCTATAGAATGCTGTACTCTTTCTGTTCCCTTTCTGGTATCATTGCCAGTTTATTGTTTCACCTACTGGATTAAACCATTTAAGGGACTGTCATTTTGATAAATGCATTTATAACAATCCTGACACATTGTAGATGCACAATGATTTGTTGAGTGAATCAAAAAATGAGTGCATGTAGGACTTCCCCATAAGCCAGAACAGAACAGACATCTGAAAGGGTAAGTTTCTTAGCAATAGCCTCTAAAGATAGGGCTTTAGCATTTAATGGTCTCTACTAGAACACAGGTGCCATTAAGGCAATGACTTAGTTGCTTTATTCATTACTGTGTTACCCTAGCACAAAGAAAAGCATCTGACATATAGTAGCTACTCTGTAGATGTTAAATGAATGATTAAGTATAAATTAATAAACAGAGACATTTGAAATAACACCCTATTTCAAAAAAATCTATGAGGAGCATCTCAGATGACCATAATTATAACTTGAATTGTATTTTACAGTTCCAGAAATATACTTATTTACTTTAATTGTATTAACAACTTGTTTTGTGGGTTTTATTATAACAACTCCCATTTTGCAGATAAAGGCCTTGAGCTGAGGGAATGGCAGAGTCAGAACAGAAACCCTGATTCTATGATTACAAACTTTGGGATCTTTTCACTAAACTGAACTTTCTCAATCCATGACCTTAAACTTAATGATCAGGTCTTAAAAAGAGCCTCTTTTCAACTGTTGTCTTTCAAATATGGACATCTGAAAAATCTGGTCACAAAATGACTAGAAATAAAAATAAATCACTATGGTTCCCTGAATATCATAAAAGAAAGGTGGTATAAGAAACCATATCTGGAGTACAATTCTCCTCTCTAAAAACAGTAGAAAATCAACAAAAAAGATTAACTGTGAGACATTCCTTTGAAAAGACAAATATGATTTTTAACTAATTGGGTGAAACTGTCAAATGCATGTCTTCAGTGACAAGCAGCTGACAAGTCTTGGAATAATCCAGAAAGAATATATTATTTGTAGGTGTTAATATAAGCACTAATTATTTGTAACTGTCTTGTAGGTAATAATAAATGGTGATGACAGGTTGGGAAAAAAATTGTAAGGATTTTATTCTTATTTACTATTTAGGAGAAGATGGCATCAGTTCAACTTCTAGATGTGCAAATAAATGACTGGAGTTGAATTTGTAATCAGATCCTCTGTCTCTTCATCCAATCAGTGATACGTTTAAAGTCATTGTCTGAAATACGTACTGTATGATTTTGGTAGGCTGAATAATGCCCTCTTCCAGAAGATGTCCACATCCTAATACCTGGAACAGATAAGTGTTATCTTATGTGGCAAAAAGGAGTTTTGTGGGTGTGATTAAAGTAAGGATTTTGAGATGCAGAGATTGTTTTGGATTATCTGAGTGGGCCCTAGATGCAATCACAAGTATCCTTATAAAAGGGCATAAAGAAACTCTTTCATCCAGAGGGAGATTTGACACAGACAGATGAGGGGAAAGCAACGGTAACAACAGAGGCAGAGACTACAGTGAAGCATTCACTCCAAATGTGAAGCATTTACTGGCCAAAGAACACCTGCAATTCCCAGAAGCTGGAGGAGGCAAGGAACAGGTTTCCCGCTAGAGCATCTGAAGAGAGGGTGGCCTTGCTGACATGTTGATTTTAGCCCAGTAAAACTTATTTTGGACTTCTGGACTACACAATTGTGAAATAGTAAATTTCTATTGTTTAAGCTACCAAGTTGGTGCTACTAAAGCAATGCCTTGACTTAGCTAAGGGAGTTTGATAGAATTAATGGGGGACAAGAGCCTTTAAACCTGACTGTGGTCTTGAAAATGGGAAATCATCTCCTCATTATTAGAAGAGGACTCACTCTGTTGTTACCCTTCAATAAAGAATTCAAATTGGATTTGAACATTTTTAGGGTTAACAAATGAGGCAACCGAGTGCCAAACATGATGCAGAGAATAGTTTCATGTCAAATGGTGTCCACTACAAAGTTGAGAGATGACTCTTGGGTTTTTAGCTTGGGCAAGTAGGGGCCATGGAGGAGACTGTTGGAAAAACCAATTGAGTTAGTGTGAGCAGGAGTAGAAACTGAGAGTTTTGTTTTGGACACATGAAATTTAGGGTCTCTGTTAGATACCTAAGTACTCATACCAAGTAGGCATATGAACATATAAATTGGAAACTCAGAGACGATATCGAGACAGGAGACAAACATTTGAAAATAATAAGCACAGAGTTGAAACAGGGCAAATGTTGGAAATCTGATTTACATTTTTCTTCTGAGTATCTAATATACTGATGCTAATTTTATTGATCAGAGTCTTATTTTAAAACAGTATTACTGTTCTGTGCCATTTTTGCAACACTCTTTTGCCAAATTAAGATTATGCAAAATATCATTGAATTCCTTTTTCCATTCATCCTTTAAAAACTGTGATGCTCAATGAAGTCATTTACACACAAGTGAAATGCAAGAAAATCTATCCACGCTACGTAGCTTTTTCTCACTAAAGTTGACAGGGATCTGAGCATTAAGTTTTAGAAGCGTTTTTAAAGAAAAAATCAACAGGGAGTACAGACAGACCCATTGCTAAAATAATCACAGAAATTAAAAAATAGAATACCATGATAAGAATCATGGTACTGCATGTAATTATACATTTTTTACTTTAGAAAGTTAGATATTTCCAAAAGCTAACTCTTATAAGATAACTTTCTGTAGTGAACTACTAAAGATAGTACAGAATTTGTTGTGTTAACTGAATGATTTTTTGTTTTTGTTTTTTGAGGCAAGGTCTCACTCTGTCACCGAGGCTGGAGTGCCGTGGCATGAACACAACTCACTGCAGCCTTGAACTCTTGACCTCAAGAGATCCTCCTGCCTCAGCCCCCCATAGCTGGGACTACAGGCCTGCACCACCATGCGTAGCTAATTTTTTTGTATTAGCTTGCCATGTAGCCCAGGCGTGTCTCAAACTCCTGGCTTTAAGCAATCATCCTGCCTTGGCCTCCCAAAGTGCTGGGATTATAGGCATGAGCCACTGTGGTCAGGTGATTTTTTTTAAGTAGATAAAAATACACTAGAGAAACTCTTTCCTTATGACATCCTCACTAAGACTACTCAAGTCTATGGGTAATATGATGTGTGCTGTAGTTGTGGTGCACAAATATGGTCATATAATTTTATATTTTGAATTAACCACTAGAGCCTCTACTTCTGTTATAGCAGCAAATCAAGACTTCCTGAAGAATCACAAGACTTACTGTTATAATCTAGTTACACAGTCCTACAGAGGGATTTGCCTAGCATTCTCCTGTGGAAAGAGAATTGGGGTCTGGTTAATTTATGACTATTGTGGGTTCTTGCTGCAAAATGGAGCACAGATGAAGGCTGTCTGGCTATGCTTATCCAATGCTCAGAGTAGGGAGTCCCATGCTTGAGGCTCTGAGGCTTCAGCCTTAGCGCTCAGTTTAAAGTTATATTCCAGGGATTGCCTGGTGCTGGCATTCCCTTTCTGTTACTTACCAGTGGATCAGAATGCTTTTCTTTCTAAATCTTTCAAATTAAGTGATTTTATATCAATTTTCCATTAAATAGCGGGGTTATTTAACCCTCCTCAGCAAGGCTATTCTTAATGAGTCCATGGTTGTCTTAGTCCTTTTGCTGTTGTTTATAATAAAATGCCTGAAACTGATAATTTGTAAAGAAAACAAATGTATTTCTTATAGTTATGTAGGCTGAGAAGTCCAAGGTTGAGTGGCTGCATTTGGTGAGGGCCTTCTTGCTGGGAGGAACTCTGCGGAGTCTTGAAGTGGTATAGGGCATCACATGGTGAGAGGGTTGAGCATGCTAGCTCAGGTCTATCTTCCACGTTTTATAAAGCTACCAGCCCACTCCATGGTAACCCATTAATTCATTAACCCATTAATCCATGAATTGATTAATTCGTTCATGAGGGCAGAGCCCTCACACCACTTTGTCATCTCTTAAAGGCCCTACATCTCACTACTGCCATGTTGAAGATTAAGTTTCAACCTGAGTTTTGGAGAGGAAAAACATTCAAAACATAACAATGGTTCTGAAGGTGGCCATTGTCAGAGAGTCAAAAATGCTTTATCCTTCAAAGGGAGACTTTACAAGTGATTTTTGAAGGTTTTTTTTCTCCTTACCCACTGTAAGAGAGTTACAGTTTAGCCCCTTTCGGATCATTCCATTTCATGAAGAATTTGAAATAAATTCTAGCTTTAAAAAGTAAAATACGAACTACAAACAGTTTCTTGAAGAAATTTTCATGATTTTCTAAATCTGGCAAAGATTTCAAAAGTGTTCTGGATATAATCTAGAAAAGAATGACTTTTAATAAGGAAGTTCCATCTCACCATATTAATCAGTCAATGCCACATTACTCTATGTACATTTAAAAATAATAGCAAATTGAAGAAACACCTGTCTGTGCCACGCCAGAGAAACTGATTTCAGACTTGCCCTCACACTGTAATCAAACAGAAAATTGGGGGAAAAAAGGACACACAAATCGTTTAGAAAAAAGATGCTGAAATAAAAAAAAAAATACTAAAGGTCAAATCTGGGCTAGAATGATAATTTAGATTAACTGGAAGCCACAGATACAAGAGAAGTCTGTACACATTTACAAGCTCTTTCCCATGGGTCTGCACTGGATTCTCATGAAAAACACTGGGAGCAAGGCAGGTGAGCAGAGAGAGATCCTTTATATATAAAACCCACCCATTTGCCTGGACCTTTCTCTTTTATGAAGCAAAGGCTGCTTGGTGAGGAGCAGAAAACCGCCTTTCTCCAAGAGACGAGGTAAAGATGCACTGTTTCTCGTGGGGAGTGTAAAGGACAAGACTGCCTGCTCTGGGGGAGAGTAGAAAACTCTTTCACTCTGGACTCAGATAAAGAAACACCACTTGTGAAGGAGGCATAGGAACAAAAGTTCCTAGCCACATGATTCTACACTGATATCACAGGGGGAGCAATAGAAAACACTCTTAAAGATACAAATTAGAGTTTGCATGAAGATAGCCCAGAAAGTTTGACATCATAGGCCCAGGCAAACAAAGCCTGCCCAAGACATAGTCTGGACTCTGGTAATGGAGAAAAAAATCCTGCCTTTAATACAAGTCCAATACTGAGTAATAAGCAATAGGTTTCTAATTCTGGGGTTGAAGCCAGGGCCTTGAAAGAGACCCCTGTGTTGTTCAGGTGAACTGGGACTACCAAAAGCTGATATGGAGCAGGAACACTGAGAAAAACCCTTGAGCACCTTAGATCCCACATTAAGCACTAAGTAACATCACTCTCTGTTGGAGGAATTTGAAGTCTGTGTTTTACTGAAGGTGTCTCCAACAATGACAAAGAATTGAAAATTCAGCCCAGTGCCTGATTAACCCCAGACTAAATGCCTGACAAAAAAAAGACATGCCCATTTCCAGGTTAAATACTACTTTGCGCAGCCTGTTTTTCTTCTACATGTGAGGGACGCCATTCAAATTACGAAATAAACAAAATTGTCAGTACATAAAGCAATCAACAGAACCAGACTCAGAGATGGCCCTGATGTTGCAGTTAGTATACAGCAACTTTTAAATAACTATAACTAATATATTAAAAGATATAGTAGAAAAGGTAAGCAACACGCGTGATGGGGAATTTCAGCAGAGACAGAAAGTACAAAAAGGAGTTAAATAAAATCCTCAAAATAAAAAAAATCAGATAAAAAGGATTAGTATTAGAAGCCCATAGATCCTTATCCAAAATTTTGTTCAGATGCCCTGACTGGTGATACCATGCACATACAAAGGGTGCATGAAATGTTTATTACTTACATAATGAGAAAGATTTATGGTAAGTTTTCATGGTGGATTTTATTTTATGGTAGTTTTTACTTTGTAACAATAAGTTTATTTTATGTTGGATAAGTGGCAGGAGCAACGTGATGGTTTCTGCCCTTGGGCTGTGGCTTGTGTGTTGTATATGAACCTCCCATCAGCACCAAAGGAAAGAGCACTTGTGTTTTCCTCTCAGCCTGCACAGCTGTGGGGAAGAATGAAAAGGAAGGTATGAAGCTCAAAAGTTGTCAACAATCAAACATCAAAAAAGATAGAGTATGTTGTTTTGTTTTTGTTGTTGAGATGGGGGTCTCTCTCTGTCAACATGCTGGAGTACGGTGATGTGATCATGGCTCATTGCAGCCTCGACCTCCCAGGCTCAGATAATCCTCCTACCTCAGCCTCCTGAGTATCTAGGTCTACAGGCAAATACCACTATGCCTGATTAATTATTAAATTTTTTGCCCAGGCTGGTCTTGCGCTCGTGAGCTCAAGCAATCCACCTGCCTCAGCCTCCCAAAGTGCTGGGATTACAGGTGTGAGCCACTGCTGCTGGCCCAACCTTCTTTATTACAGAAGCTTATCAAAAGAGTTGACACAGAAGATAAGGTAATTGGTAAACTTAAAAATAGGACAACTAAAATTATCTGAAGTGAAGCATAAACAGAAAAAAATGTGAAAAGAAAGAATAGATTATCCAAGAATTGGATAATATCTAATGGTGTAATGTTCATGTGATTGGATTTCCACAGAGAGGAGAGAAAGAGTAAAGAAGGAGAAATAATAATGACTGAGAGTTTTCCCAAAATAATGAAAGGCAATATATTACAGATGAAGGGGCTCAGTGAATACCAATGAGGATAAATACAACAACAAATCTCTCGCTCTCTCTCCCCCACACACACACACACACACACACACCTACACCCCTACACCTAGACTCATCACAGTAAAAATAATGAGAATGAAACATAAAGAGAAATCTTAAAGACAGGCAGAGAAGCCACTAACAGTGCATTTAGAGGAACAAAAATAAGAATTTCAACACACTTCTCCTAACAAATATGCAAGCCAAAAGACAATGGAGAGGCATAATAGAAGTACCAAAAGGAAAAACTGATCAATAGAATTCTATATCCAGAGGAAAAAAAAAATTTTTTTTTTTGAGTTGAGGTTTCACTCTGTTGCCCGAGCTTGAATGCAGTGGCGTGATCACTGCTCACTGCAGCCTGGGCTTCAGCGATCCTCCCACCTCAACCACATCAGTAGCTGGGACTACAGGTGTGTGCCACTGTGCCTGGCTAATCTTCAAATTTTTCATAGAGGCAGTGTCTTGCCATGTTGCCCAGGCTCCTCCTACCTTGGCCTCTCAAAGTGTTGGGATTACAGGCGTGAGTCACTGTGCCTGGCCCCAGAGAATACATGTTTAAAAAATGATGTTAAATAAAAATATGTTTAGAGTAAAAACAAAAAAAAGTGAAAATTTATTGCCAGCAGAACTGTGCACCAAGAAATATTAGAGAAATTTCTTTATACAGAAAGAGTATGATACCAGATGGAAATCTGAATCTGTACAAAAATAGAAGAGCCCTGAAAATTGTAAAACTGATAATAAATAAAAGAAAATGTTCCTTAGTTTATAAGAACTTTAAAAGATAAATGTCTAAATAAAAATAGTAACAATGTATTCTGAGGCTTCTATCATGTAGAAATGAATTGAATGACAGCAATAATACAAAGACTAGAAGAGAGGAAATGGAGGTATATTGCTTTAAGTTTCTTATTCTATACATGAAATATTATCATAGTATTTGAAAGTAGATTATGATAAATGAAAGATGTGTTATGTAAATCTTAGAGCAACCACAAAAAGTACAGAGAAGTTAAGCTGAAATAAAGCATCTAACTCCATTTAAAAATGTTTGTTGACAGATTTTAAGCCTCATTCCCTTATCTTCCTCTTCTGCCCACTTTTGGGCAAGCTAATAAGAAATTCTAGGTGCTCCTTCCTTTGGCACTTTGCGAAGTTCAAACCACACAAGCCCTGCCCACTGTGCAGGAACCATTACCCCAACACCACCATCTAACCACCACAAAAACTCCAAGCTAATCTCCTTTCTCTGCTCTTTAATGCCATTTTCAGACTTTCTGGGGGGCTTCCCTGCTCTCTGCAGATAGCCTTAAATATGAATAATAATCTTTTCTTACCTTTTGGTGTCTGTGGGCCACTGTTAGTCTCGACATCTGAAGCAATTTTTGGTTGGGTGTCCATCATATTTCTGCAGGTTGGTCAAAAGATAAGTCAATAGAGGAGATAATATGCTATAAAAAGAATACATAATTGATCCAAAAGAAGGTAATGAAAGAGGAATAAAGAAAGGAAGAGTAGATGGAACAAGTGGAAAACAGAAAGATTATAGATTCAAATACAACATATCAATCATTACATTAAACGAAAATGGTTTAAAAACTCCAATAAAAAAGCAAGACATTATTATAGGTTGTATACAAAGAACCTGCTTTAAATATACAGCCATGATTAGGTTAAAAGTAAAAGGATGAAAAAATATATACCATGGAAACCCTAATGAAAAGAGGGTGGAGTGGCTATATTAATAAAAAACAAAGTGCACTTTGGAACAAGACATATCACCAGGGATAAAAATGGGCACTCCACAATAATAAAGTAATTAATTCGTAAAAACGATTCTAAATGTGTATGTATAAACAACCATGCTTCAAAATACTTCAGGGGAAAACTGATAGAACTGAAAGAAGAAATGTACAAATTCACAATGATAGAGCATGTAGACAGAAAATCAATGAGGATGTGAAAGACCAGAACAACACTGTCAACCAATTTGAAATAAATGACATTTATGGAATAACAATAGCAGAATCACAATGTTTTCATGTGCACCTGGAACAGTTGCCAAGATAAATCATATTTGAGGCCATAGAACAAATCTGAACAAATTTAAAAGGCTTCACATTATACAAGACATATTTCTGGACCACGACATTCAACAACAGGAAGGTACCTAGAAAATTCTCAAATATTCGGAAATTAAGCAATCGTTTTCTAAATAATCTGTGGGTTATACAATAAACCTTAAGGTGAATTAGAAACTAATTTTAATGGAATAAAAATCAAAACAGCAAATAGAAATGTGTGGAAGGGATGGGGCATGGTGGCTGGCTCCTCTAATCCCAGAACTTTGGGAGGCTGAGGTAAAAGGATCACGAGATCTAGAATCTGGGCAACATAGCAAGACCCCATCTCTAAAAAAAAGAAAAATTAACCAGGAGTAGTGGTGTACACCAGTAATTCTGGCTACTTGGGAGGCTGAGGTGGAGGATTGCTTGAGCCCAGGAGTGGGAGACCCTATCTCTTAAAAAAAAAAAAATTAGCCAGGAGTGATGGTGTATACCAGTAGCTCTGGCTACTTGGGAGGCTAAGGTGGAGGACTGCTTGAGCCCAGGAGTTGGAGATTGCAGTGAGCAGTGATCACACCACTGCATTCCAGCCTGGGTGACAAAGAGAGACTGTCTCTCAACAAAAAATTGTGTGAAAGGCAAGTAAAGAGAGTTTACTGAGGTACTTAGAGTATGAAATATTTGTATTAGAAAAGAAGAAATGTTTTAAATCAGTCATCTAAAACTCCACCTTTAGATATGAGAAAAAGAACAAATTAAGCCCAAAGCAAGCAGAAGGAAGAGAATAATAAATAGTAAAGAAATAAATAAAATGAAAGACAATTGAAAATCAATGAGACCAAAAGCTTACTCCTTGAAACTGTTTAAAAATTGATAAACTTTGAGGCCAGGCGCGGTAATCCCAGCACTTTGGGAGGCCGAGGCAGGCAGATCACGAGGTTAGAAGATCGATACCATCCTGGCTAACACGGTGAAACCCCATCTCTACTGAAAATACAAAAAATTAGCCGGGAGTGGTGGCAGGTGCCTGTTGTCCCAGCTACTCGGGAGGCTGAGGCAGGAGAATGGCGTGAACCTGGGAGGCAGAGCTTGCGGCGAGCCGAGATTGTGCCACTGCACTCCAGCCTGGGTGACAAAGCAAGACTCCGTCTCAAAAAAAAAAAAAAAAAAAAAAATTAATTAACTTTGAGTCAGACTGAAGCAAAATTAGTCCGCCAGTATTGAGAAAGAGTGAGGGAATATCACTTGGATTCCTACAGAGAGTAAACAATAACAAGGGAATAATATGAACAAACTTATGCCAAAAATTCTACATTTTAGATGAAGTAGACAAATTCCATGTAAGATACAAACTGTGAAAACTCACTGAAGAATAAATTAACTAAAGCAAGATATGTCTTTTAAATAAATTGAATTTATAGTTAAAAACCTTCCCATACAGAAAACACAAATCCAAATGGATTCGCTGGTACATTCTACCAAAAATTTAAGAAAGAAATAATGCCAATTCCAAAAAAAATTCAGAAAATAGAAGAGGGAACACTTTCCTGATACCATAATCATATTATAAGAAAATAATTACATGACAATATTTCTCATGATTGCAGATGCAGAAAATGTCATATATACAGGTATAATATACTTTATTACCAGAGAGAGTGTATTTCAGGAATGCAAATTTGTTTAGCATTTGAAAAATCCATCAATGCAATTCACCCTTTAAACTAAATAAATTAGAAAAACACATGTTTATAATAGTTACAGAAAAATAATCTGAAAAAATTCAACATGCAGACATGATTTTTTAAAAACCCTGATTAAACTGGGAAAAAGTCTTTTTAAAAAGAAGAGACAAAGTGACAGGGCTTTCACTTTTTGATTTCAATAAAAAACTTAAGATCAAGCAACAGTAATCAACACTGTGTGGTATTGCATGCAGATGAATATATAGATTAGAAGACTAGAAATAAACCCACATATATATGCTCAGTAGATTTGCCACGAAGATGTTGAAGCAATTCACTTGAAGAAAGGACACTTCTAAACAAATTGTGCTGGAAAAACTGGATATTCATTTGGAAATAAAATTGATTCTCACCTCAGACAATACACAAAAAATAAGTACAAATTGATCAGAGATCTAAACATAAAGATAAATCCATAAAACTTCTAGAACACGGCCGGGCGCGGTGGCTCACGCCTGTAATCCCAGCACTTTGGGAGGCCGAGGCGGGCGGATCACGAGGTCAGGAGATCGAGACCATCCCGGCTAAAACGGTGAAACCCCGTCTCTACTAAAAAACTACAAAAAATAGCCGGGCGTAGTGGCGGGCGCCTGTGGTCCTAGCTACTTGGGAGGCTGAGGCAGGAGAATGGCGTGAACCCGGGAGGCGGAGCTTGCAGTGAGCCGAGATCCCGCCACTGCACTCCAGCCTGGGCGACAGAGCGAGACTCCGTCTCAAAAAAAAAAAAAAAAAAAAAAAAAAAAAAAAAAAAAAAAAAAAAAACTTCTAGAACACATAAATCTGTAACACTACTAAAATATAAAAGAAAATCTTCATGACATGACAATGTACAAAGACTTCTTAGGGTATGACAGCATGAACCAAAAGAGTGATAATTGGACATAACCAAAATTTAAAAATTCCTGCTTTTAATAAAAAATTAAAGAGTCAAGCCACAGAGTGGCAGAAAATATTTATGTAAATTAAATGTGCATAATATATATTAAGAATGAGTTCCACAGATTTTTCACAGAAGAAGATATGTGAATGGCCAATAAATATGTGAAATGTTTAATATCATTTGCCATCAGGAAACACAAATTGAAACCACTACATATACATTAACATGGCCAAAAATTTTAAGAGTGGTAGTAACAAGTGCTGTGGGGAATGTAGCAATTGGAACTCAAATTCATGTTAGTGGGAATATAAAATGCTACAACCAACTTGCAAAAACAATGTGCTAGTTTCTTATAAAGTTATGGATACACTTACAATGCAACTTAGCAATTCTCCTAGATATTTACCCGAGAAAATGAAAACATATGTCCACACAAAGATTTATATACTAATATTCACCCAGATTTATACACAGGGTAGCTTTATTTGTAATGCCACAAAACTGGAAACAATTCAACATTTATGAAGATGTCAATAGATAAGTTAATGGTACACATATGCACACAAACAATGGAACACTACTATGCAGTAATGAAGTGGATAGAGCTACTGATGTACAGTGAGGGTCAATCTCAAAAACATTGTATGAAAGAGGCTGGATAGAAAAGCATATACTATATTATTTCATTTGTGGGATAACTTAGAGTAGGCAAACTCATTTATAGTGAGCGAAAGCAGATCAATGGCTGTCTGGTACCCTAAGTGTGATGATTCATGCTAAAGGGCACAAGGGATTTTCTGGGTCATAGAAATGTTCTAGTTCTTGATTGTGATGGTTGTTATATTTGGCAACATTCATGACTAGACACTTAAAATTGATGCATTTTATTATATGCAAATTATATCTTAATGAAGTTGACTTTAAAAAACTCAGTAAGTCTAGAGAAGGGATGCTGAATTGATCAAAAGGACTTGGGATGATGATAAATCTTGGGACTCCCACTTGGAAAGATGATAAATCTGAAATAAGATAAAAGGCTTTAAAATTTGAAGAACAGAAGTAGATGTATATATACTTTCTTTCCAAGATTTAATATTTTAAGAGGAAATGTGTGTCATGAGCTGCATGTTTGTGTCCCACCAAAATCCATATCTTGAAGCCCTAACTCCCAGGGTGGCTGTATTTGGAGATGGGGCCTCTAAGGAAATAATTAAGATTAAAAGAGGTTATAAGGGTGAGGCCCTGATCTGACAGGATTAGTGTCCTTATAAGAGGAGACACCAGAGTGTTCTCTCCCATGCACTCTGCTGTCCCTCCCTCTCTCCCTCAATGCCTGAACCAAGGAAAGGCCATGTGAGGACAAAGAGAAATGCTAGTTAGCTTTTTCAAACCAGGAAAAGCACCACCACCAGACGCTGAATTTGCTGGCATCTTGACCATGGACTTCTAGCCTCCAGAACTATGAGAAAATTAATTTCTGTTGTTTAAGCCATCCTGTCTGCGGTATTTTGTTATGACAACCCTTGCAGCTAAGACAGTATCTTTTAAACTTGAAATGGTAAGTTTAAATAAATAATAGCTTCTAATATGTCACAGAAAATGTAGCAATATTATAAAACTCAAAAGTCCAAGAAGGCAGAGTTTGAATTAAAAAGAAGCAAGCGTAATAGTAGATCATGAAAAACAAAGTCATACATTGTTAGTAGGTGGAACATCAATAGAGTTTAAGGTTTATAGTTATTTTTGTAGTGGTAGGTCAAGAATGGAAATTCTGTCCTTCCACAAAGGGGTTAGGTGTAAGGTACTTTGTCTCTCTCTCTGTCTCGCACAAAGATAGTCTTTCTATGCATATTTCATTGTCTTATCTTTTGTTTCTTAACTACTCTTTGAATATTCTGTATACGTTAATATCACTTGTCATTGAGTCCACGGCTTCCTTACTTCTGTCATAACATATATTAAGTTGTATAAGGAAACCTAAAAACATATTTTCATGGTTTTCCTAGCACCCAGCACAGAGCCTAATGAATTACAGGGACTCTATACCCTGTACCTGAATGTAATCTCTAGGTTTTCTTTTTCAGTCCTAATGTTCATAGCAGTTTGGCATCCCTTCCATTTTACACAGTTCTGCAGCTTAACAATGGCAAAGTAAAAGTAAAAAAAGCTCCAGGAAAAGAGTGAGGAAACTTGAGTTCTGGTTCTGTGAGTTTTTAATCTTGTAAAATTTATCTAATCTCTCTGGCTTTAGCTTTTTCATCTATAGAATGGGGATAAAACCTGACTTCATTACTCCAGAGGATGTTATGAAAATGAAATGAGGTAATGTATGTGAAAATGACTTCTTAACTTGCAAGTTCAATATAAATATGTTATCATCATTGTGTTTACCTTGACATTATCAGACCTTATAAATTGTACCTGCTTTTGGGCCTAATATACAGAATTCACAATGTCCCTGTCATGGCTTGGTTATATTCCCATTGCCAAAATGACTTTTGAAGAGAAGGAGTAATTGAGTTTACTTATATCAATTCTTTTTAATAGTCGGTATAAAAAAATTGTCAAATTCTTATTTTAAAATAAAAACAAGAAAAATTAATTTTATTACTATTCTTAATTTTGATTTCTCCTATAGTAATCAATACCTTATTTTCCATATACCCAACCACTCATGAAGACTTTATTATTTATATCATGAAAGATTTTCATTTAAGTCAGTTGAAATATGTATTAATATGTTATCCCTCATCATTTACCTAAAATTGGGAAAAAATTACATATAAATATAAAAATGCAGTGACACAAAAGCAATGAGTTTTACATTATCAACTCTCATACCAAAAATGTAGGCTTTGTAGTGTACACCCTTTTCCTGAAAGATGCAGCAAGCTTAATGCAGCACTAAAGAAGTGCATTAAATTTTGTATGAAATGGAAACATGGAAATACCCATTTATTTGAACTTAAGGTTATGGCAAAGCAGCATATGATCAGGAGTTGTTGCATCAGCATCTGCAGGAACCAAAAGAGAGTGATGGAACAAATCTTTCAAAAATACATGTCATTTGCCAATTTTTTATGTCCTAGCTTTCCAACACTTTTTTAGCTTATACAGAATTCTCTCCACTCAGTGGCATATGAAATTTCTCCATGGAGTTTATGATGTTTTCATAAAATCAAGTAGTCTCTGACAAATTTATGTCCAATCCCTCCATTAAAGCTCATTCTCCCTGTTCTTATTATGGAGGTAAGGTACCATTGTATCTTGAACTGATCATTTGTAGCCCACTATCAATAAATGCCAAACACCATGGAATTTCATTTCATTTTAAACATGTCATTTTTTTAAATGGTGGACTTTAAATAAATATATATATTTTAAATCCCAATATTTGTTTTACTACCACGGGAAATATTTCCTAGTATTCTTAGAAAAAACGTAAGTGCTCAGAAATACGTAAAATATACACCAGGGGTACAAATTGGAGAATAATCAAATATGCTGATTGGGAAAGTCATCAGGAAGTGACCCCTGAGATTGGTATAAAAGAATGAGCATGAACTTCCAGGAAGATAAGAAAAGGAGTACTTTCTATTAAAAGAAAATAGATGAGAATATTGAAGTGGTGGGGAACAAGGTTGGAAAAATAAGTAATTAGATTAAAGAGGTCCAAGTAAGAAGCCTGGACTTAACTCTGCATGCAAAAGGGAGATGCCAAAGCATCTTTTAAAAGTAATAGCTTTATTGCAATTTATTGATAATTCATCTTTTGGTGTTCATTCAGTGGTTTTTACTATATTCACAGTGTTATGCAATGGTCACCACAATATGATTTCAGAACATTTTTACTATTCCCCCCCAAAACACTCTGTACCCATTAATAGTTGCCCATCATTTACCCCTACCCATCCCCTAGCCATCACCAATCTACTTCTGTCTTTATGGAACATATTCACTATGTTTTATGTAAATGGAATTTCATAATATGTTATATTTTGTGGCTAGCTTCTTTTACTCAACATAATGTTTTCAAGGTTCATCCATGTTGTAGCATGTATCAGCACTTCATTTCTTTTATGGCTGAATAATATTACATTTTATGGATGTACTACATCTTTTAAATTTTATCAATTGCTGGATATTTGAGTTTGGCTTTTTGGCTATTATGAATTCTGCTGCTATGAATATCTGTGTACAAGTTTTGTGTGAGCCTACGTTTATATTTCTCTTGGGTATATAGCTAGAAGAGGAATTACTGGGTTTTATGGATAACTTTATGTTTAATTTTTTGAGGAACTGCCACACTGTTTTCCAAAGTGGCTGCACTATTTTATGTTTCCACCAGCAGTATGTGAGGGTTCCAATTTCTCCATAGTTTTAGAAACACATGTTAGTGTCTATGTTTATTTCAACCATCCCAGTGAGTGTGAAGTGGTATTTTATTGTGATTATGATTTGTGCTCCCCTGATTATTACTGATCTTGAGATTTTTACATACTTAGTGGTCATTTGTATGTCATTTGTATGTTTATTCAAATTCGTTTGTGTTAGTCAGCCAGGCATATCATAAAAAACCACAGAGTGGGTGGCTTAAATAACACAAATTTATCTTCTCACCGTTCTGGATGCTGAAAGTCTAAGATTGAGGTGTTGGCAGGTTTTGTTTCTCCTGAGGCCTTTCTCTTTGGCTTGGGGATAACTGCTGGTCACCACACCCTTATTTGGCCTCTATGCCTGCACCTCAAAACTCTTCCTGTAAGGAAACCATATTGGATTAGGACTCCACCCTTATGACATCATTTAACCTTAATTACCTAATTATACTACATATCTCCAAATAAAGCGACATAAGACATTAAGGCTTCAGAATATAAAATTGGGGGGTACACAGTTTAGTTCATAACACATTTTTTAATGGAGTTATATGTCATTTTTTCTTTTTTTGAGGCAGAGTCTCACTCTGTCACGCAGGCTGCAGTGGCTGGAGTGCAGTGATGCGATCATGGCTCACTGCAGCCTCGACCTCCCTGAGCTCAGGCAATCCTCCCACCTCAGTCTACTGAGTAGCTGGGACTACAGGTGTGAGCTACCACATACCCAGTTAATTTTGTATTTTTTATAGAGATGGAGTTTTGCCATATTGCCCAGGATGGTCTCGAATTCCTGGGCTCACGTGTTCTGCCCACCTTGACCTCCCAAAGTGCTAGGATTACAGGTGTGAGCCACCATGCCTGGCTTATATGTCATTTTAATTACAGAGTTGTAGAATAATTATGTATTCTGGATACAAGTCCCTTATTAGATGTATGAATTTACAAATATTTTCTCCCATTTCATGAGTTGATCTTTCTTGAAGGTGTCCTTTGAAACAGAAAAGTTTTAAATTCTGATGAAGTCCAATTTATCTGTTTTTTCTCTAACCACTTGTACTTTAAGCGTCATATCCATGAAATCATTGCCTGACCCAAGGTCACAAAGAGTTACTCCTGTGTTTTCTTCTAAGAGTAGTTTTAGATTTTACATTTAAGTCTTTCACTCATTTTGAATTAATTTTGTAGATGGAATGAGGTAGGGTTTCAACTTCATTCTTTTGCAATTAGATATCCAGTTGTTCCAATACTATTTGTTGAAGGCTATTCTTCCACTATTGAATGATCTTTGCACCCTTGTTGAAAATTAATTGGGCATAAATTCAGGCTTTCTAATATGAAATCTGAATTCAATTCCATTGATCTGTATATCTTACATTATTTCAATAGCACATTGTCTTGTTTATTATACTTTTATAGTAAGTTTTGAAATTGGAAGTGTGAGTTCTCTAACTGTTCACTTTAAAAATTGTTACTTGCATTTCAGTGTGAATTTTAGGATCCATTTGTCAATTTATGCATAAAAGACAGCTGAATTTTTATAGGTATTATGTTGAATCTGTGGATCAGTTTGGAAACTTTATTGCCATTTTAACAATATCAAGTCTTTTGATCCATAGGCTATCTATACACATATTTAGTTTTTCTTTAAATTTTTTCAACAATGTTTTGTAGTTTTCAGTGTAGAAGTCCTGTACTTCTTTTGTTAAATTTATTCCCAAGTATTTTATTTTTTGATGCAATTTCAAAACTGGTTCTCTTAATTTTTTTTCAGATTTCTCATTGCTAGTGTATGAATATACACTTAATTTTTTCATATTTGTCTTGTATCTTACAACACTGCCAAAGTCATTTGTTAGTTTTCATAGTTTTTGATAGATTCCTTAGAATGTTCTATGTGCAAGATCATGTCATCTAAAAACATGGTTTAACTTCTTTCTTTCCAATCTGGATGCCTCTTACTTCCTTTTCGTGCCTAGTTTCCCTAGCTAAAATCTCCAATCAGTGTTGAATAGGAGTAGCAAGAGTGTATAACCCCGTCTTCCTTATATTAGAATAAGACATTCAGTCTTTTTATTTTATTTTATTTTATTATTATACTTTAAGTTTTAGGGTACATGTGCACAATGTGCAGGTTAGTTACATATGTATACATGTGACATGCTGGTGTGCTGCACCCACTAACTCGTCATCTAGCATTAGGTATATCTCCCAATGCTATCCCTCCCCCTCCCTCCACCCCACAACAGTCCCCAGAGTGTGATGTTCCCCTTCCTGTGTCCATGTGTTCTCATTGTTCAATTCCCACCTATGAGTGAGAATATGCGGTGTTTCGTTTTTTGTTCTTGCGATAGTTTACTGAGAATGATGATTTCCAATTTCATCCATGTCCCTACAAAGGACACGAACTCATCATTTTTTATGGCTGCATGGTACTCCATGGTGTATATGTGCCACATTTTCTTAATCCAGTCTATCCTTGTTGGACATTTGGGTTGGTTCCAAGTCTTTGCTATTGTGAATAGTGCTGCAATAAACATACGTGTACATGTGTCTTTATAGCAGCATGATTTATAGTCCTTTGGGTATATACCCAGTAATGGGATGGCTGGGTCAAATGGTATTTCTAGTTCTAGATCCCTGAGGAATCGCCACACTGACTTCCACAATGGTTGAACTAGTTTACAGTCCCACCAACAGTGTAAAAGTGTTCCTATTTCTCCACATCCTCTCCAGCACCTGTTGTTTCCTGACTTTTTAATGATTGCCATTCTAACTGATGTGAGATGATATCTCATTGTGGTTTTGATTTGCATTTCTCTGATGGCCAGTGATGGTGAGCATTTTTTCATGTGTTTTTTGGCTGCATAAATGTCTTCTTTTGAGAAGTGTCTGTTCATGTCCTTTGCCCACTTTTTGATGGGGTTCTTTGTTTTTTTTCTTGTAAATTTGTTGGAGTTCATTGTAGATTCTGGATATTAGCCCTTTGTCAGATGAGTAGGTGGCGAAAATTTTCTCCCATTTTGTAGGTTGCCTGTTCACTCTGATGGTAGTTTCTTTTGCTGTGCAGAAGCTCTTTAGTTTAATTAGATCCCATTTGTCAATTTTGGCTTTTGTTGCCATTGCTTTTGGTGTTTCACACATGAAGTCCTTGCCCGTGCCTATGTCCTAAGTGGTAATGCCTAGGTTTTCTTCTAGGGTTTTTATGGTATTAGGTCTAATGTTTAAGTCTTTAATGCATCTTGAATTGATTTTTGTATAAGGCATAAGGAAGGGATCCAGTTTCAGCTTTCTCCATATGGCTAGCCAGTTTTCCCAGCACCATTTATTAAATAGGGAATCCTTTCCCCATTGCTTGTTTTTCTCAGGTTTGTCAAAGATCAGATAGTTGTAGATATGCGGCATTATTTCTGAGGGCTCTGTTCTGTTCCACTGATCTATATCTCTGTTTTGGTAACACTACCATGCTGTTTTGGTTACTGTAACCTTGTAGTATAGTTTGAAGTCAGGTAGCGTGATGCCTCCAGCTTTGTTCTTTTGGCTTAGGATTGACTTGGCAATGCAGGCTCTTTTTTGGTTCCATATGAACTTTAAAGTAGTTTTTTCCAATTCTGTGAAGAAAGTCATTGGTAGCTTGATGGGGATGGCACTGAATCTATAAATTACCTTGGGCAGTATGGCCAGTTTCACGATATTGATTCTTCCTACCCATGAGCATGGAATGTTCTTCCATTTGTTTGTATCCTCTTTTATTTCGTTGAGCAGTGGTTTGTAGTTCTCCTTGAAGAGGTCCTTCACGTCCCTTGTAAGGTGGATTCCTAAGTATTTTATTCTCTTTGAAGCAATTGTGAATGGGAGTTCACTCATGATTTGGCTCTCTGTTTGTCTGTTATTGGTGTGTAAGAATGCTTGTGATTTTTGTACATTGATTTTGTATCCTGAGACTGCTGAAGTTGCTTATCAGCTTAAGGAGATTTTGGGCTGAGACAATGGGGTTTTCTAGATATACAATCATGTTGTCTGCAAACAGGGACAATTTGACTTCCTCTTTTCCTAATTGAATACCCTTTATTTCCTTCTCCTTCCTGATTGCCCTGGCCATAACTTCCAACACTATGTTGAATAGGAGTGGTGAGAGAGGGCATCTGTGTCTTGTGCCAGTTTTCAAAGGGAATGCTTCCAGTTTTTGCCCATTCAATATGATATTGGCTGTGGGTTTGTCATAGATAGCTCTTATTATTTTGAGATATGTCCCATCAATACCTAATTTATTGAGAGTTTTTAGCATGAAAGGTTGTTGAATTTTGTCAAAGGCCTTTTCTGCATCTATTGAGATAATCATGTGGTTTTTGTCTTTGGTTCTGTTTATATGCTGGATTACATTTATTGATTTGCGTATATTGAACCAGCCTTGCATCCCAGGGATGAAGCCCACTTGATCATGGTGGATAAGCTTTTTGATGTGCTGCTGGATTCAGTTTTCCAGTATTTTATTGAGGATTTTTGTATCAGTGTTCATCAAGGATATTGGTCTAAAATTCCCTTTTTTGCTTGTGTCTCTGCCCGGCTTTGGTATCAGGATGATGCTGGCCTCATAAAATGAGTTAGGGAGGATTCCCTCTTTTTCTATTGATTGGAATAGTTCAGAAGGAATGGTACCAGTTCCTCCTTGTACCTCTGGTAGAATTCGGCTGTGAATCCATCTGGTCCTGGACTCTTTTTGGTTGGTAAGCTATGGATTATTGCCACAATTTCAGCTCCTGTTATTGGTCTATTCAGAGATTCAACTTCTTCCTGGTTTAGTCTTGGGAGAGTGTATGTGTCGAGGAATTTATCCATTTCTTCTAGATTTTCTACTAGATTTTCTAGTTTATTTGCATAGAGGTGTTTGTAGTATTCTCTAATGGTAGTTTGTAGTTCTGTGGGATCGGTGGTGATATCCCCTTTATCATTTTTTATTGCATCTATTTGATTCTTCTCTCTTTTTTTCTTTATTAGTCTTGCTAGTGGTCTATCAATTTTGTTGATCCTTTCAAAAAACCAGCTCCTGGATTCATTAATTTTTTGAAGGGTTTTTTGTGTCTCTATTTCCTTCAGTTCTGTTCTGATTTTAGTTATTTCTTGCCTTCTGCTAGCTTTTGAATGTGTTTGCTCTTGCTTTTCTAGTTCTTTTAATTGTGATGTTAGGGTGTCAATTTTGGATCTTTCCTGCTTTCTCTTGTGGGCATTTAGTGCTATAAATTTCCCTCTACACACTGCTTTGAATGTGTCCCAGAGATTCTGGTATGTTGTGTCTTTGTTCTCGTTGGTTTCAAAGAACATCTTTATTTCTGCCTTCATTTTGTTATGTACCCAGTAGTCATTCAGGAGCAGGTTGTTCAGTTTCCATGTAGTTGAGTGGTTTTGAGTGAGTTTCTTAATCCTGAGTTCTAGTTTGATTGCACTGTGGTCTGAGAGATAGTTTGTTATAATCTCTGTTCTTTTACATTTGCTGAGGAGAGCTTTACTTCCAAGTATGTGGTCAATTTTGGAATAGGTGTGGTGTGGTGCTGAAAAAAATGTATATTCTGTTGATTTGGGGTGGAGAGTTCTGTAGATGTCTATTAGGTCTGCTTGGTGCAGAGCTGAGTTCAATTCCTGGGTATCCTTGTTGACTTTCTGTCTCGTTGATCTGTCTAATGTTGACAGTGGGGTGTTAAAGTCTCCTATTATTATTGTGTGGGAGTCTAAGTCTCTTTGTAGGTCACTCAGAACTTGCTTTATGAATCTGGGTGCTCCTGTATTAGGTGCATATATATTTAGGATAGTTAGCTCTTCTTGTTGAATTGATCCCTTTACCATTATGTAATGGCCTTCTTTGTCTCTTTTGATCTTTGCTGGCTTAAAGTCTGTTTTATCAGAGACTAGGATTGCAACCCCTGCCTTTTTTTGTTTTCCATTTGCTTGGTAGATCTTCCTCCATCCTTTTATTTTGAGCCTATGTGTGTCTCTGCATGTGAGATGGGTTTCCTGAATACAGCACACTGATGGGTCTTGACTCTTTATCCAATTTGCCAGTCTGTGTCTTTTAATTGGAGCATTTAGTCCATTTACATTTAAAGTTAATATTGTTATGTGTGAATCTGAACCTGTCATTATGATGTTAGCTGGTTATTTTGCTCATTAGTTGATGCAGTTTCTTCCTAGTCTTGATGGTCTTTACATTTTGGCATGATTTTGCAGCAGCTGGTACCGGTTGTTCCTTTCCATGTTTAGTGTTTCCTTCAGGAGCTCTTTTAGGGCAGGCCTGGTGGTGACAAAATCTCTCAGCATTTGCTTGTCTGTAAAGTATTTTATTTCTCCTTCACTTATGAAGCTTAGTTTGGCTGGATATGAAATTCTGGGTTGAAAATTCTTTTCTTAAAGAATGTTGAATATCGGCCCCCACTCTCTTCTGGCTTGTAGAGTTTCTGCCAAGAGATCTGCTGTTAGTCTGATGGGCTTCCCTTTGTGGGTAACCCGACCTTTCTCTCTGGCTGCTCTTAACATTTTTTCCTTCATTTCAACTTTGGTGAATCTGACAATTATGTGTCTTGGAGTTGCTCTTCTCGAGGAGTATCTTTGTGGCGTTCTCTGTATTTCCTGAATCTGAATGTTGGCCTGACTTGCTAGATTGGGGAAGTTCTCCTGGATAATATCCTGCAGAGTGTTTTCCAACTTGGTTCCATTCTCCCCGTCACTTTCAGGTACACCAATCAGACGTAGATTTGGTCTTTTCACATAGTCCCATATTTCTTGGAGGCTTTGTTCATTTCTTTTTATTCTTTTTTCTCTAAACTTCCCTTCTCGCTTCATTTCATTCATTTCATCTTCCATCACTGATACCCTTTCTTCCAGTGGATCGCATCAGCTCCTGAGGTTTCTGCATTCTTCACGTAGTTCTCGAGCCTTGGCTTTCAGATCCATCAGCTCCTTTAAGCACTTCTCTATATTGGTTATTCTAGTTATACATTCGTCTAAATTTTTTTCAAAGTTTTTAACTTCTTTGCCTTT
The DNA here is from genome assembly GCF_000001405.40 of Homo sapiens. Classification (NCBI taxonomy): domain Eukaryota; kingdom Metazoa; phylum Chordata; class Mammalia; order Primates; family Hominidae; genus Homo; species Homo sapiens. The sequence continues at coordinate 115,317,257 of NC_000003.12, forward strand.
GGTTTGAATTTCCTCCTGTAGCTCGTAGTTTGATCGTCTGAAGCCTTCTTCTCTCAACTCGTCAAAGTCATTCTCCGTCCAGCTTTGTTCCATTGCTGGTGAGGAACTGCGATCCTTTGGAGGAGTAGAGGTGCTCTGCTTTTTAGAGTTTCCAGTTTTTCTGCTCTGTTTTTTCCTCATCTTTGTGGTTTTATCTACTTTTGGTCTTTGATGATGGTGATGCACAGATGGGTTTTTGGTGTGGATGTCCTTTCTGTTTGTTAGTTTTCCTTGTAACAGACAGGACCCTCAGCTGCAGGTCTGTTGGAGTTTGCTAGAGGTCCACTCCAGACCCTGTTTGCCTGGGTATCAGCAGCAGTGTCTGCCGAACAGTGGTTTTTCGTGAACCGCGAATGCTGCTGTCTGATCGTTCCTCTGGAAGTTTTGTCTCAGAGGAGTACCCGGCCGTGTGAGGTGTCAGTCTGCCCTACTGGGGGGTGCCTCCAAGTTAGGCTGCTCGGGGGTCAGGGGTCAGGGACCCACTTGAGGAGGCAGTCTGCCTGTTCTCAGATCTCCAGCTGCGTGCTGGGAGAACCACTGCTCTCTTCAAAGCTGTCAGACAGGGACATTTAAGTCTGCAGAGGTTACTGCTGTCTTTTTGTTTGTCTGTGCCCTGCCCCCAGAGGTGGAGCCTACAGAGGCAGGCAGGCCTCCTTGAGCTGTGGTGGGCTCCACCCAGTTGGAGCTTCCCGGCTGCTTTGTTTACCTAAGCAAGCCTAGGCAATGGTGGGCGCCCCTCCCCCAGCCTCGCTGCCGCCTTGCAGTTTGATCTCAGACTGCCCTGCTAGCAATCAGCGAGACTCCGTGGACGTAGGACCCTCCGAGCCAGGTGCAGGATATGATCTCCTGGTGCGCCGCTTTTTTAAGCCCGTCGGAAAAGCGCAGTATTCGGGTGGGAGGGACCGGATTTTCCAGGTGCCGTCTATCACCCCTTTCTTTGACTAGGAAAGGGAACTCCCTGACCCCTTGCACTTCCTGAGTGAGGCAATGCCTTGCCCTGCTTCGGCTCCCGCTAGGTGCGCTGCACCCACTGACCTGCGCCCACTGTCTGGCACTCCCTAGTGAGATGAACCCAGTACCTCAGATGGAAATGCAGAAATCACCCGTCTTCTGCGTCGCTCACGCTGGGAGCTGTAGACCGGAGCTGTTCCTATTCGGCCATCTTGGCTCCTCCCGACATTCGATGTTTCACCATCAAGTATGACATTAGCTGTGAGTGTTTCATCGATGTCCTTTATCAAGTTAAAGAAGTTCTCTTCTATTCCTAGTTTAAGTGTTTTTATCATGCAAAGTTGTTGGATTTTGACACATGCTTTTTCATTGTCTGTCAAGATAATAACATGGTTTTTGTCCATTATTTGATTCATGTGCTGTATTGATTGCTTTTTATATGTGGAAGCAACTTTTCTTCTGGGGTAAACCCATATTGTGGTGTATAATCCTATTTACATGTTGTTGGGCTCAGTTTGCTAATAATATTTTGTTATTGGTGATTTTTGCGTCTATATTTATGAGGGATATTGGTCTGTACTTTCATTTCTTGTGATATCTTTGCCTGGTTTTGATATCAGGGTAATATTGGCCTCATAGAAAATGTTAAAAGATTGTTTTGATAGTGTTTGAGTTGGTGTTTTAACATTAAATATTTTAAGTAAGACAGTGGTGCTGAAGCTTAACTTGGTCAGCGGTAATATAATTTTTCAGCGAGATCATTCCAAAGCATGGTGAATGGATTAGAAAATGCAGGTGAGACGTGGAGCCTGGGAGACCAGTGAGGAGTTAATGAAATGACTCAAATTGGAAAAGATAAGCTTCTGAATTGAGGTTGTGAGCATGAAGAGTTAAAGAAAGGACTAAGTACAAAACATATTCAGGAGGTATATGACACATCTTATTTCTATCTTCTTTAAGTTGTCTTTTCTTGGTTTTCAAAGGATAGGTATACAGGCCTTTGAGGTTCTTTTATTTTTATTTCTGTTGGTGCTACTGCTCTCCCTTTCTTTATGACACTGGTGTTAGGGAAATTATTATCTTTGCCTTTATAAAGCTGAGACCAGATGAATTTTAGAAAATAAACTTTGCTAAAGAACCCAGAGAAAAACAAAAGAGCAATAAGAAAACAAAGTGTGCACAAAATGCGTCAAAACACTATTAGTCAAACATATTACAGGTTTCTGACACCCCAGTAGCTAATTCTTAGCAGGCAAGCAAGCCCAGTACAAGGGCCTACCCTATACAAGGGTCAAACCCAGGAAATTCTTTTTTTTTTCTTTCCTCTTATGCCCCTTGTACCAGAGTTCACCTCCAAAGAGATTATCTATAAAAAATAATGAGTATTGCAGATGTTTGATGAGCCATTCTTGGTAAAACAATTGCACTTTCATTAAGAGTCTATCATCATAGAAAGAAATTGTCTGGGAACAGAGAGTCATTTTCTATATCCCTCAAAGAATAAGGTCACTTAGGAAGTCCTTTCTTTCCTATGTGGCAGTGTTCAGTCTCAGATATTCTGCATCTTGGTAGAGATATCAGCTGTCTCTTCTGTCTCCCAAAGGAGACAGAAAGTGATCTACTCATTTATTCATTAAACTAACTCTTTTTATGACAGCTCGCTATGTATCTGTCAGTAACTTGCTGGGCCTTAGGTTACAATAAAAAGGTCCATTCATTGTCTTTAGGAGGCAGGAGTTGAGGGGACCAGGGCCAACACCTAGAGGGTCATTGTAGTACAGTATGATGAGAAAGATGATAAAAGTAGATGTAGAATGCACAAAGAAAATACATCTCAGTTGAACATAATGTGAAGAAAGAGTGTCTTGGAAGGCTTCATGGAAGGAGCAATGGTTTGTCTTTGAATAATTTGTAGTGGTTAGCCAGGAGGAAAAAAAGGGGGAAATCACTACTGGGGAAAAGCATTAAATCAATTAACTAAAAACTACTTAGATTTTGCACTTATTTGCCTTCATGGTACACTAAAATTCTCTTTGAAGTGTCCAAAATAGTAAACCAACTAGTCAACTGATAGAACACTGGAATGAGGCTCACAGATTGCTTAGTAGAATAAACCCTTCCACAAATTGCTGTGTCTTCCTAAGCCTTAATTATTTTAACCTTAAAACAAAGGATCTGAACTCTATGACCTTTTCTGTGCTTGCATTGTATGCTCTTCCTAAGAGGAATAATCACTTCTCTGGAAATGTAGAGATATCCAGAAGGGGCTTTTTGGAGTATAACTCTAATCCTGGGATAGTTGGAGAGTTTTTTGGTGTGTGGGAATTGAGTGGACTGGAACTGTAGGTAGCCTCAAACGCAGTTCTGTGGCTTCAGCACCACTTATTTGGGAGTTGATCAGAGGAGGGAAAGAAGGTAGAGATGGTTGTAATGACTTGGGTTGTAGGTGATTCAGAAAGGAATTTGAAAAGTTTAGTTATTGAAGATGCTTTTAATCTATTGATTTACTTTTACCTGCTCTACACATAGTTTTTTCTGCCATTCTGGAATTCAGAAACTGTGGTCTTACATAGCAACAGTGGGGTGTGTGCATCTACTCAAAGCACTTATGGGCCAGAAATTCCATTAACTTGTTGTTGTTGTTGTTGTTGTTGTTGTTTTTATCCCTAAGGAATCCTTTATCTTGTTATTCCTGAGTTTTCCAGAAAGGAAATGCAGAAAGTGTTAACTGCAGAGATATCATTCTTGTGGAAGATGCCTATAAATGTGAATTGTATACCAGAAACACAAACTAGTGTCCTGGGCTTAGTGCAGGAAATGTTTGACTACATATGGCTACTATATTTAAAGATTACAAGTCATAATCTTAAACTAAGATTTAACATACAAATTTGAATTCCTAGCTTCTCTGTAAAATCAGAAGATTTGACAACATTGGATCCCTGATCTTAATGACAACAATTAGTTGTACTTGAGTAGTAGATGCCCCATTTATACGGGGGATGTGCTCATAATTTTAATTCATTGTGTTTCAGTTTTTCTACTTTTAAATTAGAGGATAATAAGGGAACTGCGTCGTATGGCTTTTTTTGTGGATTAAGTAAATCAATATCTCTAAATCTCCTCAAACCATGCTTGGTACAAAATAGGTGCTATATCAATGTTTGCTCTGCTAGTGATTATTATCTCTTCCCAATTAAACATAGTCTTCACAACTCTCTATTGTCTTGCATCCATCCTGAGTTACTCATTTCCTGCCTGGCTCCTATAAACATTTGTGTTTTGATCCCTGCTGTTGGCTTTTAACATTTGTGAATTTGACATCTGTGATTTTAACTACTCTAAAGCCACCCAAATATCCATGACTCATTGAGATTTGTGATTTTGTTGAAGCAATAATTAGAATCACTCATCTCGAAAGCCTGGTCAGCAGAAACAAACCACTTAGCCAGTGAGTGGGCGTAGCTCAGCATCCGCTTCTCATGTGGTGCTGTTGTTCTGTTTTATGCAATAACTCTCCTGAAGGGGTACCTAGAAGGGGATGTCTATTGTAGTACTCATTTGGCCATCAATCCATGCCCTCTGTGCACCTCAGGATCTATAATGTATCTTTTCACTGTGATATAATGTTATCCTTGCTTCCACAATAAACACTCTAATAAAATGCTATCCTGTGACTCAGAAAGTTGGAACATTTGAAAAATAAATATAATTCCAAATGCAATTGTGTATTCACAATTAGAAAAGAAGGAAAATGGGGATCTAGTTAGAAACTAAAGTGGCGGCACAGGGAGAACCCAAAAGCTCAGTTTTTTAATAGACCCACACTGAAGACAGCAAGAAGAGCATCAAAAGTGAATATAAAAAGAATGTCAGGCACCTGGAAAAACAGTCAAGGAAAGCAAAAGTCCAGCAGGAGTGCACTTAAAAAAATCAAACCAAGAGTAATACAAAGGGCTTGGGCTGAAGGAAGAAGAATATAAAGTACAGGTGAGGTCTGCTGCTGCAGAAAGATTAGCAGAGTGATAGAGACAAGGCAGAACTTCCTGAATCAGGTCTTGTGATCATCTTTTCTGGTAACTGAAGATGTCCAGCATTGAAATGGGTTGCCTAGTACAGTTGTGAGGTTTTGACCATTGCAAGAACTTCAGCAATGTCTAGAAAATTACTAGTCAGGGATGTGGTGCCACATAGCCTGGCTCTTAGATCTTCCTCTGCTCTGGTGGATGAGGATAATGAGCTCTGCAGGAAGGCCCTGAATCCCCCTCTTATACCCAGGAAGTATCCTAGGATGGACCCTACTTTCTTTTTTCCTATTGCTTCCTCTCTTATGTATGCCTCTCTTCCTACCTCCTTTAGATTAAGGTTTTGTTTGGCTCTAAGCTTTAGTTTCACTATGGGATATGATTTTTTCAGAGATCTCCTGGGTCTGTTTTACTCACCCAGAGTAAAACCACTCATCTAGGAGAAGAATTAGCATATATGTTATCATAAATCTAATGACCAAATGAAGGAATATCATTTTTTTCTTTATGTCAACGGGCATATTTTTCTTTTCTATTTGATGAGCTTTCACTGTAAGTAGGCCAAATTGCCCTTGTAGATAGGTTCATATAATTGGAAGACTATGACTTTATAGTATTTGGAGAAAGCAGACACACCTTCCCAGTAAGGGCTTGGGAGAGAAGGTGACTACAGAAATGGCAATAAAAAGGGGAAAATGTTATTTTTCTGTTGTCCCTCTCTCTTTATACTGGAGTAAGTTTCTTCTTGTTAGCAAGAAGGCATGCGGCTTGGTCTCCACCTCCCCGGTGGCAGGTCTTCAAAGACCAGAAAGGACTCTAAGGTTTGACCACAGCAGTATGTTGTGGCTGCTTTCAGGAGTCCTGCTGCTGCTGCTGTGACATTTCTCGTTGGCTTTACAGATTAGGCTGGAAATGTAAAGTAGAAATGGGCTGTTAGCTAAATGTAGCCACAGATACTGCCTGCCCAGCTCTTGGCTACTTTAATAGGAATTGCTGCTTGATCACAGGAGCATAATTAATGTGCCTCTCTTCCCAGTTGGCATGTTGCCTTTAAATAATTGGCTGAATATTTCCCTCTACAATTCTCAATTTCCTTGTCAGAAAATAATGAAATTCTTAAAATATATCGGAGTGATCATAATAGGTTACTTATTATGTGTATACTTTCAAGATACAGAGGAGTATTGCTGAAACCTCACATTGGAAAGGCGAGGTAGAAGGAAAGATAGCAGTTTTTTCTTGGCCTGAAAAGATATTTCTAGGGCATGGCATTCCATAGAATATGCTGAATGGACAGTCTTGTGAAACTCAAAGTCAAACAGTGAAGTTCTACTCTACTGAGCTGGCATTGTGAGTAATCTGTTAATCTCTGCCTGGTATCTTTAACTCTTTCTCTGTTTTTGAGCCTCTGCTAACATCTACTTCTTGGATTCTGTTTATTTCTCTTTCTCTTTCTCCTTCTGTATTCTGTAACTTAGCATCTGCACTTCAGTTTGTCTCTCTTCCATTCATTTTCACACTGGTCCCTTTTCCTCTGTCTTCTCTGTGCATATACCCACCTTCTCTGTGTCCATACTCTCCCCAGGCATTGACACGCCATGTTGATATCTTTTGCCACACACCTACGCCCATATACTTCCTGCACATGATGACTTCCATTGTGCCTTTGTTGGTCCTTGTGTCCCAGTGCTGACTCAGTGTGGCTCCCTCTATAATTCTGTGTTGGTGTCCACTTGGATCAATGCTATCCGAGGCTGACATGTAAACAAAGCACCACTCAAAGTTGATCCCATAGAGCATAAAACATGGAAAAAGATCTGGGGAAAGAGAGGCAATGCTATGTGACTCCAAACTCAGTAACAATGACTCTTTACCCTCAGTGTTCTTCATGAGTTACTTGGCACAGGAAGTCTTTTTAATGAGCTCTGAGTTCTTCCCCCACATTAAATGTCTCAGTTCAGAAACTGTTCGTTTTTGTTTTCTGCTTTCTATTATTTGTACAATGATCTAAATGTTTTAACTTCCATTTGCATGACTTTCCAATTTGTTCTGGTATTTATCTTCCAACTTAAAACTTTCCCCAGGGAGAGTTAGTTCCCTTTTTTCTGTTCCACCAAAGCAATTTGTTCATATTTTTATTGTGTCACTTTCTCATGTTTTATTATAATTACATGTTTACATATACCACTTTCTTTCAATTTTCTATTCTATTTTCTTTTGGTCAATGCCCAGAAGACTATACAGTCACAAAAGAACTGACTTCTTTAAATGTGTGGTAGAATGTGGTCACCACTGTCCTCCAGAAGCCCCTAAATTGATGGAAATAGAAAATTCCTAGTTCCTGCAGTGCAGGTTTAGACTTTTTTTTAAAGCTGCACAATCTGAAATAAAGGAATCACGTAAGCAAGACTTTTGTGCCCAGAACCCTTGCAATGAGTCTGTATAATGCTCCTTGCCAAGAAGCATAATTACTGCCCTACGTGGAAGCATCAGTTATTTCTAGGCACTTATGTGGCCCTTCCTATAGGGCAGTAGATAAAATCTTTGGAGACTCTTGTTTTGGATACTTTGATCTGTTGGTTCCTTTCCCCATGCTGACTGCTGGCCAACACATCACTCTAATGTAGGAGGGTCCTCAGGAGCTTTGTCCCCTGGGAAACAGAAAGGGTCCTCAGGTAGCTTTGTTCTCTCTGATACAACCCTTTGTCTCCATAGTTCTCATATCATTTTGATTTTTGAGAAAGCTTGGGCATAGAACTGGTTAATGTCCGTGAGTTTTATCCCCTTATTTCCTCAAATCTAGGCTTTATCTTTTTAGACCTGGTCTAGAATAAAATTTAATAAATGAATTTGCCATAAAATCAGTTTGGTGTTTTAATTTTTATTATACTCACAGGTTCTGCCCACATTCAAGGGTAGATGATTCTTATATGGGTAGTATGCACCAGAGGGTGAAAATCCATTCTCATCAATTTTTAAAGTATTTTTGTTTGAGACTAAAGTTGGTAATATTTTGCATGGCCTCTTCAACCAATACAAATATATTGATCCATACTTACTGCTGTATTAATGTACAAAATATAATTCCTTCACTTAAGGAGTTAATCATAATCATGTTAGAAAGAAAGAACATTAGATAGGAAGAGGGGAGTTAAGGTAATCTATATGAGCTGTATGAAGCATATGCAAATACTGTAAAACATAGTATGTTAGAGGAATTAGCAGTCTGGAATAGTATAGACAACTTCGTGGGGAAAGGGGATATAAATGAGGGACAGAAGCAAACATTGACCTGTGTAGAATTTTTATTCCTCCACTGGTTACTGACTTTAGGTACTCAGGAAATAGAGCACAAAACAGGAAGAATGACAGACAAAATAATTGAATTCATGTGGTCAAGGGTGCCATTTACAAGACAGTCACGGTGGAGAGCACAGGTGTTGAGGGAGAGATCTGTAGGCAGTATGGGGAGAGCTGCTGTCCGAGGTTCTGAACTACAGTTGGTTAGTTCTCCTGTCCTTGCCTATTTGTCCAAACTCTCAGGAATGCTGAACCAGGTTTGGGCAGAGGTGTTGATAGGAGAAATGGGAGAAAGGGAAAGAAGATAGGGAGCAGGGAGTAAGAGATTTTTTTTCCAGTGAAATAACCACTAAGAGCTATGACAGTTTGCAAATAATTGCAAAGATGGGGGGGGAAAGCCATAAGTAATCTCAGACTAAATGTTAGATAACTCTTATCAATTTTCCATCCCTGCATAACAAACTTCCACAAACTGGGTGGCTTAAAACAACACAAATTTGTTATCATAGTTTTCATAAGTCAGGAATGTAGGCACAGGTTAGCTGGGTCTTTTTTCAGGGTCTCATAAGGTATAAACCAATGTGTTAACTGAATTCCTTTCCTTCCTAGAGCCTGGAGTCTTCTATCAAGCTCAGGCAGTTGTTGTCAGAACTCTGTTCTTGTAGTTTAGGACTGAGGTCCCCACACTCCTGCTGGCTACTAGCCAGGGACCACTCTCAGATCATAGGGGCTGCCCACAGTTCCTTGTCACATGGGTCTCCAAATCTTTATAACTTTAAGAAGGATCTAGTCATCTTTAGGAGCTCACTTAATTGAGTTAGGTCCACCCAAACAATCTTCTTTTTTATTAAGTTGAAGTCAACTGATTAGTAACCTAATCATAGAAGTGATATTCCATTATATTGACAGGTTCTGCCTCCACTCAAGGGGAAGGAATTATATAGGTTGTGCACATTAAGGAGTAGAATCTTGGGGGGTCATTTTAGAATTCTGTCTACTACAATGAGCAAAGGAAAAAGAAACTTGTGTAAGAACTTCCATATTAAAATTATTTTGGTTGCAAGTGGCTAGGTCAATCATAAATAACAAGTTAAAAAGGAACTCATTGGACATATGCTAGACTATCTTGTAGATTCCCAGGAAGAGTTGAAACACTAGCCTTTGGGAAGAGTAAATTCTGGGGAAACTCTAGAGACTTCAGTTAATAGAACATTTTTCCACAGCACCAATGCTTGACTTAAAATAATTTGTGTCTCTCAGTTCAAAAATATAAATTTTTCTGAGACAGAATTTAGGAATAGGTATCCACCTTGAATCAATCAAATACAACTGAGGGAAGACTCTCATACTATAGACATAGCTTATGGATCCATGCCTGTATATTGATTCTAGTTATCAGAAAAATTGTTATTATTGTGAAATTTCCAGCTACCCTAAGATGAGTCTATGTCACAAGTGAGGCAGAATGATGTGATGTTGGCAAGTATCAACAATTGTATATAGACAGCATGAGAAATATCTTCGAGGTGGAAACAGTGATTAAAGCGTTATTGTCAGTTGTTAAATTAACATACTAAAAATTTTGCATTTTATTTTTTTCTATTTTCACTAGCTTTCTTCAAATTTTTAATTAATATATCTATTTTATTTTTATTTTGCATTTCCAATACCCCCATTTAAATACATTTAACCACAACTTATATAGTTTTATTTACTTTCAATAGATTTAACATGTTTCCAATAATAGGATACTTACCCTTCCCACTTTGGAAATTTGGATGTAGGGAGGAGATATTCCCTGTTCTCCAAGTACTCTTATACTATGCCACACTTGTGAGATGGATAAAAATTGATAAGCCAGGAAAAAGTAATTTGGAAAAAGTTTTGGCATTTTGTGTTAATTATACCTGTCATTGGAACACCCTCTCTGCCATCATACTTTAGCTGTTTGACACAGGGGGATTTGACATGACAGTTTCTGATGTTAATAAACAATACTGAAAAATTATATTTGTTGTGCTTTTGCTGAAGCATGGATTTGAGTCATGTGTACTGAGAGATTTAAGGGTAGTGGTGAGACACTGTTGGTAAGTGAGCATAGCTGACCACACAGATTGTGAAAGCTTTAAACATTCATTATGTCGTTACTTCTGTTACTGTTACTTAATGCTGTTGTAGATTTTATAAGGTAGGAGGAATTAATTGCAATAGTGATATTCACCTTGATTCATTAAAGTCCCAGAATGTATTTATTTTATGATATAATGGCTTCATGTATAGTTTAACATTCATATAATAGTTAGATTATAATGTACTTTTCTATACATGATCTCTCTTGATTCTCACCATAATGCTTTGAAGCATTCAGATAAACCTTGTTCAGAGAAAAGAACTCAAAGGAGGTTCAAACAGAATGTATCAGATTCTGGAGCAGAATTCTTGTCTTTTTGACTTCTACTCCTGCATCTTTTTCCCACAAGAATAAAAAAAAATGATGCCTTTGTATCTGTCTGAAGTGTGACTGCTGAGGAAAATAACAAAAGCCCATATTAACATACCTGTGAGTCTCAATAAATATTCATTGTGATGTTTAGCCCATTTTTTTCTCAATTGGGAGTCCATAGATCTCTCAGTTAAATGTGGAATAATCCTAGTAATGTTCTTTCTCTGTGGGCTTTGTTCTATAGACTTTGAAGCACAACCAAAATAGACTCATCCATTATAATTATTTTTACTTTTATTTCCAATATGGGCATCAGGGAGAAAAGATACTGAGCAGTAGAAGAGAAGTGATGAAGAGCTAGTGACAGGTTGGGCCTTAGGGGAATCCCTGGGGGTCCTACAATGCAAGACACCAGCCTTAATTAATAGAGAAGTGAATGGTATACAATTGTACACATATTTTGATTATATCTTCTGCTCCTTTGTTAAGTTAAACAAAAAATACTGGACATGAGTATGTGTGTGTGGGAGTGGTGTTGGTGACAAGGAGGGGTGGAAAGGTCAATGGTACATAACTGTTCCTATAGTCCTTGTTTAGCCTTGAACAATCTTATGAGCTAGTGGTTAGTCTGTTGACTCACAACCATGTTCTTCTTCTAGTTGGTTGATGGGGCAGGGGTTGTCTTCTGTAAGTGAGAAACAAATGAAATATGAATGCAGTGCCTCCATTTTGTATAGTTTATAGATACAGTAATGACTACTTAAACATAATGTTGCCCTAGGGCTCTGTGTGCTCCTGAAAGTCCATTGTGTTTAAGATGTATATAAAGCCTTAAGGCAATATTGCACCATCAGAGAAAAGATTTTTGCCCAGGCAATAAACGTATTGCTTTAGTGTCCTTCCACATTGTCAAATCCTTTGTATTAATATCCTTTCCCACACTTCTGTCTTTGCCACCTGTGATGTAGGTTTTAAAGAAAAGGCCTCCCATCTTGAGATGATTTTGTGATTTAGTGAAACTGTATCTTTGGTGCTTTACTTGCGCTCTTTTTAGTGTTTAGTATTTTAGTTTTTGGATTTCCTTCTCTTCTCTTCTCTTCTCTTCTCTTTCTTTCTTTCTTTTTCTTTCTTTCTTCTTCTCTTTTCTTTCTTTTTCTCTTTCTTTCTCTCTTTCTTTCTTTCTCCTTTTTCTTTCTTCTTTCTTTCTCTCTCCTTCCTTCCTTCTTCCTTTTCTTTTCTTTTCTCCTTCCTTCCTTCCTTTCAGCACAACCATTTTTCCAAGGTCTATTGAAAAGAAAGATTATTTTATAAATGAAATCACAATTAAATTGTGGTGATTTGGGGTGAGTTTTCGTTGGAAATTGAAAGTTTAATCAACCAACTGTTCTTGAACACTGGGTTATCCTTTCATAGATGAGGAAGTGGGTTCAAAGGAGGTCAGGAACTTAACTAATTAGTAAAGGATGTTAGTGAGATTTATCTTGCTCACAATTCTGATCTGACTTCATTTCTTGGTAATGCTTGTCATTGAGAAAATAATTTTTATAGACAGAAATTCTAATAATGGACTTTATGGAACTCTAATAGATGAGGGTTGAGAGGTCTTGAAAAGAACTCTCAGATTGGATTGTGTTTACTTATTATGTTCAAGGAAACCCCTACTGCGCAGAACAAGCTTTGGTAATAAGCAAATCCTGCTTCTCTCCCTTCATTAGGGAGGGCTCATTGAGGAAAAAACAAAGTAGCAGTGAGCTAGAGGTACAGAAGCACCTCTACTATGCAGTCTTGAAGTCTTTTGTTTTCTCCCTGCACTCATATGTCCTCTGGATCTAAACTTACCACAGCCTAGAGAGAGAGTCTGGTCATGCTCAGCATGGGAAAGTATTAAAAAATCTATCTTTCATCTTTCTGAGGGAAGCAGAACCACTCTTTACCTGCCTGAGAGTATAATTAGGGGTCAGTTGGGAGGACTGTTGAGTTGAGGCTATGTGCACAATGCTTAAGAGTGTGGAGTCTGGTATCAGCCAGACCCAGGTTCAAGCCCTGACTTTGCTATTTTTAACTATGGGACTTTAGGCCAATTACTTAGTTCATCTTCACCTACAAGATGGAATAATATCAGAGCCTACCTCATGGCCTTGTTGGGTGGATTAAGTAAGATAATGAATGTAATGTGTCTGACAAAGTGTTCAATAAATGTTAATAAATTGACATTTATTAACAAAGAAAAAGTGTTTAATAAATGTTAATAAATTGAAAAATGCTAATTTAAATGACTCCTGTGTGTGCTCCATATGATTGTTCTTTTCAGCCATAGTGCTAGTGGTGTGGCTTGCTTCTAAATTACTTTTCCTGATGACAGAGTGAAAAAAGTTGTGCGTGTGTGGAGGAGAGAGCGTATACCTGACTAAATAACATAGATACTAATATAACCAGTAGCCTGAGAAGAGCCCTGAGTATCCTTCTCTTGAGCCATAACCTATGAAGGAAGTCCTGCTTAGCTCTGCTCTGGGAGGGTAAATGTGCTATTTCCTGCAGTCCTGGCTGTGTGTTTTGTGTTCCAGGGTTAGCTCAGCCCCCTCTTTGCCTGTCTGCAGGGCTGTCATTGTGTGATTCATAACTCAATATTAACCACAGATGAGGGAGGAGTGGATAGGGGAATTTTCTTTCATGTGACATAAAGTAACTGGGATCAGGGTTTTTCTATAGAAGCATTAATTATCCTTGTCAGTCTAACCAAGAACAAATTTTACTTCAACCAAAGATCATGGTATTTCATTGGCATCCAGGGAATGTACAATGAAGGCTTTGCCATTTATCCATGGGTATAATAAATTTAGAGTCTTTTGTGATTTATGTTTTTCACTCATTCTGTTTAAACTGGTATGGTATCTATTAATAATAAGCACACAATTCTGGAGTGTGAGACAGGAAGGTTATTGGTGACAAGACTAGATTACCAGTGTGTAAGGTTTTTTCACACTTTTCAATTCATTGTCTCTCTAATCCTTTTTTCTTGTTTCTGCTTTTCCCTTTATTGATTGTGGAAACTAATGGAATATAAGAGTTGGAAGGAGACTAAGAGATCATCCAATATTTTATAAAGAAAAATTATGAAGGACAAAAACTTGGTGGGTGCCTGTGGTATTGTGAAATATATATTTTTCTTCAATCCTGTTTCCTGACATAAAACTCCTAAAATCCTTGGGGAGGGGGCTAAAAGTTAAGTTGATCACCAATGGCCAGTGATTTAATCAGTCATGCCTATGTAATGAAGCTTCCATAAAACTCCAAAAGGGCTGAGTTTAGAGGGCTGCTAGATAGCTGGAAAAAATGGGTGTTCCTGGAGAGTGGCATGGCTGGGGAGGGCATGAAAGCTCCATGCCCCTACTCACATACATCTCTTCATCTGTATTCTTTGTAAAATCTTTTATAATAAACTGTAAGTGTTTCCTTGAGTTCTGTGAGCCGCTGTAGCAAATTAATTAAACCCAAAGTGGGACTCGTGGGAACCTCTACTTGAAGCTGGTTGGTCAGAAGTTCTGGAGGTCTGGATTTGCACCTGGTGTCTGAAGCTGGGGAGAGGAGGCAGTCTTGGGGACTGGGCCCTCAACCTGTGGGATCTGAGAGTATCACCAGGTAGATAGTGTCAAAATTAAATTGGAGGACACCCAGTTGGTGTCTGCTACAGAGATTATTGCTTCCTTGATGGTGGGGAGAAATCCCTTAATACTTTGGGGTCATAGAAGTCTTCTGTGTTGACTATTGTTTTGTTGGTATCAGAGCAGGGGAAAAATGGTTTGAGTTTTTCCTAACAGTGCCCTAACTAGCTCTTGTCTTTGATAATAATTCCTGCTCACAGAAATGCATCCAGTAGAATAAAATGGATTATCACTCTGGATATAGGTCAATTTTACTAGTTTTGCATTGGTAAATTCTGCATTTCTTATCTAACTACAATGTGTAACACATTGAGCTCTCGATGCAACTGGTTGTTCATACTGGTTCCTTCATTAAAATTCTGAGCCCATTTTCATTTTATATATGCATGAATAACATGATCTTTCATTTTAAAACAGTTTTAACACTATAGATGATAAAACAAAAAAGAAGAGAAAATGAATTATACAAACTTCGTGGCACATTTGGACTCAATTCTATGTTTTCTATGCCTATCTCCAGAAACTAATTTACATCATGTATTCTTCTGGACTATGTATCTGTACTCTATTCTTCCTAAATTTTCCTTAATCCTTTAAAATTAGGCCATGTCTCCAAAGTACAATGAATTGATAGCTTTAATATAAGCTTAATATGTATCTTTTTTTCCCTTCCTAATCAGATATGTAGGAATTACTTAGCAAATGATGGTGGAGGTAACTAACTATGTTGTATGCTTTGAGGTACTATTGAGGTCCTTTCTGTCTCCTTCATACTTCCTCCCCCATTCTATCCAAAATACATCTCCTTGTCTAACTGCCACTGACAATAGAACATCATTTATTTTGGCCAGAAGGTACTAGCCCTAAATAGAATGCAAATACACTTGGGGGTAAATATAACACTTAATACAGATTGGCTGATAAACTATTTCCAGTCTGAACTCTAGATGAAGGAAGGTTGATAGAAGAGAAGACTGGCTGAAAAGGTATGGGCATCTGGTATTTTTGGGAAAAGCTTGTTCTGCTACACCCATTATCACATGGTATCTGCTTTGTAGCTTCAGTGTTTAAGATCACCAGCTTCTACTCTCATGTCTCAACCCCTTAATCATTGTGCCTTTATGTATATTTTTCTCTTTATACAGCCTAAACTTAATGGTGAGTGCTTTCTGCAGACTGAAAGTGATGGCTGTTGAAATCTCTCAAATTAATCTCTAGGAATTTTAATTTGGTTGGCAGTCATATTTTTCAACCAAATATCAGGGGCTTCAATTTTTAGAATGTTGTCTTTTTAAACCCATTTGGCATTAACAACCTTCTTATACTCATCTGTTTAATTTTGGTGCCCAATCTTCTCCTGTAAGTTTTCCCGGTAGATCAAACAATAAAATATCATTCTTTTAGAATCCAAGTTTCTGTCTAGTCACTGAGATGTTTATCTACCAGTTTACTTAAGCTCAGCTAGAACCATCTCTAGTCATAAGTAGGCAAATATTCGTAAAGCCTTACATATTACACAACACACTTTGGAGGTACTTAATTTATGCAGATCCTGGCTTTCTACATATTCTTATACTGTAATGAATACCTACTCTTCTATATCCCAGGAGCATTTTTAAATTTCTGAATTAACTTTCCTTTATCTCTTCCCCCTTTTTCCTTTCCTTTCCATGCCTTTTTTCTTCATTCTCTTTCTCCTTCATTGAGTAAGTAATTCCTAAGTTCCTAATGTGTATCCAGCACATTGCTAGGCTCCATGGAATATGCTGTATCATCTAAATTAAAAAAATTCAAGTCAAAATTTTAGAATGTACAAAGCCTTAGAATGTACAAAATTATCGCAGTTTTTGGAGATTTTTGCTTGTTTGTTTTTGTAGGAAAACATGGAGATCATTGTTTGAAATTTCAGAATTTCAGAAAATTTAAATAGGAAGGCCATCTTTTGGTTACATAATGAAAGAAATGCAACCTTCCAGCATTGTAAATGACCAACAGTTTTTGGTATATTTTGTATATTAGTAAAAAATACTAATGACTATAATAATTATGTACATTTTGAAAATTGTCTATGTGCCAGTCCCTGAATGAAGCACTTTACACTTGGTTGTTGTGATCATGCTTAGCCTGGGAACCAGAACTAATGTCCTTTTCTATACAAAAGGAAACCATATGTAATGATAGATGCATGAAATTCAAAGAATTAGGCACTTCTAGTGGGTTATCTTCTGGAATTGAGAAAGAACCTCAGATTGTTATTCTCCAAGCCAAGAGACCAGGATGCAAACAGCCCAAATATCACCTACAATGAACTCTTCTTTCCCTTTCCCTTTTACATTCCAGAAAATTCAACAGCAATACAAATTAACCTTTGGAAAATCTTTCCTGGGTTTTATGTTTGTGTGAAATGCCCCTTTACTAAACTGGAAGATGTGTAAGATGGAAGAAGAGGTTCTGCTGGATATGGAGAAATTGGAACCCTTGTACATGTGGAAATGTAAAATGGTGCATTAGGAAAACAGTTTCAACGGTCCTCAAAGTGGTAAACATAGAGTTACCATATGACTGAGAAATTTTACTCCCAGGTATATACCCAAGATAAATAAAAACATGTTCATATAAAACTCATATATATATGTCCATGGCAGCTTTATTTATAGTTGCCAAAATGTCTCTTGTGACTGGCTTCTTTCACTCAACATGATGTGTTCAAGGTCCATTAGTATTGGAACTTAACTCGTCTTTATTGTTAAACGATATTCCACTGTATGGACATATCCTCATTTTATTTACCCATTCATCAGTTGATGGACATTTGGGGTTTTTCCATGTTTTGGCAGTGTGTGCATTGTGTGTGTTGTGTGAGGGAAAGGGATAGAATGAAAGTGATATTAAGATTAAGTGACATAATGTATGTAATATTTCTAGCAGAGTTCCTGGGACATGGCAGATATGTTATTATTTTATTACTATTGTTATAATTTCCTTTATCTAGGAGAGCACAGCTTCATTGCCAGATGTAACTTTTATTTAGACTAAGGAATCAGTTAAGATAACCATAAGATACTCTTGGTCTTGAACTCTGCCATGCCTAAACAAAAATTATCTTCTTTGCCTTGGAAAATTATTACTTTAGTGAAATAAATTGTTTTCTTTCTAAATTTGCAAAGTATTATTTTTTACACTATAATACTTTGCTATAAAAGAACTTTTTAAGGTACACTTTTTAAAAAAAGTGCGGGCAACTGAGACAAAATACAAAATTAATTGGCAATGATGTGGATTAAAAAGCAGTTAAATTAGTCATTTCTTTATTTTAAGATGAAGTCTCACTATGTTGCCCAGGCTAACCTGGAACTCCTAGGCTCAAGGGATCCTCTTGTGCACCACTGTGCTCAGCTATTATTTTGAGAAAGAAAGAATTATCAACTTAAAAGTAAAGAACAAAGCTCTTATTAAATTATGCAGTTAATAGTAAAAATATACTTGGGTAAATGGAGGAAATCTAGGGACTTAGTGAAGGAGTCAGGTGTAAAAGGAGAGAATGAGAGATTTAAAAGGTTGAAGAGAAAGGCAGAGAATAACATCAGTGCTTCCCAAAATTCTGAGTTTGAAAAATCAAACACGTTTAATAAAATGAGCAATTTAAAACTTAAAAAGCCCATGTCTTTGAAACACATATAGTTTGAAAACTTTATTGTTTTTCAGAAAGGAACACACACCTCTATTCAGGAATTTAGTAGCTGTTGCAATTCATATTTTCAGACACAACAACAGACAAAAGTGGAATTGTCAGTTTTTTTACATCAGAAGCCTGAGTAATTTTCTATCTTAAAATTGTGATGCACATTTTTTTCATATCATGTTTCTGAAATTTAAAATGCCATATAGAAAAAAGTAGAAATTTTCTTTCTTCTTTTTTCCCTTTTTTCTTTTTTGAAAAGCTGCTCTCAAATTAAGGGTGTTATTTAATGGCATCAGGAAAGAAAGGAAATTGGTGTGGTACATTTAATGTTAAATTCTGGTTACAGAATGAAAATTTCCCATAATAAAGCTAGACTTCGATTCACTCCTTGTCTACTTCTGTGTCCTTGAGCAAAGAAACATACTAGAATATAGACCAAACATCACAAGTCAGGAAGCCAGGTTGTGTTACCAACTATGGTAACAAACTGGGAGGTGTTTAATTTACATTCATATTCTGAAACATATAGAACTGTGCTGTGCAATATGGTAATTGCTAGCCACATGTGGCTATTTATATTAACTGCAATTAAATAAAATTCAACATTTAGTTCTTCAATCATACTGGCTACAGATAGCCAGTGGCTACTGTATTGGACAGTGCAGACCACATACATCACCGCAGAAAGTTCTGTTGGACAATGCCAATATATAAAGCTACCAAAAAGATACTTGTTTTTGCTGATGGGCTTTTTAGATATCTAAGTTGGTTGGTTGGTTGAGGTTACTAATAAGGCAGAATTTTGACATCAGCATAGGCCATTAATATCTTTACTTAGTGGCCAAAGAGATGTCCTTAAGTTTGTCTAGAGGCATCGCAGACATGTGTTAATAGACCTGGGGACTGAAGAGACAGTATCAAAGCTTCATTTATTTATTCTTAAATATTCATTGAGTACCTACTATGTTCTGGGCAGTATGTTCACTCAGTCTAGGTCCACACGACACAAACAAGAAGATACTGGTCTTAAACTTAAGAAACCATATCAGAGCAGACAGAATTAAATAAGGCTATTATGGAGCTAATAATAGAACCATGTTCTGAGTTAATGATATGAAAGGTGTGGTTTATTATGGAAATTGGTTAGAAAAGAAACATAACTGGTAATCCTACTTCATTTAAAAAAAAAGTTGCTGTGTTTGTGACACCTAAGTAGAAACTGGGTTCCTTGGTGATGGAGGAAAAGAATTGCTTGGAATACTTCTCTTTTATTATCCACAGAATCTAGCAAATTCCTAAATTCATAATAGATGGTCAGTATGTCAACTGAATAATTTACTAATCAGTTATCTGTTTTAGTTACAGACATTTAGAGAATTTTCTCAAAATAGCCATATCTTTAAAAAAGAGATTAAAAAAACAAAAATGAAACAAAGGAGGATGTCAGGATGACCCCTGTATGCGAGTAGTTGTGTGAACAGAAATCAAAGCAAAGATAATTTTCTCAACCTTTAATGTATTTTAAGCTTACTCTTATTTTAGTGTCTCAAAAGGGCCTGATAGATATCAAAGGTTCATTTTTTTCCTGCGAACTTTATGATGAACTAAGGTGATTGACAGAATAGAATAAGCAATCTGGGCTCTACCTGCTGGACTGGGAGTAGTCTGGACTTGTTAATAACGACATTCTTCTCAGGTGAAGAAAAAATGCATGAACTGGAAACATGCAATGTAGATTTAGGCAGTTCAGTTGAATGGTATGGCAGGCATCAGCTCTCCTGAACTTACTTATGGATCGGGCAGTTCCAAATCACCGTTTTATTCATATAGTTGTCAACAGATGGATGGTCCAGTTCCTCCTACTTTGTATTTAACATCATGTCTAATAAATATTCAACATTTAGCACATGCAGACTGCACTTGTTGAGCCTCCCCAACAGCTACTAATGAGGACATTAGCTTTTAATTAACTATATAAAGCTTTGGGTTTGGACTAGAACGTTCATTCAGCACAGGCATCAATTTGTAGATCATTATAGGACATTAGTTGGTTGCTAGACAACCACATGTTCTAGCAAATTTTAGGCTGAGCTCCAATGATAAGCAAGGATCAAACATTTCAACTCGCAAATTTGATCTTATTATCTTCTCAGCCTGGACTATTCTAACAACTACACAGGTCTTACCAGGCAGAGCTACTAAGTTCAAACTATGGAGTAAAGTTTTAAAAAATAGAATATTTATCTTGAATGCAGAGGAAGAAATGTTAGTATAAATTAAAGCTGTTAACAATCTCAGCCAAATTGCTAAGGGATGTCCATGTGGGACACATAAATCTGCTCACAGGATATCAGGTATTATTTTATAGTTTCATTTTAGTGTCTTTTAAAAAATTTACTAGAGTTTTATGATTATTTTGTTATTGTTTTAATACAAATTTTTCTGGGAAATATGTTTACAAATATTTTCTGTACTTTTTATTTATGCCTATGGTATTACAATAGAACCAATATGAAAAATAGGGTATAATAGAAATTTTACTTTAATTAAAGCAAAGTACTCCACCTCAGTGACCTATTTCATTAAATATTTTTATAAGTAAGACTTAATAAATAGATCACCTAGATGGATAAAATGGCCACAAGGCAGATCTGACAAAGTTGGAATGGGGCACATTTTCAGTTTTGCAAATTTTATGAGACTTCTCTATGTTATGCCCATATTGGTTGGCTTCTGGAAATGTTCTACAGTAGATAATATGTTCATTCCATGAAACAGGATATAGGCCTTGTCTATTTCTTCCCAATTTTTATGAGTTGAATCACATCTCCCCCAAATTCATATGTTGAGGTTTTAACCCCCAGTACCTCAGAATGTGACCAAATGAGAAACAGAGTCCTTGCAGATGTAATTAGTTAACAGAAATTTAGACTGTGGTAGGGTGGGCCCAAGCTCAATAACCAGTCATTATACAAATGGATAATTTGGACATAGACATGCACACAGAACATCATATGAATGTAAAATCAGAGATCCGGGTGATGCTTCTACAAGCCAAGGAACACCAAAGATAGGCAGCAAAACACCAGACATTGGGCAAGAGGCATGGAACAGATTCTCCCTCATAGCCATCAGAAAGCAGGAACCCTAACAACACCCTGATCTTGGACTTTTAGCCTCCAGAACTCCAGACAAGAGATTTCTGTTGTTTAAGCCACCCTGCGTGTGATATTTTCCTGTGGCAGCTGTAGGAAACTAATGTACTTTCAGTAGTAAAGTGAGCAAATGCACATTCATTTTCTGCAGTAGTCAGTTTTCTCCCAAATCCCTGAACAGAGACAAAGCCTTAGGCTACTGGCCATATAGCACTTTCAAAATGTACAGGAGATAGAATCAATAGGCCTCAATGCTGCTACGAATTCATTTGTGTTATCCATCAATAACATAGCCCTTGTGGCTGATCCATATCAAATTCATTCTAGCAAGTGATTTTCAATGACATCAAAAGAAGCCACCCCCTCTATTCATTTTCAAAAACATGTGTCAGCACTCCCTAAAACCCACACTGATTCTCTTTCCAATAGCCGTCCCTACTTCGAGGGAAGAACCTGATAAAAGCCCAATTAAAGAGGTTTGCCATTGACCGGGGCACTTTTCTGGACAAAACTGAAAGCAATGGATACTTCTTCAGTGTATTAGGGTAAGCCACACTTGCCAGAGGCTCACCAGCAATTAAAAGTTACAAGACGCTGCAGGTCCCCAGTGGGTCCTGTATAGGTGAGAGATAAACACACATTGAGCTGGAGAAGTGCACTGCGTTATGATGCTCTTCGCACTTGAATTAAGGCCCTGGTTGAGCTCTGTAGTCATTAACTGACAGTGTTTTTCTATCTGTGACTGGTGCCCTTTGAAATAGTTCCCTAGAACTGTTTACCACATTTAGTAAGTACTCAGTAACATTTGTTGATAGACTCAATGGATGAATAAATAAATAGAGCCAAGTCCCTAGAAGCAGGTTCTAGATTTATTCCTATCACTCCTAAGCTCTACCTTTGTTCCTTTTTAAAAGCCCCTGACTGGATGTTAGTGCAGGTCACTGATTTTAACTCTCTTACACACTTGCAAAATAGAGTTTCTAAATATTCCAGTAAACAAATGCTCTCTTCGGAGCAGGTTTGACTTAATGATATATCTCTTATTTTCATTTGGCATCAAATGTACCTCTTTTTCCAAAATGTGTTAAAATCTACCCAGCTCAATAGTCCATTTGACACATATTACTAATCCATGTGTTTACTTAGTTGCTGTAAAAATAAGTTTTACATATTGATCAAAATTTGGCAGCCAGAAAAACTACAGCACAGATTGAGGTCCACTGATTTATTGTTTGTTGGATTTCAGATTCATTTTATCTCCCCTTAAGGGGCCCTAGAACCCCTTCAATTTATGTTATTAATTAACCACTCCAGTCATTGCCATGTGTGTATCCAGGTATCAGAATAAACACACACAGCACATCATTTCTACAGCTAAAGCAGCAGCGCTAAAGACCGGAGTTCAGGTCATAACTGTGATTCCCCAGTGAAAGGGAAGCAGTGAATTAGCAGACATGTAAATTTTGGCTGGTTATTCTTCCACTAAGAAGGTTATGATTAGCCAAAATGCATGTGGCCATTTTCTCTCCTGATCTAGGCAGCTGGAATCCTTAACTCCCTTTCTTGACATGGTGAATGATAATGCCCTGTCGTTTAAAGGATGGGGAGTGACATAAATTTATGAGAAAAGAGAGGCCAGGTTGTTGGAGCTTTTGACCACAACAAAGACGGCACTAATGGCCCATCATCAATAATACATGTGTTCAGCCTTGTTGATCCAGTGGTCAGGATGGGTTTCTACCCATCCAGTTTATACATTCTCTTCTGATATATTTTTTGATGACAGTTTTGATCTATAAAGATCTAACCTGAATCTGGAGAATAGAGGGAGCAGACTATGGCCTGGATTAAAGCCAGCACAAGGGGATGATTGGCCTCATGGACTTGGCCTCATGAGCATAATGCTCTTATCTGAGAGAAGCATGGATAATGGGAAAACCATGGCTCTCAGAGTCAGACACACCTTGATTAGAATCCCATGTCTGCCACTCACAAGCTATGTCTCATCAGAACACTTATTCAAACTCTCAGTAACTAAATTTCATTTTATTTAAACTGAGGCTAGTAATATCACCTTCCTTCCACCTTTCGTGGGTGCTTATTGTGAGACAGCATATGTTAAATAAGGTAATATATCAGAAAGTACCTGCTGCAGTACCTGTCACCAAGCACGTGTTCAGTTGCTCACATCTTTTCCTTCTTTCTTTGTAACCAAACCAAGATGCTAGAAGTGCTCTTTCTCACTCATACAGCTCTGTTTGCAAAACGCTGCCCTCTTTAAATTAGAAACACATGAACAAATAAAAAATGCAATTTGGACAAATCTGCATGTTCTTTTAAAATCATTAAAAATAAACTTTTCATTGCTCAACAACAACCCAATTGTTGTTGTTGTTTTAGCCGCTATATGATTGTTACAGTGTGATCTGGAAGAGAGGTATTTTGCTAAAATATGAATACAAATGCTTTGAGTACCTGACTAATGTATATCCAGTTACTACCTGTTTACTAAAAACGTCCTTTTTAACACCTGAATTTAGGAAATAATTAGAAGATGCAGGCATTGATAATGAATAAACCTTTTCCCGATTCGATGTTTACCATGTACATTCCTTTTTTTTGATCTTATGCATTGACTTTGTTAAATAGAGATTACTTCATAGATAGTAAGACATCATCACAGGCATTTGTGGAGGGAAGGGACTTGTTTGTCTCTTGTCTGGATTTAGACAGAAGGTTCTCACGGCCCTTGTGCTTTTTTGAAATCTTTCCTCTCACCTAGTATTGTGTTGGCCACATAGGAAGTAAATCCTCATTGATTAGAACTGAGTGAGTCAGAACACAGAAATATGACCAAGAAAAAAAAAGCAGGATGAGTCAGACAAGAGTGAGAGGAACTGAGGTTTGAATGGAGGAGTAGGAGGAAGAGAAAGGAGACTTCAATATGTGGAGATGGCAACTGCCCTGGGGGTGGGAGCTGCTTGGGGATGCAGGACTGCTAGAAACCAACAAGCCCATGTCTGAAACAGCTGAGAAAGATCCCATTTTATATTCCCCTGTGAAAATAGAGAGGGATCTAATGGTATTTGGCTATTCATATTAGCCTCCTCATCTCCTTCTTGTCTTTGTGTCAACTTATTAATGAGATCTTCTTTGACAATCCTACTTAAAACCCACCACCACTGCCCCCCAAACTTCCCTTATTATTTTAACTTTTAAAAATTATAATTTTAATTTCTTTCTTAGCACTTATTATCATCCAACATAGTTTATGTTACTCATATTTTCTTTATAATATTGGCTCTGTAATTGCAGGATTTGTTTCACTGTTATATCACTGGCACCTAAAACAGTGTCTGACGTGTAGTAGATGCTCAATGTGTGTGGAGTCAGTGAATGAATAAATGGATGAACTGAGTATCTATTGCATCTGTAGTACTGTACCAAGCTGGGGATTTAAGACAGAAAAGCAGAATCCCTGCCCTTAAAGTGGTTGTAAAAGCAGACAAGTAAAATAATAGTCTCCAAAAGTTGGCCAGGCGCCATGGCTTCTGCCTGGAATCCCAGCACTTTGGGAGGCCAAGGCAGGCAGATCACTTGAGGCCAGGAATTCGAGACCAGCCTGGCCAACATGCCGAAACCTCATCTCTACTAATAATACAAAAATTAGCCAGGCATGGTGGTGAGTGCCTGTAATCCCAGCTACTTGGGGGGCTGAGGTAGGAGAATTGCTTGAACCCGAAACGTGTAAGTTGCAGTGAGCCAAGATCATGCCACTGCACTCCAGCCTGGACAACAGAGTGAAACTGTGTCTCAAAAAAAAAAAAATTATGATCAGTGTCCTACTCAGTGTTATGGTAAAAGTAAGTGTGGGTTTCTGTGGGAACACAGAGAAGGGACTTTTAATCGGGGCTGCATTAGGACATGAGATGCTCAGAAGTCTTTTTTTGAATGAGTGATATCTGCATTGGGACATGGATAAGAATTAGCTGGATACTAGGGGGGATAAAAGACCCAAATGCAGCAACAGAAGTCTCGGGTATGCACAGACTTACTTTGAGAGATTAAATACAGTGATCAATTACCCAAAAGTATAAACCTAACTGGTTTATATGTATCTCTGATTAAGGAGAGATCTTAACAGGGAAAAATAGACTCTCAGTGATAGCTGTGACTGAGTGAGGCTTTCAAAGCTGAACATTTAAGAAGAGGCCCTAAATTAGACATTCAAAAATAAAGGCAGATGCCCCATGACAATGAGAATGCAAAGAAGTTAATATGAATTCCATTTCCCTTCTTAAAAAATACATTAGGAATATTTATCTTCAGTGAAAAGATTATCTGATTATTTTAGAAAAAGCAAACCTGTATAGCTTTTGATGTCAAGACTATATAGATATCAGCTATGTAAGAAGATAATAATGTCATCTACTTTGAGCCTGTGGTGTGCTAGAGTTGGCTGTTCAGCTTGTGAGAGTCAATTCTTAAGCACTCAAAAATCCTGACAGCTGGTTGTTAAACATTCATTATTAAAAATTAAATTGTATATTCCTTTACTATAGATTGATGTTTTTGTTCCTCGGTCTCCAAATTCCTTTATTGAAACCTAATCGTCAATATGAGAGTATATAAAGGTGAGAGTATGTGTGGCCTTATAAAAGAGACTCCAGAAAACTTCCTTGTTCCTTCTGCCGTGTGAGGACACAGCTAAAGGCCCCATTGTTAACCTGAAAGAAGGCCCCCAACAGATACAGAATCTGCCAACACCTTGATCTTGCATTTCCCAGCACCCAGAACTGTGAGATACATTTCTGTTGTTCATTAGCCAGTCTGTCTTTGGTATTTTGTTGTAGCAGCCTGAACAGATGAAGATAACTGTCAAGTTTAAATAAATTATACTAAAAGTTGATGAATCCTTCAAACTTATCAGTTCCTACTTGTTTTACAAGATTTTACTATTTGCTTTGCTTTTAAGGAAACTTAGAATTATCTGTGTGGTGGAGACACTATGTGGGCTACTGTGCATCTCTGTGTTCAGTGATGCCATGTTGATAGCTAGAGATCAGCTGCGGTGCGATTACTTACAGCATGGAAACAGGCAAATGCTGGGAAACAGGTGTCCCCCTACCCAAAGACACAGTCATTAGGCATTTTCTGGGAAACCACTGCTTTGAGCCCAGAGACCTAATAGTGTTGAAGGTCTTGGGGTTGAGTCTGACACACAGCAGAACTGTGTCATAATTGCGGTTCCTTAATAGCTCTTAAGTACTTTTTAAATATTTTGGTAAGTCCTATATTAGAGTCCTGTAAGTCTCTTCTACCTCCCTTGCTTCTAGACACAGGCATAGGACCGAAGAAGAAGGTGCTGTTTGAAATCTCCCTCCCTGGCAGCATTGGTGGAACACGAAGGAGGGGCATGGGTAGTCAGGGGTATTGTTGGGCTGCTCCTATGGTGGCTTTCTGGGTCTCCTGTGCTGTGAGAACTGTGCTGTCTCCATGCACCCTGCTGTGGGTAGATCACATCTTCAGGGAAGTGACAGAGTGACCTGGCTCTTATTCTGGGAAAATCAACCTCAGAGCTGAGCTTCAGTCTGGTTTTCTGGCTGTGAGCTTTTGGGGATTCTATGATATTCCTCTTCAACCAATTTATCTTCTGCTTGAAATACATAGATGGGTTCTGTGATTTGAAACAAAAAAGATGGGTTAATGCAGCATCTTATATCCATTTTAGCACACATCAAAGAAATGATGCGTTTAAAATTTGACATTGTAGAAAAATACAATTATATTGCATAGATTAAAACTGTTACCACTTATTTGTTTTTATTCAAAAGTTGGAAAATATAGGAGTGTGCATTACCCATAACTTACCACTGCTAACATTTAATATTTCTTCCTTTCTCTTTTTCTATTCAGCATATATTTTAATAAGAGCAAGCTCACACTGTTTATATTGCATTGCACTTCACTACATTGGTGGCTTATCTTTCTAAATCAAAATTAATTCATTTCTAAATTTAGATATAGCTTATACGAGGACTTTCTTTTGAATCAGTTTCTTCTGAACCTTTGTTAAGATAAATTTTTGATTGTTGGAGATACAGTCTGATGTCCTGGAACAAGCATAGCATTTGCAATTCATTTACTTTTAAGTCACTTATTTAATACATGATTATTAAATATCTACCATGTGCAAGACACTGCTGTAAGTGATAGGGGTATGGCAGTGAGTATACAGACAAAAATTAATGCCCTCATGGAGCATATATGAGGGGAGAGATAGACAGCACAGCTAATGAGTAAGTAAATTATGGAGTATGGTAAAGTTGATAAGGTACCATAGAGAAAAATAAAGTTGGGCAAAGAGGATGGAAAGTGCTGGGGTGGAGAATGCTTACAATTCTAAATAGGATGGCTAGGGTAGGACTCACTGATGTTGTGACAATTGAACCAGGACTCAAATGAGAGGGAGCTCTCTGGAAAAGAACCTTCCAGGCAGAGAGAGGAGCTAGTATAAAGACCTATTTGAGGGATACTGGCAAGGCCAGTTTGGCTGAAGGGGAGAATAGGAGATGAAGGTGAAAGAGATAAAGGGAGAGTTTAGATCACTTAGCATTGTTGGAGCATTGTTGCAAGAAGTATGGCTTTTACATTGAGTGAAGTGGGTGCCACTGAATTATTTTGAGCAGAGGGGAAACATAATTTGATTTATGTTTTAAAGGTATCACTTTTACTTCTAGAGAGTCAGAATGCCAACTTATATAGAAAGATTTGCCAACAAACACATACAACTGAGATATTTCTTTTGAAACTATTTTTGTACAGCAAGTTTTAAAAAGATGGTAATTAACAAAATTAAAGATGAAATAAACTTAAAATAAAAGGTATCACCCTGACTTCTGTATTCAGAGTGTTGTCTGTGAGCCAGGAGTATCAACATTTCCTAGAGCAATGTTAGAAATAAAGACTTTTAGGACCCATGTCAGATCTACTAAATTAGAATTTGCCTCTAATAAGATCCCAAGGTAATTTATCGGCATGATACCACTTGACAAACAGTAATATATAGAGGAGGGGGGTAAGAGAAAAAGGCCAGAGAGAGTTAAGTGGCATTTGCTATATTCTGAGTAAGAGTTAGTAATAGCATGGACCGGTGGTGGTTGTGAGAAGAAAAACTGGATGTGAGATGTAAAAGAAAGGACAAACCAAGAATGACTCCATGGTTTTTGGACTGAGCAAGTGGAAAGAAGTTCTCATTAACTAAATCGGGGGGAAAAAACAGGTGTTTTTTTCAAATTATATTTGAGATGTGGGATGGTTTATCTCCCACGCCAACTTGGAGGGTGGAGGGTGTTTTGGGATGAGAATGACATTTAAATCAGTGAACGTTGGGT
Source organism: Homo sapiens (assembly GCF_000001405.40). NCBI lineage: Eukaryota > Metazoa > Chordata > Mammalia > Primates > Hominidae > Homo > Homo sapiens. The sequence continues at coordinate 115,345,908 of NC_000003.12, forward strand.
AAAGTAGATTGGCCTCCAAATATGTGTGGTCCCATCCCATCAGTTGAAGGCCTGAATAGAACTAAAAGACTGTCCTCCTCAAGAAAGGGGGTATTAATTCTCCAGAAGACTTCCTGCAGCCTGCAATTGCACCATCAGCTTTCCTGGGTCTGCTTCATTCTCTTTTCTTTCTCCCTTTCCCTTTCCCTTTCTCTCTTTCTCTCTCTCTTTCTGTCTTTCTTTCTTTCTTTCTTTTTTCTTTCTTTCTTTCTTTCTTTCTTTCTTTCTTTCTTTCTTTCTTTCTCTTTCTTTCTCTTTCTCACTCTTTCTTTCTCTCTATTTCTTTCTTTCTCTCTTTCCTTCTTTCTCTCTTTCTCTCTCTCTCTCCTTTTTTTTTTTTGAGATGGAGTCTCACTCTGTCACCCAGGCTGAAGTGCAATAGCATGATCTCGGCTCACTGCAACCTCTGCCTCCCATGTTCAAGCAATTCTTCTGTCTCAGCCTCCCAAGTAGCCAGGACTGCAGGCATGAGCCACCATGCCCAGCTAATTTTTTGTATTTGTCATAAAGATGGAGTTTCACCATGTTCGCTAGGCTGGTTTCGAACTCCTGACCTCAAGTGATCTGTCTGCCTTGGCCTCCCAAAGAGCTGGGATTACAGGTGTGAGCCACCGCGCCCGGCCTGCAAATTTCAATATAAAGTGATTTATTCCTGTCGGCTGTTTCTCCGGAGAGCCCATAATAATAGAAGATATTAAATAGTTATTTCAGTCTGAGTTTAGACTGAATCTAAAAATACAAAATTGACAGTCACCAGCATATAACTTAAATTTAAAGTCATCGGAGTAAATAAAATCACTAAAGAAATGAGGTATATAAAGAGGGGAAGTCAAAAAGCCTAACCTCTGGGGCCCTCCAACATTAAGAGGTCAGAGAGAAAAGAACCAGCAAAGGCTCAACAGGAGGGGCCAGAGCAGAGGGAGAAAAATCAGGTGAATGTGTTGGGGTGGAAGCCAGGCAAAGGAGTATACAAAGGAGTATATCATTAATGTGTCTAATGCTATTGGTAAGTCAGGTAAGATGAGGATTGAGAATTAGATGTAACAAGACAGAGGTCTTAGGTGTCCTTGATAAGGGCAATGTTGATAACGAGAGTTGGGGATTTGAAAATGAAACTGCAGTGAGTTTGGGAGAAAATGGGAGGAGAGTAAATGGACATTTAAATTTGTCTTTGTATGACTCTTTTATTTAAGCAAATTTTTAAAAATAGATTATTTTTGTAGCAGTTTTAGATTTACCAAAAAATTGAGCAGAGAGTTTCCATATAGTTCTTACCTCCCACAGTTTCCCCTATTGTTAACAACTTGAATTAATGTAGTGCATTTATTACAACTGATAAATGAACATTGATAAATTATTATTAACTAAAGCCCATAGTTTACAATAAGGTACATTCTTTGTGTTATACAGTTCAATGAGTTTTGAAAAATCTATAATGTCATGTATCCATCATTACAGTTAAATTTTTAAATCACAGATCAATTGCTTACTAGCTGTGTGATCTTGAACAGATTACCTCAATCTGAGTCTCTATAAATTGTTGTGGTTAAGCAAAATAAAATAGATGAAAATGCCTAGAATGAATACTGACACCTATTAAATGTTAATTTTCTTCCATTCTCTTTTGAATAAAAACCAAAAGATATAGTCAAATACCTATAGTTTTCTTAAAGTGCAACTTTGCAATTTTACAATAAATTACATATTTTCTGTTTGTGTCTTTAAAAAAATTTCAGGACATATATCCTCCCCAAATAAATGTTTTACTATCATAATTTTTAGTATTTGGTCCAGATGACTCTTTTGGTTCAGGGTGATAAAGAGGCCAAGTCATCAGTTGATCTTTATATGGGTCAGTTAGTTCTACAATAAGAAAAATGGTTACATTGCCACAGATAGCACATCTTACCAACCCTGGCCATCCATCTCTCAGATAGACTGAAAGAGGCCTCAGCCTGTGAACGCAGATTTCCCAGTGCAATTTCATCACTTTTAGAGAAACAACAAATGCTATAAGGCTTTCAAGCAATAGAACACATTCTTAAGTGAAAGCCATTTCCATGTAGTTTTTGGCAGAAGGAATTCAAACATTGCATGGAATGTTAATTAGATAACCTTTAAAGACCCCTTTAGCCTGATACCCGCACAAAATTTATTTAAAAGCTAGCAAAATAAATGTGAGGTTCTGGGGTCAGAAAACTGTATTCTTGAGGAAAACTGACTTTGAGAAGAAATTGGTTTAAAATCTTAAAAGAAGTTTTGATGGATTTGATAGAAGAAAAGAAAAAGGAGATTTTTTGTTTGGTTTGGTTTTGGAAGCTGCAATGATCTTTTGTTTCATGGAATGAAAATATATTTTGATAGGAAACACTGTATTTGGGAAAGTATCCAATTTGTGGAATGATGCAGCTAATGATTAGGCTGTGTTGAACTGGATTGATTCAATAAGAAAATAGAAACAAACATGCTTTTTCCAGCTTTTCTGAAAAATTTATATTAAAATTTATCTTTTTGAATTGGAATGGAAGTCTAATAATAGTTGTTGGTCTTGAATTGACAATAAATCTTGTCACGGGAGGTAGAGTTAACTAAGAGTCAGTGTTACCAAAGGTGGCATTAATGGGTATATCCACCCTCCAGACAGAGGAAGTTAGATTAGCAGCAGTTTTTGGCATCAGTGCAGGATTTGGAGGGACTGAGCTGGATAAGGGAGAATAGAGTGGCGGAGATTTCACAGCAATATGAATTCATGTTTCAGATAAAAACTAGACAAGATTTAGTGTCAGGTTAGCTAGACTAGGGCAAGAGAAGTCCGGAAAAGTAAGCCAAAGAGATACTGAAGAGAATCCTGGCTGCCCCAGATTGTCTCATTTGGATGGATTGCTCAGGTTTCCAGTGTACAGCCCTCTACCAAGTCACTCTTTATAGCCCTCACAGAGGTAGGTTTCCATTTACTAGGTAATTCATTTAATACCTTCATGAGTTTTGGTATATTCATGTACCATCATATGATCGACTTATATTTTCTTATATCAATTGACTTTTTAAAGCCATAAATACATTTGTCTTAAAAAGGAACTTTGTATTATTAATACTATTGTAAATGGAACATCTTTCACTGTAAAAGGAAGGTAACTATAAATATAAGTACAATGGAAACAAGGCAGTGTTATTAATAATTAGCAACTAATTATTAATAACTAATAATAATAACTAATAATAATACCTAATTAGTAACTAATTATTAATAACTAAGAGTAATGAGTAGCTGATTACTCTTGCACTTTTGCCAGGCTTTGATATTTGATGTACACTTTCTCTTTATTAAATGGGATATTACCTAAGTGTTGGATCATTGATAATGACTATTACCAAATCGAGTCTCCCTCTCCAATGAGAAGAGCTGAAAGAATATAGAAATTTCATTATATGATTCAATGTTATTTATTGCCTTGTCTAGCCGTAATGTGAACACTTTTCATATACCAACTGGTTTGGATGCTGATTCCCTTCCAATCTCATGCTGAAATCTGAGGGGAATGTTGGATGTGAGGCCTAATGGGAGGTGTTTGGGTCATGGGTGTGGATTCCTCATGGATGAATAGATTAATGCCCTCCCTTGGAGGTGAGTGAGTTCTCACTCTATTATTTCCTGCTAGAGTTGGTTGTTTAAAGAAGTCTGGCACTTTCCATGCTCTTTCTTGCTTCCTCTGTTGCCGTGTGATCTCTGCACACATTGACTCTCCTTTACCTTATACCATGAGTGGGAACAGGCTGAGCAAAAGTCTGGGAACTCTTCACCAGATGCAGATTTCCAATCTTGAACTTTCCAGCTACAGAATTATGAGCCAAATATATATTTTTTCTTTATAAGTTACCCAGCCTCAGATATTACTTTATAGCAACACAAAATAAATTAAGACACCACCCAAGATCATTTCATGTACCACTCAAAATCATTTTGGGGAAATATTGCTCTAGAATAAAATTTCTAAAATCTGGAACAATACCAACATTTATGCGTAAACTTCTGATCTTTGAAAGCTTGTTGCTGGGTCTGTATCAAAGTAAAATTATGGATAATATGTGAATTTTTTATTTGTAAAGTGAATTCAATTTATGAGTATTATGAGACTATGCCTTATTTTTAATGTTAAAAAGTTTTCTCACATAAAGTGAGGATGATGGAGGAGGAAATTCTGACTTTATATTGAAAACATGTAAATACTTGTTCTCTATTTTGATAAGTCTTTTGTGATTGATTAACACCACAGTTTAGGAAACCACGGGTCTAGTCTTTTAATCTTGAAAGGTTGCAGATTCTCCACTTATTCTTGTGCTCCTTTCATATATTGTGATCTTATGTGTAAGGATACCTCAGAGAAGTAAGCTCTAGCTTATCTGTGGGTCTGCCTTGTAGAGACTGTAAGATGAGGGAAAAAATGAGTTCATAAATGGTGAATGTCTTTGATGAGTGAAAACTCTTACGTGTGAGATAGTTTGATCATCTTCCTGGAGCTGGTGTTACCTGAGTCAGAGGCAATGTTATATCCTTGGATTTGGGTTTTAAAGGGTCTGTGATGTTCATAGCTTTTGAGACTCTGGTTGTTTCTTTACTCACGGGGGAAAAAAAAACCCAAAAAACCAAGAAGAAAACAAGACTCTGTTGCCCTAGTCTTTAGTCTTCCCATCACTTAAAGTGCAAGAGGCAGAGATCCTGCTAGGAGAAATCATGACCAAAAAACTTTAGATTCCTCAAATTATATTTATGTGATATTAAAGACACATTGCTTGTTTAATTTAGAAATTAGAACTGAAATCCAAAGGCATTAAGTGACGTAATGCCAGCTGTGTTTGCATTGGCATGCCTTTATACATGTCGGCACGAAGCTAGTTATAATATTCCCATCTCATCCTCTGAATTTTGATAGGTTCCCTAGTGTCATTTCCTTTTTTAATTTTTTTTTCCTGATTTTGGTCATTTGTTTTTTTTTTTCTGTTTTTCTTGTCAGAGTGGCTAAAGTTTTATTATCAATTTTGTTAATAAAAGAATAATATTTTAGTTTGATTGTTTCCTTCCCTTTTTTTGTTTTCTACATAATTGGTTTCTGTTCTTATCTCTATGATTTCCTACACTCTACTTAATTTTGGTTTAATTTTTCTCTTGTTTTTCTATGCTCTTAGAGTGGAAAATGTTAAAATCTTTCTTTCCAATATAAAGCTTTAACACTATACACTTTAAGCAAAAAATTAGCTGCACGACTGTATAGTATGTACTTTTAATTTGCTGTATATTATGATGCTTTCACATCTTAAAAAATCTTTGCAGTTGGGGAGATACTGCTCCTCAGCAGGGGTAGCTTAACTCTATAGATAGCAAGGGCTCAGCTTGGAGTACGCCCTTCATATGCAAACTAACCAATCTGGAACCATATGCCTTCTATCTGCCCTTACATCTCAGGAGACAATATTTATCTACTTTAATCATCCCAAGGCCAGGTACGGGGCAACCAGGGGCTTCCTATGGTTAAGAGTTCATTAAAATATTCAAATGAGCCAATCCTAGATCATTCGCCTTGCCTTGCCTTGCCTTTCCTGCAGAAACCCCAACAAAGGCTCTGGCCTAATACCTTCCCCTCATTTCTGCTTCTGCTTCCTGACCAAAAGTTGGTGTTCCTTCTGTAGCCATTTGTAGCAAGCCATGACTCTCATTTCTAGGGGAACTGTGAGTAACACTCAACTTTTCTTTCAGTGGCATTCATCTTTTCATGTACTTAGGCACCTTTAAAAATTAAGCCCTTGGCACAGAATAATTCCATAAGTTTGTCATTTGTGTTTTTGTTTCCATTCAGTTCAAGAGATTTCCTAATTCCCCTTGTGATTTCTTCTTTGACTTATTGACTACTTAGAAGCGTGTTGATTTTCAAATATTTGGGGATTTTCTAAATGTATTTATGTTGCTAATTTCTAATTTAAATTTTTTATAGTAAAGAAATATTTTGTATGATTTCAATCCTTTAAATTAATTGAGTTTTTTTATGGCCTAACATTTGATCTTAGAGTGTTCTATGTGGGCTAGACAATAATGTGTGCACTGATGTTGTTGGATACAGAGTCTGTAAATGTTGGGTCAAGAAATCTGATACTACTATTCAAGTCTTCTATATCCTTATCGATTATATTTATAGTTGTTTTATGAATTACTGAAAGTAGTATTGAAATCTCCAACCATATAATTGTTGAAGATAAATGGATAATTTATCCATTTAAATCTGTTGTTTTTGCTTTGTAATCATGAGTTTCTTTTGTTAGGTACATTTATAATTTCAAGTATTACTGAAGTATTGACTCCTTCATTATTATTAAATTTCCTTATTTGTCTGCCTTGAGTAATGTTTCTTGTCTTAAATTCTATTTAATTTGCTATTAATTTAGCCATTGCAGCTTTCTAATATTTATGGTTTGCATGGTATACATTTTTCCATCATTTAACTTTTTCTCTCTTGTCTTTAAATCTCAATGTGCCTGTTATAGAACATATTTACTTTGGTTATGATTTTTTTAACCCAGCCTAACAATTTCACCTTTTGATTGGGATGTTCCATTCATTCATATTTAATGTAGCTATGGATATGTTGTATTTACATCTACCATTTTTCTTTTCATTCTAAATGTCTTGCGTTTCTTTTAATCCTCTATTCTTCATTTTCTGCCTTCTTCTGTGTTAGATATTATTTGTGTGTACCATTAGATTCCTCTGCTCATTATTAACTATGTTTTAAAAGTTATTCTCTTAGTAATTGTTCTGAGGAATACAATAGATTGTTACAATCTATTTCAGGCCAATTCTGGTAAAATATAATAGTTTTGTTCCAGTGTAGTCCTATATTATTCTCCCCTTTGATTGTTGTGTTATAGCTGTACATCTATATATAAGCAGTTTTATATTTATTGCTTTATTCAGTGTTATGCATTTGAGAGAAAGTAAGAGAATAGATAAAAATATTTTTATACTTAAAAAAGTTTACCCACATATTATATCTGATGCTTCTTATTTCTTCCTGTGGATTCAAGTAACTGGTACAATTTTCTTTCAGCCTAAAAAAAATTTAATTTTTTTCTTGTAGTAAAAATCTCCTAATAGCAAATTATTTTCAAAAAGCAAGTAACTAGAAATATGTTCATTTGCATTTATTTTTGAAGAATAGTTTTGCTGGACATAGAATTCTTGCCAGCAAGTGTTTTTGTTATACTTTAAGCCTTTCGATATACCATTCCACTGTTTTCTGGCCTTGATTCTTTCTGATGAGAGAGTGATCATTATGTCCTTGTCCCCTGTATGTAATAAACAATTTTTCCTCTTGCTACTTTTAATATTTTCTCTCAATCTCTCATAAGTTTAAGCATGTTATTTCAAGTTGCAGATTTTTCTGACTTTACCCCTTTGGGATTGACCATTTACATGTATATTGATATGACTGATGTCATCCCACAGATTTTGTATGCTGTTCATTTCCCTTCATTTTTTATTCACTGTTTTTTATATTAATTTCCATTAATTTCTCCTCAAGTTCACTGATTCTTTTGCCATCTCAAATTTGCTGTTAAGCCCATCTAATCAGTTTTCATTTCTTGTTGTACTTTTCAATTTTAGAATTTCCATTTGAGTCTTTGCTGGCAAGTTTTTTTGAAATATGATTCACATACCATAGCTCACTCATTTAAAGTGTACAGTTCTATGGTATCTAATATACTCACAAAGTTGGACAGCCATTACTGCAATCAATTTTAGAAATTTTTATTATACCAAAAAAAAAATCCAGTATCTTTAAGCAACCATTCCCTAACAGCTCTTTCCAACCCTATACAACTACAAATCTACTTTCTGTCTCTACAGATTGTTCATTCTGGACATTGTTCATTTGTTCATTCTGTTCATTCCATTCCATAAATGGAATTAATATGTTTCTTTTATGGGTGACTTACTTAGCTTAATGTTTTCAAGATTCATCCATGTTACTGCAAGTTTCAGTACTTTATTTCTTTTTATTGTTGAAAAATATTATATGAATATACCACATTTTATTTATCCATTAATCAATTAATAAACATTTGCATTGTTTCTACTTTTTAGCTATTATGAATAATGTTGTTAACAATATTTGTAAACAAGTTTTCATGTAGACATGCGTTTTCAATTATGTTGCATATATACCTAAGAATAGAAATGCTTAGTCATATGATAATTCGTTTCACCTTTTGAAGAACTCCCAGGCTGTTTCCAAAGTGGCCACACCATTTTACATGTCCACAAGCAGTACTTGCTTCTTTTGTATACACTCTGTTTCTGTATTGAATTCTCTATTTGTCAAGTCACTGTCATATATTTTGAATATAGTTCATTTTAATTCTTTGCATATATTTATAATGGCTTTTTGAAATGTGTTGTCTGCTCGATCCTGTATCTGGATCTACTTAGAGTCAGTTTTTCATTGACTGCTTTTTCCCCTTGAGAAGTAAGCTTTGCTACTTTGAAAATGTAACATACAGGCATATACCTTGCAGATATTGCAGGATCGGTTCCAGACCACCACAATAAAGGGAGTATCACAATAAAGTGAGTCATACAAATATTTTTTCCCAGCGTATATAACAGTTATATTTTAATGAAAGCCATGTATGACAGACCCACAGCTAGTATCATAATGCATGGGAAAAACTGAAAGCCTTTCCTTTAAGAACTGGAACACAATACTGTCACCACTGTTGTTCAGCAGAGTAATGGAAGTTCTAGCTAGAGTGATCAGACAAGAGAATGATATAAAGGGCATCCAAATTGGAAAGGAAGAAGTCAAATTATCCTTATTTTCAGATGACATGATTTTATATTTGGAAAAGCCTACTTTACAAGAAAACTATTAGAACTGATGAAACGAATTCAGCAAAGTGTCAGAATACAAAATCAATATACAAAAATCAGTAACATTTCTATATGCCAACAGTGAACAATGTGAAAAAGAAATTTAAAAAAGTAATCCCATTTACAATAGCTATACATAAAATTAAATACTTAGGGATTAACCAAAGAATTGAAAGATCTCTATAATTAACCCTATAAAAACACTGATGAAAGAAATTGAAGAAGACCCTAAGAAATGGAAAAATGTTCTACGTTCATGAATCAGAAGGACCAATATTGTTAAAATATCCATGCTATCCAAAGCTATCTATAGATTCAATGCAATTTCTATCAAAATACCAATGACATTCTTCACAGATGTAGAAGAAACAATCTTAAAATTTAGATGGAACCACAAATGACCCAGAATAGCCAAAGCCACCCTAAGCAAAAAGAACAAGACTGGAAGAATCACATTACCTGACTTCAAATTATACTACAGAGCTATAGTAACCAAAACAGCATAGTACTAGCATAAAAGCAGACACATAGACCAATGAAACAGAATACAGAATGCAGAAAGAAATCCACACACTACACTGAACTCATTTTTGACAAAGATGCCAAGAACATATGCTGGAGGAGAGACAGTCTTTTAAATAAATGGTGCTGGGAAAACTGGATATCTATAAGCAGAAGAAAGAAACTAGGCTTCTATCTCTTGCCATATGCAAAAATCAAACAAAATGAATGAAGATTTTAATCTAAGACCTCAAACCATGAAAGGACTATAAGAAAACATTTGGAAAAATCTCCAGGACATTGGTCTGGGCAAAAATGTCTTGAGGAACACCCCAGAAGCACAGGCAACCAAAGTAAGAATGGAAAAATAGGATCACATCAAGTTGAAAAGCTTCTGCACAGCAAAGGATACAATCAACAAAGTGAAGAGACAACCCACAGAATGGGAGAAAATATTTGCAAACTACTCACATGACAAGGGATTATTCAGCAGAATATATAAGGAGCTCAAGCAACTTTATAGGAAAAAAATCTAATAATCTGATCAAAAGATGGACCAAAGATTTTAATAGACATTTCTCAAAAGAAGACATTGAAAAGGTGCTCAACATCACTGATCATCAGAAAAACGCAAATTAAAACTACAATTAGATATCATCTCACCCCAGTTAAAATGACATGTATTTAAAAAACAGGCAATAACAAATGCTGGCGAGGCTGTGGAGAAAAGGGAACCTTTGTACACAGTTGGTGGGAATGTAAATTGGTACAATCATTATGGAGAACAGTTTGGAAGTTCCTCAAAAAACTAAAAATTGAGCTACCATATGATCCAGCAACCCCACTACTGGGGATATATCCAAAAGAAAGGAAATCAGTATATCGAAGAGATATCTGTGCTCCTATATTTGTTGCAATGCTGTTCACAGTAGCTAAGATTTGGAAGCAACCTAAGTGTCCATGAGCAAATGAATGGAGAAAGAAAATGTGGTAGATATAAACAATGGAGGACTGTCCAGGAATAAAAAAGAATGAGATCCCATCATTTGCAACAACATAGATGGAACTTGAGATCATTATGTTAAGTGAAATAAGCCAGATGCAGAAAGACAAACATTGCATTTTTTCACTTATTTGTGGGATCTAAAAATCAAACACTGGAACTCATAGATATAGAGAGTAGAAGGATAGTTACTAGAGGCTGGGAAGGGTGGTGCGGAGTTGCGGAGTATATGGAGATGGTTAAAGGGTACAAAATATAGAAAGAATGACTAAGACCCACTATTTGATAGCACAACAGATGACTATAGTCAATAATAACTGTACATTTAAAAATACCTTTGAAAGTGCAATTGGATTGTTTGCAAATCAATGGATAAATATTTGAAGGTATGGATAACCCATTCTTCATGATGTGTTTATTTCATATTGCACACCTGTATCAAAACATCTCATGCAGATATATGCCTACTATGTACCCAAAAAAATTCAAAATTAAAAATTTTAAAAAGTTATGTTTATACTATAGTGTAGGCTATTAAATGTACAATAGCATTACGTCTTTAAAAAAGAATGCACATACTTTAACTGAAAAGTGTTTTATTGCTTAATAGTCATCTAAGCCTTCAGAGAGTAATATTTTTGCTGGTGGAGTGTCTTGCCTTGATGATAATGGCTGCTGACTGATCAGAGAGGTGGTTGCTGAATGTTGGAGTGACTGTGGAAGTTTCTTACGATAAGACAACGATGAAGTTTGCTTCCTCAATTGACTCCTGTTTTCACAAAAGATTTCTATACAACATGCAGTGTTGTTTGATACCAGTTTACCTATAGAACTTTAATCGAAATTGAATTAAATCCTTTCGAGTACTACCACCACCTTATCAACAAAGTTTATGTATTAGGTTAGTGCAAAAGTAGTTGTGGGTTTTGCCATTGAATATAATGGCCAAACCGCAATTACTTTTGCACCAACCTAATAATATTCTAAATCATTGGTTGACATTTCAAAAACGTTTATAGTATCTTCACCAGGAGTAGATTTCATCTCAAAAAAACTAACTTCCATTGCTTATCCATAAGAAGCAAGTCATCCATAGGAAGCAAGTCATCATCTGTTCAAGCTTTATTAATGTTATGAGAATGCAGCAATTCAGTCACACCTTCAGGGTTCATATATCTAATTCTAGTTTTCTTACAGTTTCTACCATATCTGCAGTTTCTTCCTCCAGTGAAGTCTCACATCCCTCAAAGTCATTCATGACAGCTGAAATCAACTTCTCCCAACCTTCTCTTAATTTTGATGTTTTGACGTTCTCTTATGAATTGCAAATGTTCTTAATGGCATCTACAATGATGAATCCTTCTCAGAAAGTTTTCAATTTATGTTGCCCAGATCTATCAGAGGAATCATTATCTATGGAAGCTATGGCATTACAAAATGTATTTCTTAAATAATATGTCTTGAGAGTCAAAATTACTCTTCGATCCAAGGGATGTGGAATGAATGTTGTGTTAGCAGGCATGAAATATTAATCATCTATACATCTCCAACAGAGCTCTTGGGTGACTAGGTGCATTTTCAATGAGTAGTAATATTTGGAAAGGAATTTTTTTTCTGGGTAATAGTTCTCAACAGTGGTTTTTAAATATTCAGCAAACCATGCTGTAAACAGATGTGCTGTCATCTGGATTTTGTTCCATTTATAGAGCACAGAGTAGACCTAACATTATTCTTAAGGGCTCTAGGATTTTCAGAATGGTAAGTGGGCATTAGCTCCAAGTTAAAGTCACCAGCTGCATTTGCACCTGACAAGAGAGTCAGCCTGTCCTTTAAAGCTTTAAAGTCAGGCAAAGTCTATGATAGCATCTTAGATAGCATCTTCTTCAAATACTGTGTAAGACTGTTTTATCTGCATTGAAAATTTGTCGTTTAGTGTAACCACCTTTACAAGTTATCTCAGGTAGATATTCTGGATAAGTAATATTGCAGTTTCTACGTCAGCATTTGCTGCTTCCTCTTGTACTTTTATGTTATAGGGGCGGCTTCTTTCCTTAAACCTCATAAACGAACCTCTACAATTTGAAACATTTCTTCTGCAGCTTCCTCACCTCTTTCAGCCTTCACTGAGTTGAAGAGAGTTAAGGTCTTGCTCTGAAGTGGGCTTTGGCTTAAGGAAATGTGGCTAGTTTAATCTTCTATGCAGACTGCTAAAACCTTCTCCATATCAGCAACATGCCTGTTTTGCTTTCTTATCACTCATGTGTTCACTGAAGTATCACTTTTAATTTCCTTCAAGAGCTTTTCCTTTGCATTCACAACTTAGCTAACTGTTGCGAGAGGCCTAGCTTTTGGTTTGTCTCAGCTTTTGACATGCCTTCCTCACTAAGCCTAATCATTTTCAGCCTTTTATTTAAAGTGAGAGATGTGCAACTCTTCATTTTGGTTGGACACTTACAGGCCATTGTAGGGTTATTATAGACCTCATTTCAATACTGTTAAATCTCAAGGAATAAGGAAGCTTGGGGAGAGGGAGAGAGAGGGGGGAACAGTCAGAACACACACAACATTTATTAAGTTCATTGTCTTATATGGGTGTGATTTGTGATGCCTCAAACATTACAATGGTAACATCAAAGATTGCTGATCAGAGATAAATATAACAGATAAAATAATAATGAAAAAGTTTGAAATATTGAGAGAATTACCAGAATATGACATAGAGACACAAAGTGAACACATGCTATGGAATAAATGGTGCCAATAGACTTGTTTGACTCAAGGTTGCCGCAGACCTTCAATTTTTAAAAAATTGAATATCTGCCAAGTGCAATAAAGTTAAGTGCAAAAAAAAGGATATGTGCTGGTATATTTTTGTTATTGTTTAAATTTGAAATGTTTACACAAGGCCTTCTAGCAACTTTGGCTTTTTTTTTTCTTAGCATTCTTTTTTAATTGATTTATTTTTTTAAGTTTAGAGACGGAGACTCACCATATTGCCTAGACTGGACTTAAATTCCTGGGCTCAAGCAATTCTCTTGCCTCAGCCTCCCCAGTAGCTAAGACTACAGTTGCATGCCCCCATGCTGGGCCTGAGCATTTTGTAATAAGTAGCTTTTCAGGACTTAAACTTTAGTGTTTTGTTGCTGATGTCTTTGCTATTTTTGTTTGTTTATTGTTGTTGTGTTAAACCTGGCTATTTTAGTGCTTGTTCCATTGTCTGCACAGCTTTGCATTCAGCTAATGTTTGCAACAGTATTTGTTCTTAAACAACTTGAGCTTCTATGTGTGCTTGGGGGAGTGTTACATGAACATGCAAAGTTCAGCTAGCTCTCAATTTCATCTTGACTTTCACTTTCATCTTGACTCCCTTAGATCTCCTCTTTGTGTGTGTATAGTTTTTTAATCAACCAGGGATATGGAGAGTTTATCTAGCCCTTCTCTGGCACTCTCGTGTTCATAATCTCCTCATTTTGTTTCTGGCTGGACATTGCTTATGTGAAATGGGATTGAAGCCTCGAGTTTTCAGAGCCATGGGTTTTCTTTGTTTCCTTTCAAGTTTGCTGATTACTGTCAATGCTGTCATGGATTTTTGCCCACTGACCTAAATGAAGTCAATTTCCTTTGGCAGAAAGGTTGATAGTTTCTCTGGCCAGCTCTATAGGGGTAAAAATAACATTCTTGTTGAAAAAAATAGGAGGTAGGGTGCAGGAAGGAGGGTACAAGTAGTGGTGGAATGAGAATTTTGCCTAGAGGCAAAAGCCACAGATCATCACTCTTTTTACCTTCATAAATAAGTTAAAAAATCTTAGTAATAAATGACTCTCAATTAATTTTTTGTCGGTGGCCAATTTCCATTGCCTCCAAAATGATCATTTTAGACAATTTTATTGAATTTTGTACTTCTTGGGGGCAAGCGTATTCATAGATCTTTTCACCTTTCCATAGCCATAAAGTTTGCCTGCTCTTAGTTTTCTTCACTCTCCTAGAATGTGATTTCTGTCCTTCAGATTACCATCTGATTAAAAATGGCTGCTACAGCTCAGATATCACATTAAAGTTCCCGGTCAAAAAAACCAGAAAGGGTGAAAGTATAAAATTGGTGCCTCTGCCTGCTGATTCATGTCCTTTTAAAAAGCCTTACCAGTTGTCCACACAACACTTTTGCCTACATATTATTGGTCAAAACCTAATCATATGGCCATAACTAGGTGTATGGCATATTGGGAAATGTTATTTTAAAATTTGTTTTCCATGCAAATAGAATCAGAGTGGCCAGGTGTAGTGGCTCACTGTGTCATCCCACCATACTGGGAAGCTGAGGCAGGAGGATCCTTTGAGCCCAACAGTTCAAGACCAGCCTGGGCAACATAAAGAGACTCCATCTCCACTATATATATATATATATATATATATATATATATATATATATATATATATATATATATAGAGAGAGAGAGAGAGAGAGAGAGAGAGAGAGAGAGAGAGAGAGAGAGACAGAGAGAGAGACAGAGAGAGAGAGAAAGAGAGAGAGAGAGAGAAAGAGAGAGAGAGAGAGAAATGAGCTTTCTTAGGAAAAAGAAGAGAACAGCTATTGAATGGCAATCAACATCTCTACCACACTATCTTTAAATTTCAGCTCAAGTACTATGGTTCTCTTCCTGAAATGCTCAATCTTCCATAAATTATCTCAGCCAATAAAACACTTACCTTTATTCTGTAGAATTCATTTGGTATTTATCACATTCTTCTTTGCTTGCCTTCTTGTCTTTTTTATCCAACTGTGTAATAAGCCTTCTGAGTGTGGCATTTATTTTTATACCTCTTTAGAGCTACATGCAGTGTCTAGCACACTTTGCATATAGTTGAAGCTTAATACACTTTTAAAAATTATTTTATCACATTATCAAAAATGAGTAATGGCAAAATGTCAGAACTAGGAGGGAATCAAAGCAAACCTCACCTCTCCCTGCACCACCCTACCTTGTTTTCTCCCCAGTGTTTTTCTAGAATTGACCCAGCTTGTCAAAGTCATCTGGTAGTCCATATTTTTTAGACATCCATTGGTAACTTTTTCCAGGAATACTTTACTTCATGTGAAACTTTCTTTCAAACTTTACTTTGTGGGGTTCATGACTGTATTAGGCCAGTTTGCATTGCTGTAAAGAAATGCTTAAGGCTGGGTAATTTATAAAGAAAAGAGGTTTATTTTGGTTTGCAGTTTTGCAGGCTGTACAGGAAACATGGTGCCAGCATCTGCTTCTAGTGAGGGCCTCAGGGAACTTATAGTCATGGTGGACAGTGAAGGAAGAGCTGGAGTGTCACATGGTGAGAGACGAAGCAAGTGAGAGGAAGAGGGGCCAGACTCTTTTAAACAATAAGATCTCAGAGGAACTACAACAGTGAGAACTCACTCATTATTGTGAGGAAATCACCAAGCCATTTATGAGGGATCTGCCCCCAAGACCTAAACACCTGCCACTGGCCCTCAACTCCAACATTGGGGATCACATTTCCACATGAGATGAGGATGGGCCAAGCATCCAAACTATATCAATGACTGAGCTACAGCTTCTCAGAACTGTAGATGGCTGTCTGTGAAGCAGGAGTTGGTAGCCATCCAGCTTTCCTGGGCGGAAGTCCATACTATAAACTGATTGCCAAAATTGGGAAAAATTCTCTAGATTCAGTAGAAAAGAAACTACATGGACAGACAGCATAATCTGAAGTTCAAATAGCCTTTTCTGGCTTGAGCAGCTTCCTGAAGCTCATTGCCAGTCAGGATGAGCTTTGTATATCCCACTAACTCTAGGCACTTGATTTCCTGGGTGCTCTAATCTAGGAAGAGTCAGCCTGGATTCTTCTCCTCAGCCTACGTTTTAAAAAAGAAGAAGAAAATTTAAAAATGGGCATTTATTTCTCAGTTACCTGTAAGTGTATTGCTACAGTCCAAGGGAAGAAGAGCATGACTGAAATTATTTTTAATAACTACATACATTGATTTCTGACCCCAACATATTCTTTGTTGAGATTGCAGCTATTTCTTAGGAGTTATGGAAAGGCTATAACTTAGTTTTCTGAAAACTTTATGCTAGAGTTAATTTTACTGTGGCCCTCACAGATTCATACGTTTATCTGCAAACTCCTTTCTTTTTGGCCATTCCTTCCAAATAAAAAAAGCTAACCAGGTTAAGGCATTGAAGGTAAAGAGTCCCTCAAAGACAAGAAAAATTACCATATATATTAAACGTACTGATTTGTACACACACATGCGTGCAAATACACATGAAGCACCTCACTATTTAATCTGATATATATATCAGATTATATATATATATATATATATATCTCTAAAGTTGTTACAACTATTAAAGTGGTGGCTTGGAAATGCAGCCAAAGAAAACAGTGACTCCTGAGTTGAGAGGTTTTGTAAACTGGGATGTCCTATCTAGCTAAACTAAGATCAAATTATTTGAAATGTAAGAACATATTTTGTGCTAATCTAGACCACAGAAGGACAGCATGCAAAATAATTTTCAAATAAACACTTTTTAAGTATTTTTTAGGCTTTGGTTTCCTCACCTGTAAAATGAGAGAGTTGGATCAGGATATCTCAGAAGCCTGTTTCAGCTCCATGGTTTTAGAGCTTTATAGAAAATCAGTTGACTAAAATCAACATGGTAGACAGACATTATACTGAATTTAATGAAATTTCTGATATCCTCAGTAAGACTTTCCTGTCTAAACTAACACAATCACATTGAACACTGATTACATTATGCTTCCTATCCCTCCCCATTTCCTCATAAATATGGGTTGTCGCAAATAATTTTCCTAAGGTTTGAACTGTGGTTTGGTTGAATTCTTAGTGACTCATTTGCATGCTGTATCATTATCTCATTTTGTTTATTGCTCACTTAATCAGGTGCCTCTATGGAATGGCAGTCTCCAGAATGTAAAAAGCAAATCATTAGTCATGGCAGGAAGTAAAAAACAGGTGCATTGTGCTCAGCTATGCCAACTTAATATAGCAGAAAACTGTAGTCAGCTTTCTGGGGGGCACCTATCATAAGCTGGGTAAAGTTTTTGACTCTCCCTCATAACTTAATCACTTGCTTTCATTCTCAGTATATATGAAGCAATAACAACATCAATATCATCTCCCCCTCAGGCTACAACAACATCCATGCCTTGCATTTTCTGCTTGTTTCAGACCTTCCTCCTCTTTCACAAGAACATTGTGACTTCCTTTCTAATTAAAAAAGATGAGAAATCTTAAATGGCTTCATTTTTTCTCTCTACTTTTGCTCACATCTCTCACTGATATCAAACTATCCCCGAAAGTAGCATTTTTCCTTTTAAAGAGAAGAGGTATATTCACAATCTCTAAAAACATCCTTCCAACTATCCAAGAATTTGACAAATAAATATTTATTAAGCACCTACCATGTGCTAAGCACCAGGGATGCTAAAACAAATAAACCATGCTCCCATATAGACCTCACTATCTAGGGGAATTGATAGGCATGCAAACTGACAAATACAAATAGCATGGTAAAGGAGATGTATCAGAGGTAAATTTTATTACTCAGAGTTCTCCAGAGAAGCAGAACCAACAAGATATATGCAGATATATAAGAGGAGATTTATTATGAAAATTGGCTCATGTGATTATGGAAGTCAACAATTTCCATGATATGCTGTCTGCAAGCTTTAGAGCCAAAAATACCAGTAGTGTAATTCAGTCTGACTTTGAAAGGCTGAGAATGAGGAGAACTGAAAGCGTAAGAACCAGGACTTGTGGGGGTTCCTGGTGAAAATCTGAGTTCAAAGGCCTTAGAACCAGGAACTCTAATATCCAAGAGCAGGAGAAAATGGATGACCCAGATCACAAAGAGAGAAAGAGAGAATTTGCATCTTCTCAGACTTTTGTTCTATTTGAGTGGGACCTCAATGGATTGAATGATGCTTGCCAACATTGGTGAGGGTGATCTTTACTCAGTCTATCAATTCAAACGCTAATCTCTTCTTGAAATATCCTTAAATACACAATCAGAAATCGTGTTTTTCTAGCTATCTGGCATCCCTTAGCTCAGTCAAGTTGACACACGAGATCAACCACCACAAAATTACTGGACATATGGGAGCAAGTAGATGAAAAGTGCCTAAGTCAGATACGGCAGTAGGACAGAGTCAAAGAAAGATTTTCAGAGGAGAAAATATCAGCAGTGAGTATTGAAGGGCAATTGTGAATTAGGCATTGAAGCAGAAGAAATGGGCACTCTGGGCAGCAGCCAGAACCTATGCCAGGAGGTGAGGGAGCAGTGGGGGAATTGCAAATGGTTAAATATTGTGGAAAAACAGAGTCGGAATAGGGATAAAGGGGAATGTCAAAAAAAATAACAATGACAAGGTAGACAGGGGCCATGATACATAGGCCCAGTAAACTATATTATGGAACTTCAGTTTTATTCTAAAGACTCTAGGTTCTGGAGAAACAAGAAAGTATTTGAAATAAGACAATCATTTGACTAAATTTGCATTTTAGTAGATCACACTGAATTCAGTGTAAAGGTCAGAGTCAAGGGCAGAGCAAGGCACATAGTAGGACCCTAGAAATTATTTGTTGAATAAATGAATGGTGTCAGGACACGAATGGATTGGTACAGGCATATCTGAAGGCAGAGAGTCCTAGTGATGACTGTTGCAATAATTATTTAAATTAATAATGCTGAGGATGGGGAGAAGAAAATGTATTTGAGAGCAATTAAGGAGGTATAATTGATAAAGGTCTTGATTATTTTTATATAGGTGGGAAAAAAGGAAATGAGGAATGCAAGATGAATACCAAGTTTTTACATTAAACTACTAGATAGAGAAGGCTGGGACATTTCTTTAGGTAGAAGACACAGAAGGTGAAGCAAATTATGGAGAAGAGGATGGAGCTAAATCACTTAAATTTGGACAAGTTGGATTTGAGATGTGGTAGAAATATACAGTTGAATGTTCAAATCAGGAACTTAGGAGATAAGTATGGGTTGAAGATACAGATTTGAGAATCATCACTGAATAAGCAATCAGGCCATCAGAGCAGATAAGATCAGTCATGTAACTTGAGCAGAATAAAAAGAAGATCTGAGTGGGAGTGACATCAGCAAGATGGCTGCCTCTACTATCCCTCACAGAAATACTAACTGGCAAATATCTACAGACAAGAATGCCTTTGTGAAAATCCCTCAGCCAAGGGTGAGGCATAAGAATCCCATTGGCCCACTGACACCGAGGAAAGCTACATTACAGGGGCAAAGAGTTTCACTTTGACCATGTTGCTCCTCTTTCAGGCTGACACAATGCCACACCAAGAGGGTTTCCTTGGGCCTACTGTTTCAACAGTAGGAAAAAGGGCCTAAGGCAGACATTCAGCTTCCTCAGCATTCCACATCACTTCCAGGAGGCTAATTTATTTATTGCCTGGGCAACATGAAGGGAATTGGCAGGGCTAGACCACCTGAGGCCCATTATGAACACAAAAGAGGGGTAAAGCTCACAGTGACCAGCACACAAATTTTGGCAGTGGCACCACATCCCTGCCAATGGTATTGCTCAAGCACAGAGTTCAGTCCACAGATGCTGGTAAGGTTGTGGAGGAAAGGGAATGTTTTTACATGGTTGGTGGGAGTGTAAATTAGTTCAATCATGGTGGAAGGGAGCATAGTGATTCTTCAAAGATCCAGCGGCAGAAATAACATTTGGCCCAGCAATCCCACCACTGAGTATATGCCCAAGGGGATATAAATTATTTTATTATAAAGATACATGCATGCATATGTTCATTGCAACACTATTCACAATAGCAAAGACATGGAATCAACCCAAATTTCCATCAATGATAGACTGGATAAAGAAAATGTGGTACATATACACCATGGAATACTACGCAGCCATAAAAAGGAACAAAATTATGTCCTTTGCAGGGACATGGATGAAACTGGAAGCCATTATCTTCAGCAAACTAATGCAGGGACAGAGAACCAAACACCACATGTTCTCACTTATAAGTGGGAGCTGAACGATGAGAAAACATGGACAAATGGTGGGGAACTACATACACTGGGGCTCCTGACAGGGGTGGAGTTAAGGGAAGAAAAACATTGGGAAGGATAGCTAATGGATGCTGGACTTAATACCTGGGTGAATGGTTGATTTGTGCAGCAAACCACCATGGCACACGTTTACCTATGTAACAAACCTGCACATCCTGCATATGTACTCTGGAACTTAAAATAAAAGTCGAAGGGAAAAAAAATCCTAGAAGAAAGCCAAGAAAATCGCTGTCTTGACATTGGCCTTGCCAAGGAATTCATGGCTAAGTCCTCAAAAATAATTGCAACAAAACCAAAAATTGACAAGTGGGACCTAATTAAACTAAAGAGCTTCTGCACAACAAAAGAAACTATCAACAGAGTAAACAGATGGTGGATTGGATAGAGAAAATGTATATATACACCATGGAATACTACACAGCCATAAAAAAGAATGAACTAATGTCCTTTGCAGCAACATGAATACAGCTGGAGGCCATTATCCTAAGTGAATTACCACAGAAACAGAAAACCAAATAACACATGTTCTTACTTATAAGTGGGAGCTAACCATTGGGTACATGTGGACATAAAGATGGGAGCAACAAGCACTGGAGACTACAAGAGGGAAAAGGGGAGAGGGGGGCAAGTGTTGAAAAATACCTATTATTGGGTACTATGTCCACTATGTGTATGACAGGTTCAATCCTACCCCAAACCTCAGCATGACACAATATACCCTTGTAATAAACCTGCCTATGTACTCCCTGAATCTAAAATAAAAGTAGAAAAAATATGTCAGGTACAGAAAGATGAATATCACATGTTCTCACTCATATGCCAGAGTTTAAAAAGTGGATTTAACGAAGATAGAGAGTAAACTGGTGGTTACCAGAGGCCCGGAAAGAGAAGGGAGTCAGGGATGAAGGGAGAAAAAAGGGAATATAAATATCTTTATTACCACTGAACTGTACGATTAAAAGCGTAAAGATGGTAAATTATATGTGTATATTTTACCTCAATGAAAAAATAAAAAAATTAAAAACTTTGTACAGCAAATAAAACCAAAATGAAAAGGCAACCTATGGATTGAGAGAAAATATTTGCAAACCATATATGTGATGAGAGACTAATATCCAAAATATATAAGGAACTCATACAACTCAATAGTGATAATAGTAATAGTAATAATTTGATTTAAAAATGGGCAAAAGACCTATGCAGACATTTTTCAAAAGAAGACATAAAAATGATCAACAGGTATGTGAACAGGTGCTCAACATCACTAATCATCAGGAACATTTGAATCAAAGCCATCATGAGATAGCACCTCACACTTGTTGTTGAAAAGTAAGAGATAAGATTTATTAGGAGGATGTAGGTTAAAGGGAACTTTTGTGCATTGATGATGGGAGTTTAAGTTGGTACTGGTGTTATTTATAACAGTATAGGACTTCCTTAAAAAATAAAAACATAACTACCATATGATCCAGCAATTTCATTTCTTGGTATATATCTGGAGGAAACAAAATCCATATGTTGAAAAGATATCTTCACTCCCATGTTCACTGTAGCATTATTCAGAATAACCAAGACATGGAAACAACCAAAGTAGCCATTGATGGATGAATGAATAAAGAAAATGTTATAAACATATGTATACACACACATATAGTATTGTATTATTATATGTATAACATTATAATATTACTATATATACTATATGTAGAATGTAATGTTATATATAATATAAACATAATATATGTAGTAATGTTATATATATAGTATGCATAGTGTGTGTGTGTGTGTGTGTGTGTGTGGGTGTGTGTGTATATATAATATAATGTTATTCGGCATGAAATAGAAGGAAATCCTGCCATTTGCCACAATGTAGATGAACCTGGAGCACCTTATGCTAACTGAAATAAGTCAGCCAGAGCAAGACAAATTCTGTATGATCTCACTTATATGTGAAATCTAAAAAGTGCAAACTCAGAAAAGAGAGAGTAGAATGGTGGTTGCCAGAGTCTAGAGGGTGGGAGAAATGAGGAGATGTTGGTTAAAATATACAAATAGTCAATTATGAGAGAATAAGTTCCAGGAATCTAATGCACAGCATGGTGACTATAGTTAAGAAGGCTGTAGAGTGTAATTGAAATTTGTGAGAGTACATCTTAAATGCTCTCAATACAAAAAATAAAATTGGTAACAATGTGAGGTGATGGATGTGTTAAATAACTTGAATGTGGTAATCATTTCACAATATATACATATATCAAAGTAGTACATACACCCAAAATGTGTGCAATTTTGTTTGTCAATTAAATTATACCTTATTAAATCTGGTAACAAACAAACAAATAGAAAACAAGAGGGCCTAAGATGGAGACTTGAAGAATGCCAACTATTCTGATGAATTTTCCTGCTTTCCCATTGATTGTAAATTGTTCTCCGTCTGTTGAATTATCTAAAGCATGCTGATAAAAATTTGGGTTTCTGAATGTCAATTTTATAAGCCTATCCAGCATTAAAACAGAAAAGAACAAAAGTAGATGAATATGATGATGATCTCTATGTGTGAACAGGAAGATAATGACTGTGGTGGAAGATTCAAGTAAGAAAACTGACTGAAAGGAGGCTTTCTAAAAGATATCTTGGGTACAAAACTCAGGGGTACATGTAACTCAAGCTTCAGTTGTCAGTAATTCCAGTTGTCAGACTGGAATTATGCCTGGAACTTAGCAAGATAGAGTATCCTTGAGAACTTAAGCTATGAATTGGCTAACCAGCCTGAAAATGAAAGAGATTGGATTTATAAAATTCACTGTTCCAAAATTATGCCTTTTTCAGCTGGATGCAGTGACTTAGCTGGATACCAAGATTACTTTCTCAAGACGACATTCCTCAGTCTATAGGAAGGCAGATTTCTATATAGCATGGCTAAATAAGAAAACCACAGGCTAACATACTTTTTTCAGAGGCTATGGAATATGAAAACAGAATTGTGACCCAAAAGTAAGTTTAGTTCCTTGCACATTTGTGACACAATTTCACCAGAAGACATCCTTTTATTTGAGACAGACCTGATGGCTTTGATATAGTTTAAAAAAAAAAAGTCTAGTTTCACTAAACTTAGAGTGAAGATATTCCTTCAAATTTGTATCATTTTGCTTGATACTAAAGATTATTACCACTTGTTATTTTCTTAATTGGAACAAAAAATAATTACCCACCATCAGTCCTGCCTTATCCAGTAATATCTGAAAGACTAAAATTTTCCTATGTGTTTCTTCCCCTTTCTTTTTTAACACATATATAACTTCAGCTCCTTTGGAATGTCATATTTGTACTCATTCCACTATTCTGGAATCATTTTTGTTTCTGTCAACTTGAATTTCTCCAAGGACCCAGTCCCACTTGTGGCATCAAAATTTGAATCGTTCTTTACTACAGATTGACAAATATTAAAAATAGAAAAAACATTAAAATCCAATTCAACGTAATATGCTTCAATCATCTAAAACCTAGTCCTTTTTAGCTCAGAGTATTTTATTGCTGAATTGTGTTTAGCTTTGCTGACCATAACTTTTTTTTTTTTTTTTGAAACAGAATCTTGCTCTGTCGCTCAAGCTGGAGTGCAGTGGTGTGATCTCAGCTCACTGTAAGTTCTGCTGCCCAAGTTGAAGCGATTCTTCCACCTCAGCATCCTGAGCAGCTGGGACTACAGGTACACACCACTGCACCTGGCTAATCTTTATATTTTTAGTAGAAGTGGGATATCACCATGTTGGCCAGGCTGGTCTTGAACTCCTGACTTCAAGTGATCTGCCTGTCTTGGCCTCCCATACTGCTGGGATTACAAGTGTGAACCACCATGCTGGCCTGTGACATTTTAATCTAGTCAATCAGTCTTGGAAAATAAAGCCTTGCTTTCTGTGGCACCTAAACCAACTGATATGGTTTGGCTCTGTGTCCCCACCCAAATCTCTTCTTGAATTGTAATCCCCATAATCCCCACGTATTGAGGGAGGACCTATAGGGAAGTGATTGGATCCTGGGGGCCATTCCCGCACGCTGTTCTTGTGATAGTGAAGGAGTTCTCATGAGAGCTGATGGTTTTATAAGTGTTTGGAAGATACCCCTTCACGGCACTCTCCCTCCTGCTGTCTTGTGAAGAAGGTGCCTTGTTCCCCTTCACCTTCCACCATGATTGTAAGTTTCCTGAGGCCTCTCCAGCCATGTGGAATGGTGAGTCAATTAAACCTCTTTCTTTTAAAAATTACCCAGTCTCAGGTATTTCTTTATAGCAGTGCAAAAACTGACTAATACACCAACCTCTTTGATATCAGTTTCATGTCAAGAATAAGAAAAATAAGGAAGAAAATTGGGAGATCGACATATTGAAATTTAAAGAATAGAATTGGGTTTGAAAAAAATGTTTTAGGTAAAAATCTTTCCATGAAAAAAATTTTTCAAAATGAATATGGAGTGGTGGGGAAAATTTGAAGGTGTTGAGAAGTTGTTTTAAAAAAGGAAAAGTTGTAAGAGTGAAAAGAAATACTGTGGTTCAATCCACTGGTTGAGAAATGTTGAGAGAGCAATTTTAATCACCCTTGTTCCATTGTCTCTTACTGCCATGTCTTTCTAAAAGACCCAGTTCAAATCTTCAATTCCCTTTTATTCCATCCTCTTCCTTCCACATTCTCCTTTCTCTCTCTTTCTTCCTTCCACCTACCTCCTTCCTTTTCTTCTTTCTCTTCTCCCTCATCACAGAGTTTTGCAATAAGGGATTCAAAAAACTCACCAGTATGCACGCAAGTGTAAGAGATAAATAAAGCCAAGGGTAGATATGGGTTAGAATAACTGGGAACCATGCCAAATAAATTCCACTATTTAATACAGTTTAATTCACTTCAACAGTAATTTATAAAGTACCTCCTACATGCAAGACATCCTAGTAAGCACTAGCGACACAAAGATGATATTTAACATATTGTATTAAAGGAGTTTATAGTCAAGTATATTTAATTCAGAAATTCATTTACTGTTTTTACTGGAGAGAATTGTCATATTTTACACTTTTCATCTAATGTTTACTAAAGAGTTTATATAGCAGCATTTGAGGAGTAAATAACTAAGATCTAGCAGGATGATTGTTTGCTATTCTGTTGTCTGGGACAATAAGTATTTACCAGTGGAGCTCTTTATGTACCTAGTACAACCTTGATATTTTAGACTCTAAAATTATACCATTATTTAATTTTATCCACCTACAAACAGGAACAGAATGATACGACTAAGTCAGGCCAAGTTTTTCCATCTAGTCTTTGTTGTGACCATGTTGGAAATATTTCATAGTGAAGCCCTGTAACTGGAAGCTCCAGGATGATTTTGCTGTGTTTGGGTAGCTTTTCACTGAGCCATAAGGGTGAGTTACTCATTATAGCAGTGCTACTCAGGGTTTTCTATTCTAAGAGTTATCTTTCCTCATTTCTCTCTTGTTTCCTTCTCTCTTTCCATTTCTTAAGCACCTGTTAACTCTGCTACAAATGAGGCACTACACTCTAGTAGTTGTCCCTTACTCTGCTCTTCTTATCAATGAGCAGACATTTCAAGGGCCACCCATGACATCTGAAGGCATAAAGTGTATGAATTATTTAAGTTTCATAGTGTCTGGTAGTTTCCATATACAAGTTTTAGATTTCATTTTTTAAATTGAAATATGAACTTTGTTTGAGAAGTCAAAGACTAGGACATAAAAAAATAAACAATGTTCTATATCCCCATCCCCATTTCCTGCTCTACAAAGACAAATTCTTTTCAATACCTTTATCTCTTTCTTTTGTAATTTATCTCTGTATCTCTAACATACCTATATTTTGCTTAAATAATCTTTTAATTACTTTTTTTTAGTCTTATGTCTTATCTATTGATCCAACATTACGGATGGCAGGTCCTTGGCTCTCTTTTGTCCCTACTCCCTACCACCTTTGTAGTTATATAATGGGCCAAGGTATAGACCTTACCAGTGGAACCTGAGTAAAAGTTGGCTGGGCAATGTGTTAGAAATCACAGACTTGCTTCTTATTCTCTCAGCCTATCTCTGCTTTTGTTGGTGCTACAACAAATAAATATGTATCAAAGTGTAGCCCACTAAAGTTTGTTTCCATGCATTTATTGCTTTCTAGTTTGGGCCATCTCTGCTGCTCTCTGTGGGACACCTTTGGAAATGTGCTCAGTCATATCATCCATCCGTAATACTGGAAGTGCAAGAGTTAACATCCCTAGGACAACCTTATCTAATGGAGGGCAGGACTGGCAGACAAATGTTCCTTTCTTCTGTTCCTTGGTCTGAACAAACCCTGAAGTCCAGTCTACATGTTATTTTAGAAGACCTCTGTGGGACCAAGCCACAATTCTCTATGGTGGTAGCCAGCTTAATAATGCATTGCCTTTCACTTCTCTCTGGTTTCCCTCAATCCAGTCTCCTTCTCACATTCCCCAAAATAACTACCTCCATGTGGGTTCTTACTCTAAGCTCTGTTTTTTTGGGGAAACCCGGGCTACTATAAAGGCTTTTGGGAAAGATGATCCCACCTGATTAAAAGGAGAGAGGTGTATGAGGAGAAAGGTCTGCCCTTTCTTGTCACTTTTGAACATTGTCTTGAGGATATCATGCTTGGAGCTATGAAAAAAAAAGGCCAGAGAATCACAAAAGAGGGGACATCCGCAAAGAATCACAAAGAAGGATCACTGAAATTGCTAAACTGCCTAATTAACCAATTCTGGGATTGCCTTCTTTCAGATTTCTTGTTATAAGAAATAATAGTGCTTTTAAAATGTTATCTAGGAATTTCTTAATTGCAACTGAAAGCATTCAGACATGCGTTGCAATCTTCCTTGGCTTTAGGCCTGTCCTGATGGGGATGGAAAACAACTTATTCTCATGTCCTAACCTTTGTACATGTTATTCCTTGTACTTGAAATGGCCTCCCGATTTCTTCCTTTTCTTCCTGATTGCTCCTCTTCTTGGCTGTCTAATTCTCATTTTTCTTCAAGATTCAACTTAAGCTCCACATTTAGTTTGAATTAAATGCCCCTTCTCCTGCTTGCCTCATACCCTTGCATACCTTCCTCAGAACACCTTACAGTGTCTTATAATCTGCTATGTGTTTTTTGTCTCTGTTTAAATTGTAATATTCCATCTAAATTGTAATATTCCTAAAGATAGAAACTCTGTTTCCAGGGCTTAGTACAATGCCTAACATTTAATGATATATTTACTGAATGATTAATTATGGCTGGGAGGGGAGATGTTGGCAGAATGGTGATAAAGACAAACCATAGTTTGGACTCAGAGTCAAGGTCATTTGATCTAACATTCCTATTTTATAGAAAACAAAACAGGTTGGGTATCAATAGTAAAGAATTTCTGCTGTATAAAAATTACTAAAATGCTCTATAAAACAAATGGATGAGATTAAACAATCTTTATGATTCCTTCCAAACAATTAAAAAATTACTTACTTCTTCTTAAAAAAAATTTAATGCCAGATACTGGTAGAGAAAGTCCTAGAGTCAAGGTTTCTTGACAGTCTTTTTAAAACATCTCCTTTGTCACATAGGTCCATGGATACATGAATAGACGTCATTATCGAGGTTAAGCAAAACTCTTCTCCTAGCCGAAGACACCTGTGAACAAAATTTCTGAGTAAATAAATTTTATGAAAAACAAGTAGTTAGTTGGTTATCAAGCTATTATTTTTCAAATCTGCTGTTCTATACTCTGCTCTGTGATGCTGTGGCTGGGACCCTGTAGACCACATTTCTGCTTTCCCTGCCTGCTCCGTGAAAAGCTGCTGATAGAGGATACTAGAGAGAGTCTGAAAGGCAGAAGGAAAGGCAGGGTCATGCTCCTTTCTGTTGGTTTTCTGTTATGATCACTATCAGCAGTGGTTCTATGCCTCAGCAGCAGTGGCTGGTTCCAGTAACCGTTTATTTCAATTCCCAGTTTTTTCTCCATAATCTGATACTCAAGCCCTCTTTCTCACAGATGCCTGCACCAGCTCCACTGGCACTTTCCTTTGAGCTCCTGAGCCATCAGAACCAGCCAGACAACATCTCTTCCTCAGAATTCTGGGTCTCAGCTCTGTGGGATCATTCTTTCTCCAAGCTCTTTGTTCTAATAACCCCAGTCATTTCTCTTTGTTGCCCCAGCCCTAGGGACAGTAGCTGAATTCTGCAGTTACTACTTCTATGTTACCACGGTGTTCTTTCTTTCCTTTTTCTAGTCCTTCACTACCTGCTTAACTAAATCCCTATATAAAATTGTCTCTGTTAAAATAACTGGCATGGCATTTATTTTCTTAACTAGAATCATACTGTGAGATATATGAATCTATTTTAAAACATATATACATATATAATTATTTGTTTATTTTTACATGTTAATAGAAAGCAAATATTTTCATATCTGTAAGTAATTTTTTCTTTATGTTAAATCCCTGTAAACTCTCATGAGCTACTTGAAAACCAGGACTGCTGTGGGTTGGATGTGGTTTGTCCACACAAAAACTCCCGTTGGAATTTGGTACCTAATGTGGCAATGTTGAGGGTTGGGGCCCAGTAGGAGGGGATTGGGCCATGAGGGGGGATGCATCCTAAATATCTTAATGTCCTCCCTGAGGGTGAGTGAGTTCTCACTATCTCTTGACAATAGATTAGTTTCTATGAGAGCAGCCTGTTATAAAGTGTCTGGCTTCCTTGGTTTCTCTCTTGCTTCCTCTCTTGCCATGAAATATTTTCACACACACTGACTCTTCTGCTTTGCCATGAGTGGAAGCAGCATGAGGTACTCACCAGGTGCAGCTACTCAATCTTAGATTTTCCAACTAGGTTTATTATGAGCCAAATAAAGCTTATTTCTTTATAAATGATCCAGTCTCGGGTATTCTGTTTCAGCAACACAAAATGGACTCAGGGATAATTTTATTAATTCATATATTCCTTAACCATAGTAGGTTGTTGAATGAATTAATTAGAATTCCTGGATAAAACACCTGGATAAAATACCAAAGAAAGACTAACATGGGAAGCTGTGATGACGTCAGCAGGAATTTAGTCTTTTTGGTTGCAAAGCAGATGATTATTGCTAAGGAAAAGAAATTGTGGCATTTTCTGTAACATCATCATTTAAGCTTTAGAATTAATTTGGAAAATGTGTTTATTTATGACTCAAAGAAGCTGGACTTAGAAACAAATTTCTGGCCATCAGGGACTGAAATGTGCCAAGATCATAAAAATCATGACCATTCATTACGTACCTACTGTGTGCCTGACACGGTGCTATTTTGCGTCTATGATCTCTAATTTTCCCCAAAATCTTATTTTTAGTAACACAATATTTATTTTACAAATGAAGAAATAGGCTATGATAGTCTAAGTAAATTGCCCAGGATTGCATAGCTAGTTAGTAACTAAGATGTGATTTAAAACCCAGGTTTTTTACTCCTAAGACCATTTTATTTTGCCATGTCTTCTTAGGGCTCAAGATTTGGCCTTGCTAATTGAGGTAGAGATGCACAATCTTGTACTTCACATTTTCGTATCTAGTACAATGTGCTCTAATGAGCACTTGAACTTATTGTTGGGCAGTATGAGAAATAACAGCTTTAAAACAGCTTAATGCTTGAAGTCTTTTTTATATAGAAATAAATGCTAGTAGAACAAAACAGTGCCTTTCTTACACTCTGTTAACTGTTGTTAAGTGTGCTTTAATCTACTCCTGACCCAGTGCATAGGCTTTGATCTGATTGCATTTCTGGATCTGAATCTAATTTACTGTTGAAATTTGATTGAGATTTAGCTTTGATTAGCTTAGTGTCAAAGGTACGTGGGTTTTTTTCTTTCAGGGGCCTATGGTTTTATCTTCTCTATCACTATCTCTAAGATACTTCTTGATAAACTTTTTGTCAGCATTAGAGAATTGTTTCTATTAGCCATTGGCCTTATTGTGCACTCAGTAACCTTAGGGTTTTTTTTTCTTTGTTTTCCAGTTCTCTCTTTCTGCCCAAAGACAAAATCACCTTGTGAGATGGAGCAGGAACAATTATTGATCTTGTTAGGGCTAAATCTCCTATCTGGTCAATGCTAAGAGGATTTACCAATGTACATTTCTGCTAAATTTATTCCTTATCCCTTCTCAGCCTTTAGAAGTACAGAACAACAACTTTCTCCTTTATTAGTTAGAACATTTAAGAGTTGATACACATATAATAATAGAAAGGCCATTAACCTACCAGATTGTTGCTACCAGCAGCTGGTTTCACATTGATACCGGTTCAGAGCCTTTATGTCTTACATGGAATATTTTGGACAAGAAAATTAAACACAATTTTGGAAATAAGATTTTCAGACAGAAGAAAAGTAAGTTTTGACAGTTTGGCAGGTGGAGGAATACATGTTGAACATGATGGTCCAAGAGCTGGTTTGAATGAACCGAGAATGGTTAGAAGGGATTGAAAGAAGACAGAGATGGACAAGCTTACATTTCATATTTTCATATCTAGTGCAGTGTGTTCTACTTGGACTTATTGTTGGCCAATCTGAGAAATATCAGTTTTAAAACAGCTCAAAGCTTGAAGTCTTTTTATGCAGAAATCAATGTAGAAGCACACGGAAACTGCAACATCCCTCAGCCCCAACTCCTTGGGAGCTGAGAAAGAAGTGGTATTGGAAAGGGAGATGAGGTTTGGATTCAAGGCAAGTTTTGTTTACATCCCAGTTTTTCTTGGGACTAGCTCTGTTGGTAATCTGTCTTTCCCAGAAAATGCTAAGCATGAAGATTTTCTGGTCATGGAAAACATAGAAGAAAAGCTACATGGCATTCACATATGCAGTGTCTTTCTTAATAGTTTGGGAAGTGAAAGGGGTTCTGGTGGTTTGTAGGGAAATTACAAAGTGAGAAAGAAGATTAAAAATAAGAATTCCTGCAAAGATCAAAAGAACCCTGCTGGGGAAGTTCCCATGATCTAGAAGTTGGTTATTATGATTTAGTGCACATTCTCTTAATTGCTATCGCTATTTTTCAAATCAGTCTCCTGGAGATGTGGGAGCATAACACCAATTTTACAGTTTAGCTTAAAGCTAAACTCTATTTACTTTAGAAACATGTTTATGAGTGCCTACCCATAAACTGAAGAATACATGTAAGAAATTATGTTGAAAGGAGACAGAGAATAAAGCAGGAAAGGAATACTTACTGAGCATCTACTATGTATCAGACATTGTACTAGGTTTTTTTTTTAAGAAAAAAACTTAATTTTGAGATAATTGTAGGTTCACATGCAATTGTAGGAGAAAAATGCAGAGAGATCCCATGTACCTTTTACCCAGTTTTTTTTTTAACCCCAGTGGTAACATCCTATAAAGATATAGTATAATACGAAAAACTTGCTTACTTTAGAAGTCCAATTCTATCCCATTTTAAATAGAAAAATTTGAGGACAGAGTTTAAAATAATGCTGAATTTTACCTAGTAAAATAAATCAAAGGTAAAATTGAATTGAAAATTTAAAATCAAATTTTAGCTACTCACACAAAGCAAGGGATATCTGTGGAAAATAATGTATAAAAAGTAATATTGGTAATTGATATGGTTTGTCTGTGTCCCCACCCAAATCTCATCTTGAATTTCCACATGTTGTGGGAGGGACCCAGTGGGAGGTAATTAAATCACGGGGGCAGGTCTTTCCCATGCTATTCTCATGATAATTAATAAGTCTTAGGAGATCTGATGGTTTTAGAAAGGGGATGTTCCCTGGATGAGCTCTTTTCTCTTGTCTGCCACCATGTGAGACATGCCTTTTACCTTCTGCCATGATTGTGAGGACTCCCCGGCCATGTGGAACTCTGAGTTCAGTACATCTCTTTCTTTTGTGAATTGCCCAGTCTTGTATATGTCTTTATCAGCAGTGTGAAAATGGACTAATACAGTAATAAATGTGAGTGACCAATAAGATCCTAAAGAAAGAAGATAATTTTGAAAGAGTTAAAAAAATTAGAGAGCTTAGTTCCTAGTAGCTATCAAAAGATTATGTATCCAAAATAATAAAAGAGTTTGGTATCAGTGAAGAATACCAAGATAGATCAGTAGAAGACAATATAAAGTCCGGAAATGGAGTCAAATAGATGTATGTGTTTTTAGTCTTTTATAAAAGGGAAATTCAAAATTAGTGGGAAGTGATAGCATATTCAAAAGTGATGAGGACAATTTGATCAGGGAAAAAAAATTGACATCCTACACTTATTACGTATATCAAAATAAATTTGCAGATGAAACCCAATTATTGGAGGAAAAAAGGAACTATAGTTGTGAATAAGATAAGGGCTTACTTAGAAAATACTATGAGTATCTGGGTGATAGGATCATTTGTACCACAAACCTCATCATTATGCAATATAACCAGGTAACAAACTTTCACATGTACCCCACCACCAAGCTAAAATAATAGTTGAAATAAAAAAAAAAATCCTTAGAGCTGAGAACTTCATAATCATGACACAAAACCCAGAAGCTTTATTGGGAAAGATGGATAAATTTGACTACATGCAAATTAAAACTATTAAATAGGAAAATGCTATTAAATTATTTTAAATCAAAACCACAAATAGAGGCACATACTTACAAAATGTGTGAAAGAGAGTTCATTTCCTTCAGCAAATCAATAAAAAAAGACCAAATGCCTGGTAGTAAAATGGTGAAGAATACCAACAGGAAGTTTGTAGATAAA
The DNA here is from genome assembly GCF_000001405.40 of Homo sapiens. Lineage (NCBI taxonomy): Eukaryota > Metazoa > Chordata > Mammalia > Primates > Hominidae > Homo > Homo sapiens. The sequence continues at coordinate 115,379,241 of NC_000003.12, forward strand.
TACAAGTGGTGAGTAAAGATATAAAATTATTCTGAACCTACTTGTAATTAGGCAATTACAATATAAAATTTTTAATGAAGTGCCAATTTTCTTTGATCAGATTGTCATAGATTAAAAATTAGGTATTGAGCATATTGGATCAAGAAAAACAAGCACTCGCTCTTGCATGAAGATACATTTTTTTTAAAACTTATTTTAAATTTAGTGGCACAAGTGCAGGTTTGTTACATAGGTAAACTTATGTCATGGGGGTTTGTTGTGCAGATTATTTCATCACCCAGGTATTAAGCCTAGTACCCATTAGTTATTTTTTCCTGATCTTCTCCTTTCTCCCACCCTCTAACCTCCACTAGGCCCCAATTTGTGTTGTTCTCTCTATGTGTCCATGTGTTCTCATCATTTTGCTCCCACTTATAAGTGAGAACATGTGGTATTTGGTTGCCTGTTCCTGTGTTTGTTGGCTAAGGAAAAATGGCCTCCAGCTACATCCATGTCCCTGCAAAGAATATTATCTCATTCTTTTTTATGGTTGTATAGTATTCCATGGTGTCTATGTGCCACATTTTCTTTATCCAGTCTATCATTGATGGGCATTTATGTTGATTCCATGTCTTTGCTATTGTGAATAGTGCTGCAATGAACATATGCATGCAAAAGAATACTTATACTTTGTTGGTGGAAGTGTAAATTAGTTTAGCCAATGTGGAAGATAGTGTGGTGATTTCTCAAAGACCTAAGGACAGAAATACCATTCAACCAAGCAATCCCATTACTGGGTATATACCCAAAGGAATATAAATCATTCTATTATAAAGTTCTATGTTTAAAGTTCTGCTAGGCAGTGTCCCAGAGGGGACTCTGTATGGAGGCTCCAACCTACACTATCCCCTCACACTACCCTAGTAAATATTCTCTCTGAGGGCTCTGCCATACCAGCAGCTTCTGTCTGGGCACTCAAGCTTTCTCACACATCTTCTGAAATCTACGTGGAAGCTGTGAAGCTTCTTTCACTGTTGCACTCTGCATGCCCACAGGTTTAATACCATATCAAAGCAGCCAAGGCTTATGACTTGCACCCTCTGAAGCAGCAGCCCAAGCTATATCTGTGGCCCTTGAACTGAGGATGGAGCTGGAGCAGCCTGAATGCAGGGAGCAATATCCTGAGGCTGCACAGGGAAGTGGGGTGGGGGGGACCTGAACCCTGGAAACATTCTTTTCCTCTAGACCTCAGGGCCTGTGATAGGAGGTGCTGCTTCTTAGATTATTTGTACCCTAAACCTCAGCAACATGCTATTTATCCATGTAAAAAACCTGCACATATACCCCCCTGAACCTAAAATAAAAGTTAAGAAAAACAAAAAGAAAATAAAAGTAAGTATTTAGAAGAAAACATAAGAAAATGGTTAAGTATTTCCTTGAATCGTAGAGTTCAGAGGTAGATATTACCTTTTTTATATGCTACCAAATTATAAAAATGTTTTAGCAAGTGCATGTATTGCCTTTATATCTACTATCAAAAGTAGTTGATGGCTTTAGAAATAGTTTCCATGCATTAATGAGGCCCTCCTAGTCAGAGGTCATGTCTACTCTTCACCTGTTCAGAGGCCTTCCCTCATTCTCCTTCCTTGGTTCCCCTGCTTAAAGTGCTTTCCTCTGCCTTATCTTAATCATTGTGTATCAGATTACTCTGTTTTATTTTACACAGAACAATTATCACTATCTAGGATTCTTATTTATTTGCTTGCATATTAATTTCCTGCCTTCCTACAATATGTAATCAACTCCAAGAGGGAAGGATTTTGTATGCGCCTTGTTTAGTGCTGTATCCCCAGCTGCCAGTAGGGTGCCTGGTACATAGTGAGTGCTCAAAAATATTTGTTGAATAACTGAGTGAATTGCAAACAATATTAAAAAGAACCAGGGCTACTTATTGACCCATTTCACTTGGGAGGCAAATTGGATTTCTCCAAGTTGGACACATGGCTTCATTCTTTATTCTTCCTTTGATACATCATGCAGTCAGTACCTGCTCTGTAGAAGAGCGGTGAGCTGTGAGGAATACCAAAATATAATAATGTCTATCCTGTTCTCATCAGCTTACAATTGGGTAGAAGAGAAACACAAGTCACTACTAGTCAGTCCGCTGCTGGATGAGGGGCCCTTGAACCAGGAGAGGTTACCCAGGGTAAGGTAGAGGGAAAGAGTAGTGGTTCTTGCCTCAGTCAGGTTGTGGGGGGTGTAGTGAAGAAGAGTTTCTGCCCCTCTGTACTGGGAGACAGAAGTTCTGGAAACCACTATCACATTGCAGCTCTGGGGATTTACCCCCATGCACAGAGGATTCTGATATGCCATCCCTCTTCTGCCAGGGTTTCTCTACCATATGGTTTCTATGGTTCCCCCGAATCTCTGCCGCATGGGAGGGACCTCTGTCATGCATGCCAGCTGGCTCGTGGGCCCTGTTTTCTCACCTTATTTCTGCCAACGCTGTTTCAGAGAGCTGGGCCCGGTTCCCACTTTATCCAACCTTATCTCAGAGAGCATTCTCTGAACACAATCATCCTTACATGGGAAAAGAAACATAATCAGAATACAGCATCTTTCCAACAATCACTGGATCCTCTGCCTGGAAATTTCCACTTTAAAGACTCACTTCTTTGGTTAATACATTACCCCCTTTTGGATTTCAAATGCTACTTGGAATTTTAAAAGGCACATTATAATATTAAAACAATAAAGAGGGAGAAAACAAAAATATTTAATGCCTCAGTGTGAAAATATGAATCAGGCATTTGGCTTTTGGATTATAGGCTATCAGGAAATGACAGAGCCCTCAGAAATATATGTGTGTGTGTGTATTTAAGCTTTTATCCATTTCTGTTGTTTTTGCACAGTGAGAATACTGATCCCTCTGAAAGTACAGTGGCGTGGCTAAGATAATAAGCAAGTTTCCTGAATCCTTGCCTCTTTGGAATTTGAGGGATAGATCCTGTTGAGTGTTAACATGGAGATTCTTGGGCAGACAGTTGACAGGCCAAGACACTGAGCATCTAGGTTGGTACTCAAAAAAGAAAAATGGTTTTTTGCTTGTATAGGAATTAAGGGCTCAGATTCTGGTTAGAGCAACATAGATTTGACTGTTGATTTGCTATGTGAATTGGGTACATAACAACATCTTTAAGTTGCAGTTAATTTACTTATGACAGACAGATGGTAAAAGTACCTGATTCATGGTGTTGTTGTAAAGATTAAATGAGCTAAAGTAGGTAAAGCACGTTGCAAAGTCCTTGCTTTTACTAGGTACTTGATAAACACTGGCTACTGCAAATGAGGAGGTTGTTAAAGGCAAGGTTTACCTACTTCATATTGCTGTGAAGGGCCCTCCTGATGTCAAGATGCTGATCCAGCCGGCTGTCCTCTCATCCCTACTGTTTCTCTGCATCTTAATGTTCACAGTTTCGAAGTGAACTAGATGATTTATTCTGCCTACCGTCGTATCAAGAATATCTCGTGTGGTATTATAAAGGAATTAATTTTAGATGGGGCAATGTGTCCCGGGGTATCTTCAAATCACAATATCTTTGGAGTATATGAAAGAGTTAGGGAATATGGTAGAAGCAATGGAAATGTTAGGATTTTATGATTCTTAAAGTTACCTCTTCCTGCCTATTTTCCCAAGATGGCATGTGTTTCCACTGGTGAAAATGTAGCAACAATTGGACTACTATGAACATTTGGAAGACAGTTGTGTTCCTGGGAAACTCTACCCTGATATTTGGAACATAGAGAAGGAACCACGTGGGTCTAATATGCCATGTAATTCTTTGATTCATCTCAAAGATCTTAGACAGATAAAGAGTTTTTCCACCAGACTTACCCCAGCAGAGGACATGGGCTCAAAACTTATGATCAAAAAAACAAACTTTTTATTAAAAAACAAAAATCCATGCTCTCAGAGGAAAAGCAGCCTCAGATGCTCAGGTTAAAAGAATTGATCATGGATAATAACTTACTCTTGTGGCTTTCCCAGTTACTTATTCCACTTATAACAAGCTCCTCTGAAGGTCCATGGAATTATCTGAGTTTTAAAATGGAGATTCCCTAGCTCCATCTACATGGTTGGGAGTGGGGCCTTAAAATAATAATTTTTAATGAGCACCTTTATCTGATTCAAGCTCATTTGAAACACACTTAGAAATATATTAATTGAAATATTGGCACAAAAATCCCTGTGTCAGTTACAAAGCTAACACAATCGACCTCCTATTCATATTCTTAACTCCTTTTTTTTTGCATGAACCACTCATTTTACCTAGAGATGATATATGATTTTGTTGTCTAAGAAGTTGAATAAAATACAACTAGAGGATTCAGAAAGCAGTTTCTATTATCAAAATATCTTACTGATTTAAAAAGCAAGGTGCAAATAGTATGGTATAATTTTTGTAAGAAAGAAGAAGAAATAAGAATACACACATACATATACACAAACACAATATGGATAACACAGCAACTAAAGAAATTGTTCTATTATTGAGGATGGGTAGATATAAAGTAGAAGCAATAATAAAGGGAATGATAGTTTTCCAAGTTTACCTTTCAATATAGCTTTTGTTTTAAAACTATATTAATATTTCACGTATTAAAAATTAATCTAGCAAGTATAAATTCCTAAAATTAAATACAAATAGAAACACATGCATCCAACTTCAGATCAAATTGATAATATGAACACAAAGAAGCAAAACCAGAATTAATGCAAGTAAATTTTAAATACTGTACTATAACTGCATTTCACCCTCAGTGAGATATTTTCTAAAGACAAAAAGAAACTGTTGTTGATAGTAAAATGGTTTTAAATTATTTTGTATGCATTGTAGTAAGTGAACAAATGAGCAGGTATGCTGGTGTTTTGAGGGAATGGAGCTTTTATTTTAGGAGAGTGAAGAAACGAATATGGAAAGGGAGAAGGAGAACTCTGTTGTATTGGATTAGAATTGGAGGTATGCATATGAACTCTTGACTTTATGAAAACATATTTACTTGCTTGGTACAATGAAAAAGTTTAGAAGCAATCACACGCAGTAGCAATGAATGTACCTACTATCCTGATCTTGGTTTCTAACTACCGTTTCCCAAAGGAACCAGGGACCCCTGGAAAACTATTTGATGTTAAGTCTGGGGCAATGAAGTACAAGGTGAGCCTGAGCATTGAGTTGCACCAAAAAGTAAAGCTGTGCTCAAACACTGATAGGAAAATGTCAAAAAACAAAGAAGCCAGCTTGAAGGGACTTCCACTGCTCAAATCTGAGACAACCGCAATATCAAAACAAATAATGGCAGGAATGAATCCAATGATTCATAGTAATAGATTTATTTTTATAACTGTGAGTCCATAATGATACCAGAAACAAAGGGGGTGAATGAAAAGAGGAAAGGAAAGTTCATCTCTATAGAAGCATAGCAGATTATAAATGTAGAAAGAATGTAAAATGATAATTTGCTAAGGCTGTCAATCACAGTTGTAATAATTCAAGCAAAAATCAAAGCATGCTAAAACTTTGTGTAAAATATTGGTCTTTATAATCATTTAATTAATTATTTACTAATTTCAGAGGGGACATGGTGTATTTACAATGGAGAAATCTGGCAGCATAACCTTAACTAAATGATTATACTTACTATCACCAAGTTTGACAAACTGGCGACATATGCCTCCTGATGTGATGCACTAGAAAGGACATAACATCCTGCCAAAAGTGTTTAACTTCATTCTAGTCATGAGGAAGCAATTAGATAAATCCAAATTGAGAAACAGTCTGCAAAACAAATAGGTACAATTTTTGCAAGAAAGAAGAAGAAATAATACACACATACATACACACAAACATCTGTGAAAGGAAACAATATGGAGAACACAGAAGCTAAAGAAATTGTTTAAACAACAAAAGAAACTACACTAGTCAACTAAAATTGATTCCTCAAAAACATCAATGTCTTAAAAGTTTTTTTTTAGAAAAAGGCTAGGCACAGTTCTAGATTTGAAATTACTAAAGACATGACAACTGAATGCAATGCATAATTCTTGATTGATCTTGGATTTTTAAAATTTATAATAGACATTATTGGGACAATTTGGGGAATTTGAATGTGGAATGTATATTACACGGCATGGTACAAATCAAGGTTAAAATTTCTTGAAAATTATCAGTTCTGCTGTGGATATGTAGTAGAATGGCTTTGTTCTCAGGAGATGACACCTGCCACTTAATAGTTCACCAAAATGAGAGAAAGAAAATGTGACAGAACATCAACAATTTGTGAATCTAGGTAAATAGTATCACATATTCATGGTATTACTAGGGCAACTTTTCTATATGTTTTAAATTTTTCAAAATAAAAAGTTGGGTGAAGAAAGGAGAGCACAAAAAAGTAAAGCAGTATTGGTTGCAAGCAGAACTGGTTGCCAGAATGGTGTGATAGACACCTTCACTTATCACTTACTGGGCTGGGCAAGAGCCTGCTAATAGGCACATTAATTAATTAATTAGCCTCTGCAGTTGGGCTTTCTTTCCATCCCCCAGCCCTCACCAGGATGTACTTAGGTACAATAATGGAGGAGGAAAATGGAGAGTGTTTTCTGTATTGCCATCTCAGAGGGATATTCCCGCTTCAATCACCTCTCCAGAGGGCTAATGGCTGACAAAGCCTTATTACCATCCTGGGATAAGTTCAATTTTTTTTTTTATGATAGTAATTTGTTACACCAGTTTGCCACTTGTCTGCTGCTTCCTTGTTAATCCAATAATCTATATGAGAAAAGCAATTTGATGTACCTCCTTCCCATCTGCCGCCCATCAGCCAATCTATATCTTAACTATCAGTGATTTATTAATGCCGTCTGCATTAAGCACATATCTGCTCCATTGGCGCCCTCCCTCTTGGCCTCCTGCTTAGATACACTCCCTGGATGTGTTAGAAGGCAGGCTCAGCATAGAGATTAAAAGCAACAATGGAATAGCAAGCTGAACCACAGTTCCTGCATTTGCTCCTTTCAAACAATTAACATATATGCACATCCACACACTAAGGAGATCCACTTCAGAGCCAGCCATAAGAAATGTGAGAAACTAGAATATTTTTCATTATGCTTTGTATTCAGTGCTTAACCTTGTTTCTTTAGCTGGTTGAAGTTAGCCATTGACCATTGTGCCCCATCTGAATGTTGCACTTCTCACCCCAACCTCCTGGATGTCTATTCACTTGAACAAGGGCCTGCATGAGCCCTGGATTCTGATCTCTTTCCTGCAGAGACAAAAGGGGCCGGTAGCTCTGGGCTGGATGAGCTGACGCAGTTCTGAAGAAAGGACTTTGTTATTGAAGGTGTGAGCCTGGTCTCTGCACGTGTGATTGCTGAGCTTAATTTTCCTCAAGTCATTATGGCCTACCTAGAAGAACAAAGGCTCTAGATGACACTCCCAGAGGAGGAACATAATGGAATTGGGTGGGGAGAAAATGATGGCACACAGCAGTGTTACTGTCTGTTGTGGGTTAAATATGCCATTCACTTAGATTCTGTGCTGTTTGTTGCCTATAGAAGCTTGATACAAATGGCCCAACCTAAAACCTGGTAAGAGAAGAAACATGGACATAGGATGGACATCTCAGGAACCCACCACTACTGCTATTTGCAAGTTCCATATAGTGGGAGTCCATGTTGCATAGTGGTTAGCTCATGGTTGATAAGTTTAAACTCTGGCTGTGCAATGTGCTATCTCTCTGCTCTATAGTAAGTTTATGAACCTGTTCAAGTCTCAGTTACTTCTGTTAAATGGAGCTACTATTGGCGCCTCATAAGGTCATGATCAACAGCAATAATGAGTAAACTGTAAATGGTTAGTCTCCATTTCTCATCAAATGCAATCTTATTTTTACTTCTGTATTGACTCTCCCTTTTTTTTTCTTTTGAGACGGAGTCTCGATCTGTCGCCCAGGCTGGAGTGCAGTGGTGCGATCTCTGCTCACTGCAAACTCTGCCTCCCAGGTTCATGCCATTCTCCTGTCTCAGCCTCCCGAGTAGCTGGGACTACAGGTGCCCGCCACCATGCCAGGCTAACTTTTTGTATTTTTAGTAGAGACGGGGTTTCACCGTGTTAGCCAGGATGGTCTCGATTTCCTGACCTCGTGATCCGCCTGCCTCAGCCTCCCGAAGTGCTGGGATTACAGGCGTGAGCTACCACGCCCGGCCAACTCTCCCTTTTTTAAAATGACTTTTTATTTTACATTTGCGTCCTGGGTACATTTGCCGTGCTTTCTTGATTCTATTTGCTTTGAGCTGGCTTTTACCTGGCTTGTTGGACTGTTTTCAAGTTTCCATCCCCTAAGGTTTCTGATATCTCCATTGCAGACAGTGGCTCTGAACTCTCTCTCTCTTCTGGGTAAATAGCATATAGCTGATGGTGGGAGTGAGCTGCCAATAAATTTAGAGGTGCTTTCCTTAGCTGTTAGGTTTTAAGGAAAGGAAAGTGAACAAAAGGCAATCATCCTGACTCTATAGTCTACATTCCTTTCCTTCCTTAAAATCAAGGGTGGCATTTTAAGTTGTCGTCCTCTCAAGCTCACCTAGAAATGTGCCTGGTAAGACAAGAGTTCTGAACATGATGTACTGCAACTCATGATTTTGCACAGCCATGGTCGATATAAATATTTTATCCTCACAACTAAATGGCAATTGCCTAAGGGTAGGAATTTTCTGATAATATTTCTATTCCCATCCATATAACTCAGCATGGTGCACTGTACTCAGTAAGTGCTCAATAAATGCTTGTGGAACAAGTGACTATAGTGTTAACTTTGTGAGCAGGATATTATATTTTGCTATGATTTCTTGTCCTTGAGTTATTTTCCCTCAAAACTCTATTGTAAAACCTTTTCTGCCGTCCAAGAGCTGCATTTCTTTCTAAAGAAATCATTCCCCTCCATCTTTTCTTAATTAACAGCATTTTCCAGTACTTTTTTTTCCCTTCTCTGTGACAGTTTCCCACTATTGTCTGTTTGCAGCTGTTACATGGTTAAGAAACTGAGTAGACATGCTAATGAGTTCTTGGTGTGTAGGAGGAGCACCTCTAAATTCTCCTGGACTGGCCAGGCAGCTTGTTCCCACTTACTCTTTCTAAAATAAGCTCTAGTTGGCAGCCAGGGATTGGATTATTTGCAGTTTCTTTCTGTGGAGGAAGTTCTTGCTTGGACTAGCTATCTGTGTTTCTATTTAGGAACAAATAAACATGCTGCTGCCCTCAAACTCATCATGTCTACATTAAACTTCAAATTGCCTGCTTCACTCTTGCTCATAGACTTGTCCAAACCACTGGAAACCAGCTTTGGTTTATATGTTTATTTCAATTAGCAGTCAATTTAGCAAATTGTTGTGTGTGTGTGTTGGTGGGGGGGTGCGGTGGGTAGTTGGTCCACACGCAGTCTCTTCCTACATTGATCTTAACTGTATTCTCTAAAAATTAAGAGACATTGTGTGACTGAATGGATTTTGGTCCTTGCAATTGTCTTTACAATTCTCACGACTGAAACTGAACACCTCCATCAGGGAGTTTTGAATACTTCATGATTGTTTTTTTTTCTTCCCAAGAGCTTCGAAAAAACGATATTAATAGCCTGTTTTCCAAGAGAGGTTACAGAGGTATCTGAATTTCCTAGTGTCTGGGATGATGATCTGTAATATTAATCTGGGATTCTCATTCTGAGTCATGTATTTGAGCCAGTATGTTAGAATCAAGACAGTTAATCCCCCTTCAGTATGTTTTGCAGCTGTTAGAATTTCATGACCTTTACACAAAGACATGGAGAATCTCACTGATCAGAGAGCAAGCTGGAGGGAACAGGTTGGAAGCCTGGAGAGAAGGCAGGTTTTGAACAAGACATAGGGTGGTTGCCAACCATCTTGCTAATGGGGGCATGGTCTCAATGATAAAGACCCTTTGAGCTTTCCAATGTAGCCTAAGAGTAACCTTCTTTTCCCCTGGAACTTCTAAGGTGTTTTTTTTTTTTTTTTTTTTTTTTTTGAGAATCAAAGAATAGCTAGACGGGGCCTTGCTGAAAGAAGTGGCCCACATTAGACTTGAGATAGCAGGTTAAGTTCTTTCTATTTTGGTGGCTTTTCAGAACATAACTACTTTGTCCATTGAAGACAGGTAGACCATATGGAAGAAACTGGAACTGTGAGTTTTCTTTCACATATCATCTACCCTGCTGCTCTCTGAGTATAGAAGGTAACTATGGAAAAACACAAACAGCTCATGATGTCGCTCTCTTTCCCTAAGGAGGTAGGAGTACGGGACAGTGTTAGCTTACACATTCGTGTGCAGGAGGCTCGTCTTATTCATCTTTGTATCCTAGTATCCTACTTCTTTGCCAGTTTGTTGTTCTTATTTCTACCCCTCTAATAAAGACTTCCAAACACCAATAAATCTTTGTTTAGGGGTAACATTTAGCATTTTCCCAAAGTAATTGCATCTATTTTCATATGAATATATTCCACAACAGTAATAGGATTCAATTTGAAACTAGCACCAATTTTATATGCCTGGAGCTATGGACTTCCTCAGATCCTCAAAGTACAGCACCACGATATATTCCCTGAATTCTACTCCATGGCTCAGTTGTACCACTTGTGCTACTCTAAGTAAGTATTCAGGTTAAATTGCTGGTGGGCGATTATCACTTTACTTGTCATTTATCTCAGCTTGGGGAGTTCTTCATTGAAAGAGTCAACATAAAAAGTAACTCTCACAGCTGGGGAAGTTGAAAATATGTGATGAGATAATCAGACTAATTGGCCAGGTCTGGTAATCAGTAGGTAACCCAATAATTTTGACATAGAAAACAAACAAGAGGCTGAGTGGAGTAGGCTGATTTTTCCAACTAAGAAGAAAATATCCCTTTATGATGGGGAGGCTGCTCTGGCTAGAGATACTAGAACATTTTAATTTCTTTGTATTACATATTGATTTCACTCACAGACTGTGAAACTGGGTACAGATGGTTGGCTGAATTGCAGTACGTCTATAATGTAGGCTAACGTACAGAAAATATGGAGGGAGAAAACTTGAGAATATGTATCACACTAGCCTATAGTGGATGTTTGTGTTTCATCCAATGAGAGTGTGAATGCATTGGCACTGCTATCACCAACAATAAAATGAAGGTAGAACTATCAACAAACCCCTCCCCTCTCTTGATACCATGTCTCTCTAGCTGTAGTCCAGGCTTTCTTGATCTGTTATCAAAACAAGAAGTCATAGCAGCAGTTCTCCATGTCTGATCCCTTATCCAATAGCAGCAGCATCCCCTGGGACCTTTTTAGAAATGCAAATTCCCAGGTCCCACACCAATGGACTTACTTAACTAGACGCTCTGGGAGGGGGATACAGAAATCTGGTTCAGTAAGTCCTCCAGGTGATCCTGATGCAAATTAGTGTTACAGAATCACTGGCCCACAACCTTGCTACTCAGAATATGGTTTGCAGAGCAGCATCAGGGGAATCATTAAAAATGATAAAAAATGAAGAATCTTGAGTCCCTTTTTTTGTCTGCATTTTTAACCAGATCCCTAGGAAATTAGCATGCCCATTGAAGTTTGCAAGTGCTGATTTTAGTTATTATTCCCACCTCCTCAGGTCTGATTATACCCCATCTAGCTTCTGCCCGCTCCATTCCTGTGAAAATTCTCTCAGTACTACCCAGTGACTTCCAACTGTGACAATGTATGGCTGTTTTTCTGTCAGTGCTTGTGTTTTATTGTACTTCTCTGCTTCATTTCACAGAGCTGCTCATTCTCTCCTTTGAATACATACAACATATTTTCCTAAAAGCTTTGATTATTGCTTCTTTGGCTCCTTCATAGATTCATTTCCTTGTAAATGTTGCTAACCTCTTCCCACCCTGCCCATCAACCAGGGTTCTATCCTTAGCTCACAGTTCTAATTCTGTACACTTTTTATTGGTAATCCCAATTAGATATTAATAATACCTAAATCTAAGTCATTGCCTGCTGTTTAATTGCTTGTGAGACATTTCTACTTGCATGTCTTTCGCTGCAAACTCAACATTCAAAAAATTAAACACCATTATTTCCCCTAAACTCCCTACTTTTACAGTCTTTCATTCACTTGGTGTCACTACCATCTATGCAGTCACTCGAATTAGAAACTTGGGAATTTATCTATGATTCTTACTTTTCTTTACTCCCTATCAAGAATTCTAGTTGCCATCCAATAACTATTCTCCTCTTCTTTATAATAAAGAACCAAAATGTTTTTTTGGGTACTTGGATTAAAGCCTACATTTCCTAGCCTACCTCACAACTAGGCTTAAGTATGTGTCTCACTTTTGGCCACTGAAACGCAGGCAGAAGTATTCTAGGATGTCTTCTCTAAAGACAAAGGGCACAATAGTTTTGCCCTTCCTTCCTTCTTCTTCCTTTAACATGAAGACAATGATTCAGACTCCAGCAGCCATTTTTGATAGTGAGGAGTAAGCTCAACACCAGTGAAGACACAACAAAGAGATGGAAGGAGCTGCATCCCCGATGAGAGTAAGAGCCAGTTCTAGACTGACTTCTTTTATGTGGGAGAGAAGTACACTTCCTTCCTGAGTACTAATTTTTTTTCAGGCTTCTGTTCTCACAGTTGAACTTATCCTAAGCAATATAAAACCCGTATCTAATTATCACTAAGACTTACTGATTTTACCTCAAACTATGTTCCAAATCTATCTCCTTTTCTCTATGTCTTTTAACCTAGGCTTTGTTTAGACTCTAATCTCTGACTCAGATTGCTAAAATAATTCCTAACTGGTGTTCACATCTACAGTTCTTTACCACTCAAATTCATCTGCCATTGAGGTGAATAATCTAAATGAAAATCTCATCTTGCCATTCCTTTTCTTATAGCTCTATTGATAATTTCCCTTTTTCAAAAGAATTGCTCTTCAGCTTATTTCCTATTAAATCCCTGTGCTCATTGTACTCTCCAGACATATGAGGCTTCCCAGTATTCCGTTGGATTTTTCACAGATCCATGCTGTTACCTTCACTCTAGAATGTCCCATCACACTTCTGCCTGGAAGGGATAGTCTTAGTTATCCTTCAAGATGCAGTTTAAGGCTCCAGTTCCTTAGTCCAGCGGTGACTAATCATTTCAGTTCTGCACCCCATGAGCCAAAAATTAAGAGTATGCAACCAAAATTTAGGTATGTTAATTGTTTATTCAAAGTTGTATACTTGTAGTATTATACAAACCACTTATATACACATTATAAAATCTACACAAAAATAGAAATAAAAAATAACTACAAGTTTCCAAGTTTTATTTTCACTTCTATGGATTGCCTTGTGTCTCTTGGGGTAAGAGCACTAAATTTGGTAGACCAGTTTCTCTAATTTGCAATGTCTTCTAGGATAATCCCTACTGAGGCAGAATTGATTATGTTCTCTTTTATGCTTCTAAAGTAATATATATTTTTTGATCTCTTTCTTCTTCTAATTTACAAGACCCTTTAGGCAGGGGCTATATCTAATTTATTTATATATCACAACCAACTATTGTTTACTAGGAACCATTCTAGGTGCTGGGATTCAGCAGTGAATTAATCAAAGTTCCTGACCTCACTTAGCTTATATTTTGGTTGAGGGGGGGTGAGATGGGGAAACACAGGTGGAGAAACAAATAAATAAATGTAAATAAAGTGCTAAGTGTGATAAGGTCAGTGAAGAAAAATATTATAGTGAACTAATTTGAAATAGACCTAAGGCGAGGCTCTGAACAGTTGTCCTGTCCCTGTTTAACATAGCCATTTGAGACATCAAGTAGCTGTGTGGTTCTCCTCAGATTCTTAAAAAAGTTTCGGTGGATCACGAGGTCAGGAGATTGAGACTATCCTGGCTAACAAGGTGAAATCCCATCTCTAGTAAAAATACAAAAATTAGCCAGGTGTGGTGGCGGGCACCTGTAGTCCCAGCTACTCAGGAGGCTGAGGCAGGAGAATGGCGTGAATCCGGGAGGTGGAGCTTGCAGTGAGCCGAGATTGTGCCACTGCACTCCAGCCTGGGCAACACAGCGAGACTCCGTCTCAAAAAAAAAAAAAAAAAAAAAAAAAGAGTCTTTCTATCTCAGCAGGAAGTGTGAATTTCTATCATTGTGATGAACCACTTAGAGAGGCAGGTTTATAAAACATCAGTTCCCCTTTCCCCATTGCTTCACTTCTTTTATTAGAAAGCTGGGGCTACTTAGTTCTACCATTGCCTACATTAATCACTATTTACTTGGCACTTATCCTGCTCTGTTACTAAGAAGTTCCTCTCACCTACTTCCTAACCCTGTTCCTCTAATTTTTGTTCTGCACCAAGCCAGAATGGAAATCCTCCTCCCTAATATCTGCCTCGTTATTCAGTTCAGCAATGGGCATCTAAAAGGCCCTCTTAGGCTGGGTGCAGTGGCTCACATCTATAACCCAGCACTTTGGGAGACCGAGGTAGGAGAATCGCCTGAACACAGGAGTTCAAGACCAGCCTGGGCAACATAGGGAGACCCTGTCTCTACAAAAATTTAAAAATTAGCTGGGCATGGTGGTGCACACCTGTGGTCCCATGTACTTGGGAGGCTGAGGTGGGAGGATTGCTTGAGCCCAGGAGTTCAAGGCTGCAGTGAGCTGTGATTGTGCCACTGTACTCCAGCCTGGGAGACAAAGCGAGACGCCGTCTCTTAAAAAAAAAAAATTAAATTAAATAAATATGTTCTATCCACACCTCAACCAGTTCTTTCCCCTCTGTCCTTTCTGGGGAAATTTCTCTTTGTCTTCAAATCTTTTCTCAAAGATTTTGTTAGCCATTTGGCATTTTCTTCAGGGATACCACTTCTCTTCCAACTCTCCCTGATGGAACTCAGTCGGTTTTTAACTCCCTGTCTCTTATGACCAGGAGAAGAGATCAGTCAATCCTTGCTTCCCTGTGGCTACTTTTAGTCCACTCTCCCATAGCAACATCTTCTTCATTAAGGTTCTTCCATTTGATTATATTATGTTCTTTCTTTCCTTTTAAGAAATCTACTTATATCTAGGAAACCTTTCACCTCCAAGTTCAATACATGAATCCCAATTGTTATTTATTTATTTTTGTCTAGCACATTTCATATGATTTAGTCCTTTGCAAGACTTAGCCATTCATATGGTTGGGACTTTATAATAAATGCCTTGGCACTGTATACCATACTTCTTGTATTTCTTCGAGTCTTGTTATTTCACTCAAAATTGTCACACACTCACGATCTTGAGCTCCAGATTCCCAACTGTGATCCTTCCTTTCCTTTCATTTCATGTGCATGCCCTGTTCCTTGTCTCTATGACCTCCAGGCCCTCAACTCATCCTTTTGCCTGTAAACTCTGCTCTGGCCTCACCTGCCTCCCTCTCCATCCTATAAGGCATGGTGGGTTGTTTCAATTATGCACCTGCTGTCATTATAGAATGTCCTGCCTCCTGTGCTTTGTGCCACTTCTAAATTTTTCTTCTTCTACTTTTCCAGTCAATTATTTTCAGCAGATGGCTTCCTTTTCTATGCATTTTTACCATCTCTCTCTTTTTTGTTTCCATTTTTGAGGAGGAGGCACTGTTCTTCCTCCCCGATCAAACTGTTGAACCTAGTCCAAGGCCTCCTACCTCACAGTAGTGTCATGGTGTTATGGAGAAAACACGGCCTTCAACCCTAGCCTTACAAGTGTTAGAATTTCAGTCCCTTTTCAGATTCGTAGATGTCCTGGAGCAATTTGTTTAACCTTCCTGCACTTTAGATTTTCTTCTTTAATACAAAATAATAACAACTTTCTCACAATGTTAGTATGAGACCTGAGTGATACAATGTAAATGTATCTTGCACAGTGTTGTGCCAAAATAGGCACTGGTTTTTATCTTTCCCTTGGTGCTGTGTTAAGAATTCTTACCTGGGTTTCACATTTTATGTAAGCTCTCTAAGTTTTTTTGCTTTGTGTATATGTGTGTCTGCACATGCTGTACCCTAAAAAGCTTTTCTTTATCACTAAGTAGCAAGTCCCACAGTCTTTTCTCATTTCTAGGCTTCATTGATCTCAAGGTCACATTTGACACTATTGACCACTCTTTTTTTATGTGTTTGAAAGTGCCACCTCCCTTGGTTTCCATAAGTTGCTATCCCACCTCTAACTGCTCCTGATTTCTTTCCTTGTCTGGTTCTTTTTCCTGCTGCTCGTAACAAAAATATCCCCCTAAGATTAAATCCTATCTTTCTACCCTTTTCTTCTACAATTTTTTCAACATTCAGATTCCCTTCCAAGGCCACAACTCTCACCTCTGAAATGACTTCTTCTACCTCACTCTTCCCCAAGGTCCAATGCCAGATTTCCACCTACTCATCTCCATCTGCATTTTCTAGAGATACCTTCATCTTTCTAAAACTGAACTCTTCATTTCCTCTCCTTAATAACTTCCTCCAAAAGGTGCCACTATTTTCTCAAAATAACCTTTTGCTCTTCCTATCTTGCCTTACATTTAATTAGTTGCCAAAATATATTAATTGAACATCACGACTTTGTCTTTCTCTTCAAAAATTATTGTTCCCAATGCCATCCTTCTACTTCAGACATTTGTTACCTCTCCTCATACCTTCAAAATACATTCCTAGCTGGTCTCCCATCTCATGTCTAGTCTACTTCTTTCCCATACGTAGTAGACACACTTAAAGACATTTCCAACTGAAAACACCTTGGTGGCTTTCTCTGCCTTCCAGCATGGCAGGTTCTCTATAATGTCCTAGGCTATTTCTCACTGCCTTATTTATTCCGCACTGCGTTCCTATTAATGACCTGCATTTAAACCAAACCAGAGTATTTGCCCTTTTTTAAACATGACTTACCTCTTTCTACCTTCATTAATATATTTACAATATTCTTTTGGTCTGAAATGGCTTCCAGTTTGTGTTTCTAGTTTGAAATCCTACCCTGCTTTTAAGACTCATCTTAAATCTCACCTCCTCCCTGAAATTATGTTCCTCATCTACACCTCTTTCAACTTTAAGAAATTCTCTTTTTCTTTGAGAGAGAAACTCAGTTCTTCCTCATATTGTAGTTATTTGTGTGCTTATCTACTGAGCTACATTGTATGTTGTCTAAGTGCAAGGATAGTGTTTTGCCAATCTTTTCCTCCCATTGGTGCTTAACACATTAGTTTGCTAGTAGTGTCTTACCACAAGTATTTGTTGGATTGACTTAAATCTGTAGTACAAGCCAGTTTATTAAATGCAAATCAAGTCTGATTTAGAAAAAAATAGCAAAATTGTTGCTTGTTTAGGCTTTTTTTCTATGTAAAATAATATGAAAATCCATAAAAAGTAGCTTAAAAAAACAAAAAGATAAGTAGCTGACCAAGAGCAGGCAACCAGGTAACATGTTGTAGAGCAAGAGGGAGAGAAAGATTATTTAGAACTCGGTTTTCTAAAGGATTGTCATGGGTGCAAAAAAAAAAATCACTTAATTTAGTAAACTAGTTGGCTTAAATTTCCCAGTAAGTGACAATGGGTTTCTAATTCAGGCTTTGGCTTCTTATCAGTTCCCTTTAATTCATGGTCATTCTAGTTCCTACCTGGTCTCTGTTGACCTACTCAGAATCATTACTGGGAACCAGAAGATGGTATGTAATTGAATTGGTATCGCTGCTGTCACCATCAATTTGTGCAGGAAAAAAGACTGAGGAAACACAAAGGCAGAAACTATAATTGAATTTGGTTACTCCAAAGGTAAAACACAGTTGCAATTTCCAGAGAGCATGGCAGGTCAGATGGTGAATGGGGTAGGGGCTGAGTGAGATGGATTACCCCTGAGGGGATATGAAAGCTAAAGAGATGGACTTTGGCCAAAATTGATGTTTAGAAGTCACTAAACTCACAACTTTCTCAAGGTCAATTCTTTTTCTAGGCATTAAAATACAATTAACACTGGATTACGAGAGAGGTGTGGGTGGGGAATCAAGAGAAGTGGATTCTAGTTCCAATTTCTCCAGTAGAGGTAAAACAGTAAACAAATTATTGAATTCCCCTGAGCCATAGGCATCTCATTTACAACATTAGGACAATAATATAATTCTTGCCTTTCAGGCCTGCTAAGAGGGCCAACTGACATATCTTCGATTGCTTTTGTATAGTGCTTCATGTTGTATAAATGATGTTTGGAAGCCAAGTCTTATTATTATTATATGATCAATGCCTTATTTATATAATGACTAATCCTTTCAGTTAGCTTTTACCCATTACAGAAAGCATACCACAGAGAATTGGCTTACTCAAATTATGTTTATTTAACTTCCAACCTCCCATGAATATGCATTATCATGGCTGGGAATTTTACAGCCTTCAAGTGAGGAAATACAGAAGGGATATCTGCATGGCATCCTCATACTTCAGCATTTCTCTTAACACAGTGAAGAATGATGTTGACTTTGACAATAGTTTATCAATGTTATTCCCCTGATCTGTGGGCTGGAGCTGTTATTTCTGTGACTTTGTTAGTGTAAATACTACTTCTTGAGGGGCTCATGTGACTGGACAGCTCACCCATCATAGATTGGTTCTTCTCCATCTTGCTCTCTTCCACCTGAAATGTTTCCCTACCACTGCTTCTACTTCTTCAAACTTAGCTGCATTTTATGATATTCTAGAGCTCATTTAGTGTTCTATTCCAATTCTTGCCTCAATTAGTCATTTAACAGAAAGATTGTGAACTGCTAAAATTTTGTTCTTCTGTTTCATACATCTCTCAAAATGTTGAAAAGACAAAAGATACTCACAGGCTAATATTATTTTGTTTTGCTCTCAGAAATATTGGTATTTGAATATAAAGTTAAAAGTCTAAAATCTCAATGATGGTCTGGAAATCTATCATTTATTAAAGAGAGGCTTACCATATAAGCCTCTCTTATAGATGGCATACCATCTCTTTAAAAGAGATGGGATCTTGCTACATTGCCCAGGCTGGACTCAAACCCCTGGGCACAAGGGATCCTCCTGCTTCAGCCTTCTAAATATCCAGGACTATAGACATATGCCACCATGCTCAGCAAGTTTTAGAGATCTTTCTAAAGGTAACAGGAGTCATACTGGGTGGTCTAAAGGCTGATGACCCTTTAAATTGATTGTTCTAGAAATCCATTCTATTTCGTGGCACATAAAATAGAAATAGGGTGAGGGCACCTTTGTTTCTTCCCTTTGAACCTCCCTATCTTTTCATCAGGACCTGTCATTTGACTTTGCAAAAGCCCACTGATGAAGGCTAATGTGCTCCATTTGGACTGATTCAACGGTATGAATTTCCTTTGGTTGCATTGTAACTCCTGGACTGGAACACTCGTGATCGTCTTTGGCTCCTGTGGCTGCATTTAATTGCAGTGATCTTCCTGAACTGATCAATGGTGACAGTAGACAGATGTCCTGAGACTCCTTATTTCCCAGGATGAACTGTCATGGTGGACAGGCTCTCCATTGTTCATAGAATCTGGTTTGGATACCAGAAGCACAGGTCTAAAATAGAATTCTGAACTTTCCATTATCATGAAACTAATGCCATAGAATAAATTGGCAAATCTGGTTCCTAAACTTACCTAGTTTTTCTCACTAATTAATGTGACAATTAAGGGAGAAGAGGTAAAATGGCAAAATGGACATAATAATACTGCCATGCTTGTCTTAGTTACTGCAAGATCAAAGGGTCCACAAAACCATTTTGAAGAATATAAACGATCACTGAGATGCTAGGCACAACTGTTTATTATACTTGCTTTGTATTATCTAGGTGTATGTTCTGGAAACTTCTCATATCATATCCTGCCTAAGTAGAAATTATTGTAGTTTATGCCATTTGGGTTTCATAGGTGAATACAGTTAAGGTGTACTTTACGGCTCTAGGCTATCCCAGGCAGAGGGATTTTTAACACTGGTCTCTCCAGTTTTATTGTCAGATATACATTTGGCCTGGTATGCATAATGTTCATCTCTTGGATTTAATAACCAGGTAATCAAGTTATGCCACTTAATTCTTTAGCAAATGACAATCTGAGTACAAATCATTTCTAAATTGTTTCTCACATTAAATTAATCCAAAAGTAGCCTTGCTGATAATTCTCTATTACTTCTCACTTATCTTCCAGTTTAGGAATTCTTAATTTTTCTAATGCTGAGGGCTCATGCTCCCTTGGGGTGCCTGGCCTCTGCTGTATATTAAGTCTGCCTGTGTTCTGAGCTTTACCTTCAGTGACCTGCTGCTAATTCTATGCTTTGAGCTCCTCAGAAGTATCTCATTAATCCTAGCAATAAAAAGCATTTTTATGCAAAGCACATTTCTGGGACCTAGTAACAATACAAAAACAATAATACAACAAGGATGATGATATTTCTGATCATCCAGTGCCTCCCTGCTTGGATTTGATAGCCTGTTTAATAAGCAGCATCAGAAGCAACAACAGTAGATGATAGAGGTGTTTTTAAAAAATCGCAGTGCATAGGATTACCCCAGCTAGTCCTGGCCTGGCTCTTTCTGCTAATCAAATTGGTGATGCAATCTTCCCCATTTCCCAGGAGGCCCCTCTCTCTCCATAGTGACGGAGAATACATTTGATGCTTCTTACCCTTCCCTAGATCCCCCCTATCCCTTTGAATAGCCACTCCTGCTAAGGAACCCAGTGACCCCATGGCATTTAGCTTCAGCCTGGTAGCCCGTTCCATCTTCTTTTCTCTCTTTCTGAATTGAATTGCAAATGTAGGCATGCCTCAGTGAAAGCACTTATACTGTATTTCTGATCTGCGTCTTGACTCCTCTCCTCCTCAGGGACAGCAAAAACCCTGAGGAAATATAGTTGGCCTCAGTTAAGCTGGGCCTCTGATCAGATTAGCTCCCAGTTTAATAAGACTTGAGGTAGGCATCCCAGCTGTGCTCTCTCCCATTTCACGTTCATAGAAAGATCAGTGGCTGAAGGCCCTTATTCTGCAGATTGGGGCCTATGCATGTGATTTGGGGCTCTGTTTCTCCAGTTTTATCCTGAGGTTTAGACCTGAAGGAATATTTGTAGGTTTCAGAGAAAGAGGTTTAAAACATAAGAACTGAGAATGCTTACCTAAGTTCTAAGTTAGGTAAGGAGGGTGAGAAAATTTTGGACTCATATACTTTGGGATCCTGCTCACTCCTCTGAAGCATTGACCCCACACAAAACACACTTCTTTTGATAGCATAAGTTCACAATCCTTCTATCTCTTCAGTCCTCTGGCTTCTTTTCCTAATATGTAAAATGTGTTGCAATAACATAAAATAATTCTTAACTTTCCTCTCTGCTCCTGACTCCCATGAGGTCCTCAGGCCCTATAAAGGCTTCTATGGGCAAGATATTTTGAGGAAAAAATGACGAGGAGACCACAACATTGGTCATTCATTCAACTATTCACGCATTTGACAAACATTCAATCAGTGCTAATCAGACTTAGGCACTCGAGTTGTTACAGGAGGGGGCTCTCCCCTGCACCCCACTAGGAATGTTGGGTGATGGTTCAGCAATTATGGCATTGCCTCTCTAAAAATTATAATTTGGCAACACCAGGGAGAGTCCATTTCCTCATGGTCCATACCCGTGAACGTCAAAATGTTAATTGAATGCAGGCCCCAGGGAAAAGCAACTTTCTGAGTTAAGAGACAAAAGTTGCAAGGTATGATGTTCCTGGAACACGCCATCAGAAAAGGGAAGAAAGCCTTAGGTGAGCATGCATATGACGTCCTAAACACACTGCCAGTGCTCAATTCCAAAAGGTAAGGAAAGCACTGTGCATGCAGGAAGACCACCCTAAGGGAAGAATCTTGGGAAAGCGGCAAGCCTATAAAGTCCTAGGATCAAGCTTAAAGCCCCGACTTTTTTTTTTTTTTTTTTTTTGCTTCTTTTTCTGTCTTTGACCTTCGGGTGCCCACTTGGATCTCTTCCAAGGGTTCTTTTCTTTCTTTCCTATTCTAAAGACTTTTTAATAAACTTCCATTCCTGCTCTGAAACTTATCTCAGTCTCTTTTTCTGAGATAAAATTCAGAAAAAGAATTTTCTGAATTTCTGAGATAAAAGAATTTCTCAGCTGAATTCTTTTTTCTGAGGAGGCAAGGACTGAAGTTGCTACAGACCCAGACAAATATGCAGCCAGTAACTTGGGATAACGCGATCTCTTCCAGCCATAACAAAGTGACTAAGCACAGTGCCTGACTGCAAAGAACTCTTAGTTTAGTTAGGGAGAAAAAGGATAATCATAATCCATGTGGTCACAAAAATCAAGATCCATACAAGGTATTATGGGAATACATAGGAAAAATCATAAGATTTATTACAAGAAGAAAAGTTGTCATGCCCTGTTTATAAGCTAAGAAGAACAGTAAGTGTCTCCACTTTTCTTCATCTCCTCCTTGGAGCCTTCGTTGTTAATCTTCCTGGCCTTCTCTGTGTCTTAACTCAGGATCTGAATTATGATCATTTTGCCTAGGATGAGGATGATAATTCATAGAAATTATTTGAAGCACTTTAAAGTTTGTGTTTAACTACAGCAGGCCCTCCAGGATCCCAGCACAGATCCTGTTGAATCCGTCTTAAGATATTTTCCAACTCAAATGTATCATCAAAAATGGAGGTTGGCCCAACCAAGCTGATGTATCTGTTTATTTATATTAATGAAGAATAGGAAACCAGCAGTATTTCAAAATATTACTCATATCTGCTTTTGAAAATAAACCAGAAACCATGGTAGGAGGATTTTTTTTTTATTGAATGATTTCTTGCTCTTTGACTTTGTAAGCTGATGTAGAGTGTTACATTCTTCTTCAAGTGTGCACAAAGACCTTTTGTTTTTCTGGGAAAATATCATTGTGTAATAGAAAAATATTGGATTATGAGTCAGGAGACCTGGAGTTTGGTTTTAGCTCTGCCATTAACTATGAAAGTGATCTTGGGTAAATTACTTAAATTCAGAATATTCTCTATTAAATGAAGTGGTTGGATAAAATGCTCCCTAAGTTCCCTTCCAGCCCCAATAGTCTTTGTTCCTCTGTGAGTCACCATGAGGGTGTTCAGTGAATGCATGTGGTTGACAAGAGAGGCATGTCACATAAAAAATTCATATAAGGATATGTCATAGGATGGTTTCCTGGGAAGCAAGCTCTGAGATGAAGATTAACAAGCAGGTAGTTTATTAGGAAGTGCTTCTGGGGTCAGTCCCTATGAAATAGAAGGGAATGAAGCAGGATTGAGCAGAGGAACAAGTAAAGCTATGACACAGTCTCAGTGGAAGACACAGTTGAATCTTCAGAGGTGTCCTGAGCTGGGAAAGTGGGCTGGGCTTTAATACCTTTGTGTGGAGCAGTTATTGGATGAAACCTGGAATGAAGTGGCTCTCTTTAGCTTAAGGAATCTCCAATGGAGGCTGACAATTAAGGGCTTTATTCAGTATAACTTCCAACAGCTGGAAGAATACATCCTTCATTCCTGAAGGATAATAATTGGTTTCTACCACAGGATGTCTGTGTGCTGTCATACTCTATTGGGCATCAGTGGAATGTATGTGAAAACAACACAGTGTTCATGCTCATAAAATGTTTATTTGGCCATCTATCCATCCATCCATCCATCTGTCCATCTATCCATCCATTCTTTTATGACCATTTTTTCCTTTTTGGTGATCATAGAACTGAGTTGGTGATTTCTCTTACTAGCAAAAAGGAATCCTTGGTTAAGGAAGGAGATGAATTTATTAATTCCCTTCCAATCTGAAGCTCCCTTTATTCTACAAACCAAAGAAAATGACTGAGGCAAGTCTCAATCAATTTAGAGGTTTATTTTGCTAAAATTGAGGATGTGCCTGGAAAAAAGTGACACAAGCCACAGTAGTATCTGGGGCTCACGCTTTTTACCAAGAGGATTTTCAGGACTTCAATATTTAAAGGGTAAAGATCCGGCAGGAGGGAAAAAGGGAAAGGGAAAAAAAGGGAGGGTGGGTTGTGAGATAAGTGGTCACATTCCTGTGAGGCTTTGATTAGCACTCACTGAATCAACATGTTACATGTGAAAGGAGTGAGTAGAAGAACAGTCAATTACACATTTGTCCTGGGTGGGTGGAAGGATGATTCCTTGTCTTTGTCCCAGACCTGTGAAGATAAGCTGTTAATTTACATTGTCAGGGTGAAGGAGGCCACCCAGGAAGACATGTTGCCTTCTACCTTGTAGCTGTCTGTTTAGGTACAAAAGAAAAGGCAATTTTTTGCATGACTCAGTTTCCAAGCTTAACTTTTCCCATTGGCATAGTGAATTTGGGGTCCCAAGATTTTATTTTCCTTTCACAATTCTACAATGCTATACCAATTAACAATAGTAAATGTCAGTTGAAGACTGTTGACTGTGGTTTGTGTAGTGTTTTTAAACGTGATTTTGTTTGATTCTCACAACTAGCTTATGCAGTTGGCTAAGCTTGTATTAAGTCTTACTGCAGAGATGAGGAGCCTGAGGGTCAGTTTAGTAAGTTGTCCAAAGTCATGGAGTCAGGATGAGATGAAAGGTAGACTTCGAGTCCAGGTCTGTTGCTTTCTGGTCCAGGATTGTCCATTATGTCAGAGTCAGCAGGAGCTTAAGGGCTATCTTGGAGCAGCTGATAAAATCCAGGCCTGAGGCAGCCTGTCTTCCTGGAGAGTCGTTTCTCAGCTGAAGCTGAGCCATTAGACAGCACTGACTTCTGGGGCAGGGGGCCTATGGCCTCTCCCAGTGTTTCAATTCTTTACATTTCAGCCTCCTGGAGCTCACTAAGCCTGTGCATAATCCTGTGTATATACCATCAGTGGACCCCCTGAACTTGGTAATTTTATACACACAGTAGCAGAGGTTGTTCTATCTGACTTAATGAACAGGAAAAGTCTTGGCAGGTGAATGTAATGTTTCACCATACTATAGGCCAGTGCTTCTCAAACCTTAACTTGCATTTTAATCACCTGGAAATCTTGTTAAAATGCAGACCCTGGTTCAATATGTCCAGGGTGGGGCCTGAGATTCTTCATTTTAAGCAAGTGCCCAGGTGATGCCAATACTGTCGGCTCATGGACCAGTTTCCCACTCTCCCAGGGTCAGAAACGCACAATCTTTCACAAAGGGAACTCAAGATTGGCCCTTGCTTTAAAGGCTAAGTGGAGCCAATGATCTGAAAGAAACAGGTCATAACTACAGTGTAGTTACACTTTCTCATCTCTTCCACCACTTCCTAACTTCCACCTTTTCCAAGGAAGAAAAGAAAGAAGGAGGGTGGCAAAGAAGGGAGAAAGGAATAAAAGAACGAGAAGGAAGGAAAAAATAATACCAGATAGGCAATATAGTATGTGGTCAGAACCAAGCTATAGCTGTATATGATGCTAATAGCATGTGTCCAACACTGGTTTGGAACCTCTCTTATTTAGCAGGGTCAGCATCATCCATTTTGTGAAAGAGGACAGGAAACCATATACATGAAATTGCTGCAGACTGGCAATGAGAGTAAAGGCAGCCCTTAGGGTTAGAAGTCCAGAAGAAAGCCTTGTGATCTGGTTAAACCAGCTGCATTGAGCAGGCTGTGGCTGGGTATTTATACAACCAAGAGCCCCTTGCTGCAGTCTCTGTGGTACTGATTTACTCCTTGATGGTGTCTGTACTGTAGAATATGGCTTCATTTTCTGGCTTCTCAGGCTAGTGGAGGGGGTGGGTGGAAACAGATGCTTTTGAAGTGATTTCCCTGCGAAATCATTCAGATTGCTTGTTCCTAAGGGGCATAAAATATTTTCTGAGTTTTCACTGTATAGTTTCCCTAAGCAATAGAAGAAGAGGGCAGAGAATGAAGGCAGGAAACAGCTTTAGTTAGTAATACATACTGGGTGGGGGAGGGGTACTTTTTCCTACAAGGCAAGCTCTCTAAATATGAGGAGAAGACATAAGAAAATCAGGGTCTGCTCGCAGAGGAAAAACTGTCGATGCAGTGGTGGAATATCCATGTGAATGGAATACTTAAAACAGGCATGGCCAAAGCCCCATGAGGTATTCTGTGCACTACAGGGCAGTTGTCAGTCATCCACTGCTTCCTGTCTCCATCCTGGTATCAGAGTGGTGGTACTGGGCTAGGTGGGATAAATGCTGACAGCCACTGTCCATGTTCTCAGCGGGGTGTGTGTGTGTGTGTGTGTGTGTGTGTGTGTGTGTTTGTGGTGGGGGAAGGGCGATGTATAAGGCTTTCCAGGAGCATGTGTCCCTGGAGACTTGGGGGAGAGCTGAGTTCAGGCCCTGGCGCCAGCCTTCCAGAGGGAAATCAGAAACATGATAATTAGGCATCTCCTCCCTCAGGCAAATGGAGAAGAGTTTGCTTTTCCTTAATGCCAGCCTGCAGAGATGAAAACCAGAAGGAAACGGCGGGATTTGCCTGCCATCCAGCTCAGGATTCCTAAAGCCCATGGTGAGAAGGTGCTGCTCTGAGTGTCAGTCACACATGCCATGAGCTGTTGACTTGAGCATCCTGGTCTCTTTTTCATGAAACTTTTCTGACCCACTTATTTGAATGATTTATCACAAATAAATCATATTTGATTCTTAAACATTGAAAACTGTTGCTTTCTGAGAAGATGGCACAGCATAAGACAGGGAGATATACAGAATAGGGATGTGTAATTTTACTTAAAGGAAATCTCCATGGGACTGGAAATAGCTTAAAGCTTAAAATAGCCTATTTTGCAAGAGCATTTGCAGTTTTTTAATTGATTTGCATTTGTAATTCTATTGAGTTCTACAACAGGCCTTGAGGCAGGCATTGTGATGGCCATTTCACAGATGACAAGACAGATTCTGAAAGACCTTGACTTGTCCAAGGTCAGATGATTAGTAAGTGGCAGATTTGAAACTCAATAAACCGTGTTCTGCTGCCTTCCACTGTGCTGTGACAGCTATCTAAAATTCTATATTATTTTCCAGATGGCAACCTTACCTGCTTCAGGGATCTATTTTACTATTTCCTGTAGAACATAGACTTTCATCCTCTTTGCAATTCTTGGCAGTATTCTTACTTAGCATTTCACTTGATATATTAAAGACCAACATTTCCCCTAGTTGATGATAAGAGAGTGACGGAGAAACAGGTTGTCCTACCTGTCCTCCTACCCACTGTGATTTTAGAGGAAGAGCAGGGTGTCTGCTTTGCACCATTGTTGCAGAGGTGATGTTAGATACCAGCTTTCACCACATTCTGGTAGAAAGCAAGTGGGAGATGGTAGAGAGGAGTAGGTATTGATGTAGGCTTTGGATTCAGACCTCAGTATGAGTGCCAGCCTTGCCACTGCTTATTTAATCTTTTGAGGCCTCAATTTACCCATTTCTGAAACAGGGGTAGCAATGCCTCTCTGTAAGGGTTAAGGTAAAGAATACATGTGAGGGGGGTCAGTAGAGTAAATGGTCCCAGAATGTTAGTGCCTGCTATTTTTAGGTGCATAGATTTTGCAGTGGAACCCTTGAAAAGAGATTGCCTTTGAAAGACTTGCAAAAATTCAAAATAATTTTGATGCAATTCAACTGAAAGGCCTTTACTTTCAGCTCTGTGATTCTCTGAGTCTAGGAAATACTGCTAAAATGTAAGCCTCTTAAGAGCTAAAGCTATGTCTCATGGACCTTTGTATTCCTCACAGTTGCCAAGCACAGAGCCTTATGTTGAAAACGTACTCAGTGAATTCCAGTTTAGTAGGGTGGGATGGATATAGGGAGTGAGTGTGTATGAAGGATGAGAAGATGGGGGTAAAGCTAAAGGCAAAGCTATTAAGGACCCAAAGACCTTGAATTATTGTGGTCCTCTTCTTTCTCCTGTACTTTTACCAGAGTACATTGTCAACAGAGTACATTGTCCACTCTCATGTTTATTGTCTTCGGTACAATAAACTCTGCTTTACTAAAGATGTGAGTGTCTAGATTCACAAATAAAGGGATAACCTAAACAGACTGAACTTCCAACTTTTTCAGCTTTGCAGATTATATAAAGATTAAACATTTCTGAATACACTGCTCTGCTATTCTTGGTTTACATCTTTTTCTTCTTGAGTATTCACAGAGCCTACATTCTCACCCATCTTGTCCTTCTTTTCTCAGTAGACCATCCTGGGCTTTCTGGGGTTCCATGGCCATGGCCATGATCATGAAAAGCTTCACCTTTTACCCAGCAGTGGTCTTTAGCTTCAATTGAACTCTCCCTCTCAAGTCCCTCCTAAAAGACTCCTCTTTTATGAACTGTCTTTTGAAATCCCCACTTCTGTGGATCAGCTGAAGTCAGGAGTTCAAGACCAGCCTGGCCAACATGGTGAAACCCCACCTCTACTAAAAATACAAAAACTAGCTGGGCGTGGTGGTAGGAGCCTGTAATCCCAGCTACTCAGGAGGCTGAGGCAGGAGAATCGCTTGAACCCGGGAGATGGAGTTTGCAGTGAGCCGAGATCACGCCATTGCACAAGAGCAAAATTCTGTCTCAAAAAAAAAAAAAAAAAAAAAAAGAAAAAGAAATCCCCAGTTCTGAACTGGAGAAAGCAGAAAGCAGAGAGGCCCTGCAAGGAATTGAGATCAAGAGACTTCTTTAGATTAGCTTACTTTGGGATGGATGATCAGTAAAAGGATCAGGGTCTTTCTGATGGGCAGAGCTGTCTATATGCATTGGTGGAGAAAGGAAACTATGACTAGGTGTGATATGAAGGTCATTGACAGCCCCATTTAAACACAAATGGCTCTCCTGTTAGGGTGTTGAAAGTGCTCTGTGGTTGTTCTGTATTATGTTTAGGACTTAGTCCTGCATTAGAGATGCACAATCAGAGTGAACCAGATAGGTCCAGTATCATATTCTAGCTTTGTCCATTACCGGATCTAGGACCTTAGGAAGATTGCTTCAGTTTCCTCATCCTGCAAAATTGCAAATAATATATCCCTTGTATGACTGTGGTAAGGAATACAAATAATGAATATAAACTGCTTCATGGAGCCTGCTGTGCAGCAGAGGCACAGTAAGTAGGAACTATTTATTATTATAGTATTCAAAGGCTATTCTTCCATAAACCACTCACAAAAATATGAATATACCTCCTGGGAGGAGAAATATCTTTTGTTTGTCAGTTTAACTAGTTTTACCTTGAAAACCACTTAGTGAGGTTCCAAGGAATGGAAAAAAGAAAGAAGGATGGGGGAAGTGGCCTAGAAAAATGGACAGGTATAGCAGGAGGGTTGAATGGAGGTGGATACCTGTGTTGGGTAGTCAGAGGACATTAGAGGAGCCTTGAGAGCATGAGAAGGACAAGTGACCAAACTGGAAGGCGGTGTTGCCCACAGGTTGCCTGGAAAAAGATACCTATTGCTAAGATTGGACTAGTTGTACCCATGATCATTGTGCCAGGTCGCCAAAGTATGAGAATGCCCTTCATCATTGCAGCAGCCCATGAAGGCTTCCAAATAATTCTGTTCTCTGCTCCCTCCAGCTACAGCAGAAGGGAGCTAGGTCAGAGACAACTTGAACATTTCATAAAACATTGTTATGAAGACAAAATGAAAACCAGGCAACAAGTGTATTCTCTTAGCTTGTCTGTTGGCCAATTGTTTGCTTGTGGCGGAATGACTTTTGAAGAATTGATCTAGAGGTGGAATCCACAATCTTCTTTCTCATTTCATCCAGATTGAGTCTGCTATTCTGTGTTTTATTTATAGAATAGTCAGGCTCCTTTCTTCCTTGAAGCCTACCTGGTACCTAGGGCACTAAGATTGTTAGGAGGCTTTTGTGTGCTAATTCAAGGCTGATGGAAGTGAATTTTTTTTTTATCATAATGATGGGAAGAAAATACATTTTGCTGAAAAGGTTGACCTTCTACTGATGTATGATTGGATTTTATGAGCTATACTCTGAGTCTAGGCTGCTAGAAGCCCTGTGTCCCTTATCTACCTACGTATCCATGCCCTGAAGTTTCCATCCAGATGCCATAAAAAAAAATCCCTGGAATTGGCCTTGAGTAAAGAACTAGATGATTTGTTGGTTGTATGGAGCATTCATCATGGAGGCTGGGAGTGGCAACAATTGTATACCTTCATAAGTCAAAACAAAAAAACTGTTGCATAGTTTGGAGTTTGCTGGGCCTAGTGAGCAATTTGTGGGTAAATTTTCTGTTCTATAATTCTTGTTATTATAAGAAGAAACAAGTTTCTTCTTGAGTTGTACCCACAAGCAGATTTATTTGTCTCCTATGCATTTTTTAACGAAGTGAAAAATTTAAAGAACGTTTTAAAGAACACCTGCCATGTTGCATCAAGGGTCTTTGATGCCTTTTAAAAAATAATCTCAAAAAAACAAAAAAACAAAAACTCAATTTCAGAAAAACCTGAAGCAAAGGAACAGCCGAGGGAATGCAGCAGCCATCTGGAAATCCTGACCAAAGTAGGAGATATGCCCAGTTGTAGTACAGTAAGTGTGAAATCTTTTTTTCTTACTTGGCCTGTGATGTTGATTTAATTACATTTTTAAAAAGAGGAAAAAAAGTGCTTTAAGAAGCAACATTCTCCACTTGTAATTGAGGGAAACGGGCTATTTTAAGGAAGCATCTGATCAAGGCGGTTCATAGAGGTAACCTGGTCCACTGGAGGGAAACAAACAGAATCACCATGGGTATAAATGGAAGCACTAGGATTCTACTAATAATTTTATTATTTTTTGAGCTGTTCCAGGCATTGCTATGTTTAATTTTTGCACAAAGTATCAAGTAGGTTCCTATTATTTAGATGAAAAGGAAAAGATTAAATATATCAAGTATCAACTTAGGTTTTAAAAACTGATCAATGGGAGGGCTCATATTTAAACCCAAAGCCTATTCTCATTTCACAAAATAACACTTCCTTTTTTCTTGCTTATTCTTTATTCTACCATAATGAATAAATGTTTTCTTATTAACCATGTATTCCAATTATTTATTCAACATTCATTTAACTAACATTTGATGAAAACCTCCTATTTTCCAGGAATTATAGGAGATACAACAATTAATAAGGCAAAGTCCCTATTCTTGAGAAGCTTACAGTCCATTTGCAATACAATTGCAATAATTACAGTAGAAGGCAGAATGTAGAATGTGCCAAAAGAGAAGTATGTATCTTTGCTTCCCCATTTCTCATTCTCACAGATAATCAATAATTAATCCTACTTTGTATTTTGCTCATACCTGTCTTCCAAGGAAACCAAATGCTTTGCATATATTATCTTGTCAACACTCCCAATAGTAGAACAGCATCATATCTGAGTTCCAAAAACGTATCAGCTTGTAAAACCATGTGCAGCCAATCTCATATTTTCTCATGTCATAGCAGTGACACAATATATGGCAATCAGCATTGATGATCTGAAGTACACAGCACCTGCACTGGGGTCACACACCTCAGTTTTATTTAGATCTTCATGGGCACATAGCCCAATGTTTTATGTGTGTGTGTGTGTGTGTGTGTGTGTGTGTGTGTGTGTGTGTGTATGTATGATGATTTTTATATATCTATGATGGATTAAGAAGCTAGTCAGAGGGGCAGCAGTGAAAGTTGGGATGGGAAGGGAGGTGGAGAATGAAGCAATTTAATTACATTTGGCCAGCCATAGAAGACAAATGCTAAAAGGAAGTTATGGCAATATTGAAATGCTGAGTTGTAATGAAGCCTACCTTTTATGGAAGACTGACTATGTGCCAAGCATGGTGCAGAGTGCCTTACTTTCATGATCTAATTTAAGTGCCCTCCCAGCTTAGGAAGATGGCACTTACTTTTGGGTGAGCACTGTTACTATTTCCATTTCTTTCCAGGTGAAGAAACTGGGATTCAGACTGGCTAAGTAATTTGGCTTAGGCTGGTAGATAGACTGAAGTGAGCTGGAGTTTGGCCATAAATCTGCTTCTTTAAACTCAGGTCCTTAATGACTATGTCATTTCCCTTTCCAAGACTGGGAGAACCAAGAGAAACTGTATGTAGCTAGACGCTAGGTATCTGAGGAGACTGTGGGCAAGAACCAGGGAAGGAAGACAGGAATTGGGAAGCACTTGGGTTTAAGATGGAGACGTGAACTGTGTAACAGTGAGGACTTGGTGAAATGACAGAAGTCCAACTCAAGCTACCTTAAACCTTAGAGGATTTTTTTGGGTTAGGGAATCAAACTGTGAGAGTTTTAAGAGTAGAGATGATCCCACAGCCTTGACCTAGGAAAATGAAAGCCTCAGGTCTATTTGTCTGTCTCTATCTCCCAATCTTTTATCGCTGCTTCTTTTTTCTTTTTCACTATTGAGACCTGCTCTCCCCATAAGGCTGAACCCATGGTTACAAGTTGCCTCAGAATTTTATCTTTATTTATTTGTTTATTTATTTTAAATTTTTTGAGATGGAGTCTCACTCTATCGCCCAGGTTGGAGTGCAGTGGTATGATCTCAGCTCACTGCAACCTCCACCTCCTGGGTTCAAGTGATTCTCCTGCCTCAGTCTCCCAAGTAGATGGGACTACAGGAGCCTGCCACCATACCTGGCTAATTTTTGTATTTTTTTTTTTTTTCAGTAGAGACGGGGTTTCACCATGTTGGCCAGGCTGGTCTCGATCTCCTGACCTCGTGATCTGCCTGCCTCGGCCTCCCAAAGTGCTGGGATGACAGAGAATTTTATCTTTAAAGTGTCATCACTTGTAATAAAAAGAGATTTTCCCTATAAATTTCAGTTAGAAAACTCCCAGGAAGAGTTTCTGATTGGTTTTGCCTAGATTACTTATCCTCTCTTTGGCTACAGGAACACTGATTAGAACCTCACTCCAGTCAACCAAATGGTGACAATCAGAAAAGAATTCTTTTCTCTTCTAGAAGAAAAGGAAAAGGGGATGTTGGACTCACAATAACAACAAATGTCTACTATAAGCAGAAGCCAGACTGGATATCAGAATAACAGACTTAAGACACTAACCATGCATGAAAAATGCACCTTAAAATCAGTTTTTGTTTTCTGCCTTATAAGACTTTCCACTGGGCCAGAATCTAGGAACCAAGCCAACCGAAGATCTACACCATTATAGATCACAGAATCCTGCTGTCTCACATGCTCCTCACTGCTCTCTATGATCCAGCCCCATTGTCCTTCCTTTGACTACTCTTTTTATGTACCAAGCTTATGCCTTCTTAGCTTATATGAGCTGTTCCTCTGTTTGCAATAATTTCTTGCCAGTTATTCAGATCCCAACTCAAATGTCATCTCCTTATAGAGGACTTCTCTGAACACCTGTTTTTGTTTTTTATTTTTTGAGAACACCTGTCTTGTTCTGTTGCCCAGGCTGGAGTGTAGTGGCATTATCACGGCTCACTGCAGCCTCGATCTCCCAGGCCCAAGAAACACTGCCACCTCAGCATCTGGAGTAGCTTGGACTACAGGTGTATACTGCCATGCCTGGGTAATTTTTGCTTTTTTTTTTTTTTTTTGGTAGAGATGGGGTCTCATTATGTTGCTCAGGCTGGGCTTGAACTTCTGGGCTTAAGCAATCCCTCCCCTGCTTCAGCCTCCCAAAGTGCTGGGATTCTAGGTGTGTGCCACTGCACCTGGCCATCTGTTTAATATAAAGTAATCCCCTGCCAGTTTTATTTTGTAATAGTAATCGTCAGTACGAAATTTTCATTCTCCTCTTTTCTCCCCTCCACATATCTTCTTTTCTGTTTCATATTCCTGAAACATACATTTTGTGAAAACAGACATCTTTTCTGTTTTCTTACCTGCTAAAATGCCAGTATCTACCATAATGTCTGGCACACTGTGTAGGTCCTTAATACATACTTGTGAAACAAATAATTAAGTGAATTAATCCTAGATTTAAAAGAGAACATGGCATTTAACTTGGACATTTGTACCTAAGGAGTGCTTCCAACATGTTTATGAATTTTTTAAAAATCAGGAGAATCCAGGAAATTGGTACAATTAGCATCTGCAGAGATACTGCTGAGCTTGGATGTTATATGCAAAACCTCACATGAAGGTTGAAAGGCAAACATCCACCTTTTTCTTCCACATTTTCATCAGATTGTAAGAGCTGTGTGAGTGATATTTTGAAAAGACCTGGCTTCATGCATGGCTGTCATTTATTGAGCATAAGTCCTATGCCAGATACCATGCAAGGTAGTTTACATGGATTAGTTCCAGTTCTGAGACTTGACACAATAGAACTTGCCCAGGGGCCCAAAGCTTGTAGAAGGCAGGAATGGGATCAGAACCCTTACCAAATGTTCTAGCAGATTTTGGGGGAGATTTCAGAGTATGTTCTTTACCACCATTTTGTTGAGGTGTGATAATTGGTACTTGGCCACAAACCCATCTAATTTTTACCTATGTCTGGGATATAGATGAACAGGTGAAATTCTATTCAATGCTGTCCCAGAGGTTTTTGTCTCTAGGACAGTGGTTTAAAAGTATGGTCCCTAGACCAGCACATCAGCGTCTCCTGAGGACATGTTAGAAATGCACATTCTTATGCTTCATTCCTAACCTCCTTCATGAGAAACTCTGGGGATAGACCCAACAATCTGTTTTTATTTTTATTATTATATTTTTTTGAGACAGAATCTCACTCTGTTGCCCAGGCTGGAGTGCAGTGGTGCCATCTTGGCTCACCACAGCCTCCACCTCTGAGGTTCAAGCGATTCTCCTGCCTCAGCCTCCCGAGTAGCTGGGATTACAGGTGCCCACCACTATACCCAGCTAATTTTTGTATCTTTAGTAGAGACAAGGTTTCACCATGTTGGCCAGGCTGGTCTCTAACTCCTGACCTCAGGTGATCTGCCTGCCTCAGCCTCCCAAAGTGCTGGGATTACAGACATGAGCCACCACGCCCAGCCCCAACAGTCTGTTTTAACAAGTCCTCCAGGAGCCTGCGATGGACCCTAATGTTTGAGAGCCACTGCTTGGATTATCTTCGGAGTAGCCCAGTAGTTTCAGTTGAAGAGTACCTAGATGCCAGTGGGGAATTCTAGAGCTCAATGCTAGGGGATAAAATTTGGAAGTTGTGGGATAAAAATTGGAGGTTGGGTGATCAATTGTATTGGTTTTGTCCAGTACTGGAAGCGTTCCCAGGGTGTGGGATTTTCAGTTTCAAAAGTGGGACAGTCCTGAGCTAATCAGGATGAGTTGATTATTGCATTCATTTGCTGTCATAAAAAATTACCTCAAACTCAGTTGCCTAACTAAACACATTTATGATAGTACAGTTCTGTGGGTAAAAAATCCAATGTAGATCTCATGGGGCTGCTGTCAGTAGGGCTGCATTGCTTCTAGGAAACTCTAGAGAAGAATCCATTTCTTTGACTTCCAAAGGCCACCTTCCTCCATTTCTGTGAACATTCTTTTGGAGTCACATTTACCTCTGACCATACTTGGAAAAGGTTCTCCAATTTTTATTTATTTATTTATTTATTTATTTATTTATTTATTTATTTATTTGAAATGGAGTTTTGCTCTTGTTGCCCAGGCTGGAGTGCAATGGCATTATCTTGGCTCACCGCAACCTCTGCCTCCTGGGTTCCAGTGATTCTCCCGCCTCAGCCTCCTGAGTAGCTGGGATTATAGGCATGTGCCACCATGCCCGGCTAATTTTTGTGTTTTTAGTAGAGACGAGGTCTCTCCCTGTTAGTCAGGCTGGCCTCGAACTTCCGACCTCAGGTGATCCACCTGCCTCGGCCTCCAAAAGTGCTGGATCACAGGCATGAGCCAACGCACCCGGCCAAAGGTTCTCCAATTTTAAGGACCTGTGTGATTATATAGGACCCAGGATAATCCAGGATAATCTTTCCATCTCAACATTCTTAATATAATGGCGTTTGCAAAATCTCTTTTGCTATTTAAGGTAATAAATACGCTTGTCCTGAGATTAGGACGTGGACATCTTTGGGGAGCCATCTTTCTGCCTACTACAGTTACCAAAACTGCCTATTACAGTTACCATGTGGGACTTCTTGTACTAAAACTAGCAAAGTTCTGGGTAAAACAGAGACAAGTTGGTTCCTTAATTGAGGTGGAAATGTACAGAGAAGAGCAGTATTGCTGTGGTGGAGGCCACATCCTGCAGTAGTGAAAGAGACTCTGGAAACAAGGTTCAGAACTGGGCATAAGTCAAAGGGAGGCAAACGTGTCTTCTTGAGTTGTCCATTTAGTGATTTTGTGTAACCTGATTCAAACTTTCTGTTTTTCATGCTATAAAATGATCTACTATTTGTAGACCTTCTTTTTGTGATTAGTATAACCATGCTAATTTATTATTAGTCACTAACTGTGGGTAATTCACTGTTGCTTATAATA
The DNA here is from genome assembly GCF_000001405.40 of Homo sapiens. Taxonomy (NCBI): domain Eukaryota; kingdom Metazoa; phylum Chordata; class Mammalia; order Primates; family Hominidae; genus Homo; species Homo sapiens. The sequence goes on from NC_000003.12 coordinate 115,415,689, forward strand.
TACTACATTAATGAATGCTACCATTGGCTTATCAAGTTCTGATGCTAGCAAAAGCAAATCACAGCTTTAATTGTCTGAATCTGGCTCTGTCTGTGTGATCAGCATGTGATCAGGGTCTTGCTGAGTGTAAAGAGAACTGGTGAAGCACATTCACAGGAATCCAGGCTGCAATAGTAGCTCTTGCAGGGAAGTAATGTTCCGTGAGTATTTTATTATATATAGTATATATTAAGGATTTGTTTTTCCTGTGTAAATACCTGGCTATCTCTAGTTTTAACATCTTTTCAGATGAAGTGCCCCAGAACAAAATGCCTCCTCCTATAAAAAAAAAAGACAGGAATGGTTACACACAGAAAGTATTGATCATGTAGCTAAATTTTTGTGAATGTAATATAAACATGGATATACGAAACCAGTGAAATCCTTCTTATGACCAGGAGCCTGGAAATCAAAGTTGAGTGAGGGCTTTGCCCCCGTGAGGTTAGAAATGCTGTTTTCCATTATGACAAAGCAGCTTCCCCATAAAGAAGAGAGCCCAGTCCTTGAAATGAAAACAGGCATGACAGGATTCAAATCCCAAATCCACTCCTTACTAACTGTGTAACCCAGGAATATTTCTTATTTTTTAGAGCCTTATTTTCCCCTCTTTTAAAAACAGTATAATACCTTGTTTTTGTTGTGAACATTAAATAATAACATATATTAAGTACCAAGTTCCTGGTATAGAGTTGGCACAAGTAAACGGCAGTTGTTAACATTATGGGTTCATTTTTCAAATATATCTCCAATAATAAGGGTACGTCAAGGTGCGTTAGCACAGTAGTAGCTATTTCCACTCCTTGAAAGGCCATTCATTCAACAACTTTTATATTTTGTGTCATCTGAAACTGAAAGTATTAACAATTAAGAAACAAGTAATTCTCATCCTCCAGGAGCTTCCTGGAGAGATGACACTCACTTGAACTGGAGGAATCAGTGAGTGACATTTGGAGGAGCACAGTGCATACCACACTTTGACAGCAGCATGAGTTGAGCTAAAGCACAGAGGTGAGATGCAGTCTGGCCTGTGTTGGGAATTAAATGTGGTTTGGTACTGCTGCAATATATCAGAAAGGAAGTAGTCAGAATTGAGGCTGAAATACCAGCTGTAGCATGAAAGACCTATCTCATGGTGGAGAACGTGGACATTATCTGTGCATGATGGGAATTCACTGATGGTTTTTAAGTAGGGAGTGAAGTGATCTAATTAAGATTTTAAAAATATCACTACAGCTACCTTATGAAGAATGGGTTGATGGGAAGCAAGAGTGAAATTGGGGCTGCCATTTAGAGGGCCTTCTCAGTAATGGTATCTACATGCAATCAAAACCAACTGAAGTAACTCATGAGACTTTAATTAAATAACCACTTACAAAGTAAGTGTGAGCAGGGTAAAGGGAACCATCAAGACTGCTAACACAACTGGAAAAGAGCAACAGTGGGAATTGTTACCAATCCCAGGCAAGAAGGGTTAAGGGGAGGAAATAGTGAAAGCCGGGGCCAGAAAGAAAGAGCTCCCTGATGCTGTATCCTTTCTTAAGTCAGGTTCTCCAGAAGCAAACTGAGAGAATGATTCATGGGCAAGTGGTTTGTTTAGGAAATGTCCCCAGGAGAAACTTGTAAAGACGTAGGGGAAACAGGGAAAGGAAAGAAGCCATGAGTGAGTACCACTGCATCAGTGCCTGGTGAAAGGAAGGTGCTGTGCAATGAGCTAGGTTTTACTGGGAGTCAGAAGCCCTAGAGCCAGGTCCTGTTCCACCTAAGTCACCCAAACTCCCGGGGTTTCAGTTTGATCATCTATAAAATGTGGAAAATACACTTTTACAGAACCATTGTGGGGATGAAATAAGGAGATATGAGGGGTTTTTAAGGTATTATGCCAATGTAAGGTTCTAGGATATTAGGAAAACTGTAAACTTTTGAACCTGACTGGTCTGGGGAATGAGTGCAGAACTAGGGCCATGCATGAAGGCTGGCCGTAGGCCCTCTGGACCCCATGTGTGTGCTCTTAGCCTGCAGTCAGGCAGTCTTTGAATTAATTCCTGAATACTAATGGCTGTATTTTTATGGTGAAAAAACAGACTTGCTAAATGAAGTTTTAATTTTGTATGATGATAAGAATAATGTAGAGAAATTTTGTAAAATATGTTCACCTTTTAAATGAGGCATCGCAGCTAAGTGATGAAGGCTGTTAAAAGAAAAATTTCAGCCAAATTAAATTTAAAGGGGTTTAATTGAGCAATGAACGATTTGCGAATTGGGCAGCTCCCATGATCACAGCAGATTCAGAGAGACTCCAGGGATGCCTTGTGGTCTGAAGAAATTTATAGACAAAAAAACGGAAGTGACATATAGAAATCAGAAGTGAGGTACAGAAACAACTGGATTGGTTACAGCTTGGCGTTTGCCTTATTTGAACACAATTTGAACACTCGGTAGTATCTAAGTGGTTCAAGTACAACTTCTGGGATTGGCCAAGACTTGGTTATTGTTACAGGGGCATATTTCTAAGTTAGGTTTTCAATCTTGTCTGCCTATTAAGTTAGGTGGCAGTTCATCCACAAGGACTCAAATATAGAAGTATGGAGTCCTTCTCAGTCCTTATTTAGTTTACTTTAACAGTACAAATTTTTATGGCTATTGTATTTTTAAAGGGCAAATGTATCTGATATTGAGTCATTATGATAGTATGTATGGGTTGTGCTGGTCAACCACATGGCTGTTTATCTACTGTTATTGGAAATCTGACAGTATATCAAAATGAATAGAATCACTGCCCATTGAAACGATGTCAACATCCAATTATTGTCATGATTGCCATTTCATATTTCCCTACATTTTTCTATAAGCATCTGGGCTACAGAGTTGTTTCTCACTTAATGATAACACTATGACACCATGAGACAGTTCAGTAGAACTTTTTGATGTGAAAGGCTCATTACCTGCTGATGCTGAGCAGAAAAGTAGCTAAGGATAGTGTCTCTCATAGCATGTGATTGCATTGTGATCAACTCACAGGTTACTTCCTTTAGTGGCAGCAGGAAATACTGGTAACCTTGGCAACACTGGTGGCCCTTCCCATCCTCTTTTAATTGAAATGGTTGTTGCTAGGATACAGCCTAAAGCTAAATGGAGAGAAAAAAGAGGAAGCAAGAGAATGAGAGAAAGAGAACGAGAAGGGGAGAAAAGATGAAAGAAAAGAAGAGAAAATAAGGGAGAGAATGAGAGTGAGAAAGGAAGATAAAATGAAAGTATTGGATGGTATTTGAAGGGCAGACTTATGGGCATGAAAGAGACTATTAAATTATAGTTGAAATTAGAGAGCATGGGGTGGGGGTAAAAGCGGAATGTTAGTTCTTGCCTTACTAAAAATCAGTTATTCATACTTCATTTTGACTTTGTGTTTTCTCAAGCAAGTGACTTATCTTTTATGTGGGTGTTTTTATATTGCCTTGGAAGGGAAATGTTTATTAGCTACCTTTCTCTTACTTTTAATCAACCCCAAAACCCCATCAGCATTCTTTCTTCTGATGCCTCATTTGTCTACTGTAGCCTGAAAATGAAATATCTGCAGACAGAACTATATTAAAACGCAATGAATACTCCTCTGTCAGAAGGCCTTGAGCTGAGTTTTTCTGGTGTCTGGGGGAAGCTATGACCCCGTCATCCATGCTTCTGCCCTCAGTCTCCTTTTTATGCATGCATATACTTGGATATGGGACGTAGACAAACAGTTTCAGCAGCTGACATCCTCTGAGTTCAGGGGAAAAGTTATGATTATTCTGGGTGATTGTAGCTTTTTGCAGCAGAAGAGTCATATTATGCAAAACTTACAAATGAAGAGAACTGGCAGTTGTGATTAGTGGTTCTTCTCTTCTGTGGTATGAAAAGGAGTCAACCTGGGTACATCCCCTATTTCCAGAAGACAGGTATATTACTTAAAATAGAGTCATAAATTAATTATGTGGCTTTGAAATCTGGGCATTTTTGTTATAATTAAAGGGATTTTATATACATTGTTTACTATGGTATTTTCAGCACCTAGAAGAGCACCAGGAAAATTGTAAGTGCTCAGTGAATGATGATGAATCAATGAGAAAAAAATCACTTTAACTTTCTGGGCAATGGTCAGCTCATTGTTCCCAGTCTTAGTTTAGAGGGTGCCCAGCTGTGACCTCTAGATGTGGAGCACCTAGGACTCAGCTTATTATCAGAGCAACTTCCCTCTGACCATGGTAATTGATTCAAGAGTGAGTTCAGGGGTGTGGCAATTCCAGGTACTTCTGGAAAGTGAGAAAAGTGGTCTAGGGCTAGGATTTCGTATTATACCTGTAATAGGGCATAGACTAAATTTTAGTATTTTTGAAAGTTAAAAAAACAAAACCTCACATTAAAAAAAGATAGCACCACTGCACTCCAGCCTGGGCAACAGAGAGAGACTCTGTCTCAAAAAAAAAAAAAAAAAAAAAGTTACCAGCAGTTCTGCCTTCTAGGGTAAAAATGGTAATTAACTTTGAAGTAGACTATCCTCTGTTTCGAGAAAAGCCATTTAGCATGCCTTTCTGGTTTATGTCAATGTGAATATTTTGTGTAACAAGGGAAGATCTGAAATGATAAGATTTCTGTAGAGTAACATAAACTGAGGACATCTTTTAATAGAAGTCACTCCTCCAGATAATTTCCATTACAGAAATTTTCCTTAAACTTCCCTATGCCTATACATTATCACATGTTCTCATGGAATTGCATGTGTCTGTCCTTCAGTAGTTGCTTAGAAGAACAGGAGGACTAGAGGGATATGTGGCCTGAATATCCATCACTTCTCCCACGCTCCCTAAGGAAATACTGTGAAAGAAGAAGATTGTGATTGGTATATAAACCCTGGACTATGTTATTAGTGCCTTAGCATTATTTTATCTAATACTGAATGATCCAGACAAGAAAGATATTATCAGATTATTGAGGCATTTTTTTTCTTTTGGGGAATAAGAAGTTGGACTCTATCCCTAGAGTTAGAAGAAGGTGTTTCCCTGAGAGAAATAGATATGCACTTTTTCAGTCATCTTGCGGCAAAGCTAATCTACAGATGGATTTAGAGAGGAAACCTTGCAATTGGGTGATGAACTAATTTTCTCCTATTTCTGAGTCTAGAGAGTTGGCTATGAGCTTGAAAGATGGAAATACCTGGGTTGTGGTCAGTTGGGCCATGTAACATAGAGATTAGCCAGGACTTAGGCAGAAGGGACCCTGAGGTTTGGTGTGAGTGTCTAGTGCTAAAAGAATCCACTGCTGTAGCAAGTTTATGGTCTCTTCATTATCCCCAGGTCTTCAGTGAAGTCTTGTTAAAAGTTACAAGAGTTGGTCTCAGCTATGCTATGGGTAAAAGGACAATAGAGTGGGGTGGAGGAGTTACCATTTCTTTATTAATTATAGAGTACCTATTATGATCTGGGCATGCTCCTATGCACTAGAAATGAACAAATTTTCAAGTTTCAACAAACTTGAAAAAGCCTCTTATTGTCACCTTATATATTATTTATTTATTTTATTTGTTTTTTTCTTTCTTTTTTTTTCTTTTTTTTGATAGGTTTTATTTATTTGTTTATTATTATTATACTTTAAGTTTTAGGGTACATGTGCACAATGTGCAGGTTTGTTACATATGTATACATGTGCCATGTTGGTGTGCTGCACCCAGTAACTCCTCATTTAGCATTAGGTATATCTACTAATGCTATCCCTCCCCCCTCCCCCCACCTCACAACAGTCCCCGGTGTGTGATGTTCCCCTTCCTGTGTCCATGTGTTCTCACTGTTCAATTCCCACCTATGAGTGAGAACATGCAGTGTTTGGTTTTTTGTCCTTGCGATAGTTTGCTGAGAATGATGGTTTCCAGCTTCATCCATGTCCCTACAAAGGACATGAACTCATCTGTTTTTATGGCTGCATAGTATTCCGTGGTGTATATGTGCCACATTTTCTTAATCCAGTCTATCATTGTTGGACATTTGGGTTGGTTCCAAGTCTTTGCTATTGTGAATAGTGCCGCAATAAACATACGTGTGCATGTGTCTTTATAGCAGCATGATTTATAATCCTTTGGGTATATACCCAGTAATGGGATGGCTGGGTCAAATGGTATTTCTAGTTCTAGATCCCTGAGGAATCTCCACACCGACTTCCACTTATTCATTTTATTAAATGTCTTCCTTTATTAGATTGCATGTTCCATGAGATAAGTACAGAGAAAAAAATAACAAAGGAGGGCGAGGGATAGAGAGTGATTGGTGAGTATGGAAGGCCCTTGAATGAGTGATTTGTAATTGGAGCTCTGAAGGAAGTGCGGGAGCAAGCCAGGTGGATATCTGATGGAGAGCATCTCAGGCAGAGACCAGCAATTGCTAAGACCCTAAAGTAGATGCACTGTTATTGTGTGTCTCAGTTCATTCATGCTGCTGTAAGAAAGTATCACAAACTGTATAATTTATACATAATAGAAAATTACTTCTCACAGTTCTGGAGTCTGTGAAGTCCAAGATCAAGGTGTTGGCAGGTTCGGTGTCTGGTGAGGGTCTGGTCTCTGCTCCTAAGATGGTGCCTTGTTGCTGCATCCTCCTGAGGGAATGAGAGCTGTGTCCTTACACATCAGGATGGACAGAAGGGCAAAGGGGCCTACCTAGTCCTCTCTGGCCCTATAAGGGCAGTAATCCCATTCCTGAGGGCTCTGCCCTCGTGACTTAATCAGCTACTAAAGGCCCCACCTCTTAATACTATCATATTGGGGTTTAAGTTCCAGCATATTAATTTTGGAGACACACATGCATTCAAATCATTCAAATCATAGTGCTTTGTTTGAGGAACCTGAGTAATAAATCCAAAAGACCAAGAGCACAGTCAGTGAAGGGGAGGCTAGTAGGAGAGGAAATCAACAAGGTAAGAAGTATTTTAGGTCATCACAGAGACTTTGGATATTCCTCTGAATAAGATGGAAAGGTCTCAGAGTGCTTGTAACAGAACTGACATAATCTAACTTACATTTTAAAAGGATAACTCTGGCTAAGGAGTGGAAAATGGACTCTAGAGAATAATAGCAAAGCGGCGAGACCAGTTGGGTAGTTTCTGCAATAGTCCAGGTGAGGGCTGGCTTTAGGTCAATGACTTCATTCTCAGCCCACACTCAGTCTGATTCTCTCAGTCTTTAAATTTGGTTTATTCCTTTATGCTAGCACTCTTCACATCTGTCTCTGTCAGTGGATAGAGACAAACTATCAAGCTTGCAGCTAGCATTTATATTTAGCAAGCTCTGTTTATACCTAATAGATGTTCAATACAGTTCTGTTAAAATAAGTATAAATATATCTGACTATGGAAAAAAGGAGTATAATCCCTTGATACTTATTAAGACATTGAGATAGATAATCTTCAGTTAGGGTGAATTCAGAACCTAAAGCAGACAGGTGCTTAGCAGAACAGGGATCTATAGATAGGGGCAATCAGAGAAAGAAAGGCTTTACAGTAATAAGTGTAAGTCTTCCAGGAAGCAGTTGGCTCCTAAGATATTCTTTTCTGCTTAGAACCCTCTCACCACAGTGTGAAATAGGCATCCATTGGTTGGGGTGGGTTGGGGTTGGGTGTGTGAGTCACACCTCTTGAAATTTCCATATTGCTTGGATTTGTGCAATAGGCATGAGGAACAGAAATAGATATAGCAAGTGCAACAGAAAGGATTACTTCACTTTGCATGATTGAGGCAGATATTGTGTACATCAGGGACTCGATTTTGAGAAATTGTGTCTAGACTGTAAGTGGTCTGCAATAAGTCTATCAGCTCTGCTACTAGGTGGCAGAATAATAACCAGCATTTATTGAGTGCTTATAGCCTGGGCCAATAACTTAATATTTATTAATAATTATTATCCTTAGATCATTTCTTCAAAAATGTTACCGTCTTAAGAAGAAACTAAGGCTGTAAGACATTATATAGCTTTCCTAAAATTACTTGATTATTAAGCTGTGAAGGCAGAATTCAATATCATGGCAGTCTGGCTCCTTAGTCTATACTCCCTATAGCACTTGGCTTCAGACTTCAATAACAAGGTCAGAGATAAGATTTGATATAAAGAAATATCATAAGATTAAAAGAGATTTTGTACAAGAACCTTCAGAAGATACTGCCCCAACCACCTCTCTTTAAGGATTCAAGTATTCTTAATAAGTGGGATATGAGTAGTAAGCACATAAACCATATAGTAGTTGAATTTGATATAGTATTTGTAACTGACATTTATACTTAACAGCCAGTAAACTATATCTAATTAATTCTACAATGTGCAACACTTTTTAAATAACTCTTTTGCTGTCTTCCGTAGATTCCCAGGTTAGAAGAAACTCTCAAGGGAAAAGGAGTGTCTATACTAATAATACTGTTATTATCTCAGTTTCTTATTTGGATCCACAAACAAACATCTACTTACTAAATTGGTACAAAAGTGATTATGGTTTTGGCATTGAAAGTAATGGCAAAAACCACAATCACTTTTGCATCAGCCTAATATTTGCCCTGCAGATACCCCTGGATGCTAGATTAAAGTTGCCATGAGGACTGACCATGTAGAATGGTGTTTCTCAAAGTAGAATCCTTGGACCACTCACCATAGTATCACACAGGGAGTTCGCTGAAAATGTGTAGTCCTGGATCTCACTTCAGACCTATTGGATTAGAATCTTTGATAGAATCTTAGATAGGCCCACAAATCGATAAACTCTCCAAAGGTTTCTTATCAGTGGTATGCTCCTAAATGTTTAGCACTTGGCTCTTGGGGGAGAGAAGAAAACCCTGACTTACAGCATTTACTAGTTTTTATCAGGGACTATTTTCACTGCTCTGTAGTTTAAGCTTGCAGCTAACATTTATATTTAGCAAGCTCTGGTTTACCTTGCCTCCTTTCTAGCAAACAGTTAAATCTTTCTGTTTGATAGTTGCTGCCAGTCACACCTCTCCTCCTTCCCTTCTTCTCCCCTTCCCGCTGCAGCCAATCCTCCTCTTTTTGGTGAGTGTATTCCTTCCTCCCACAGCACTAGGGAGATGTCCACTAGTTCTCATTTGTGTTCCACATGTAGCTTCATTTTGCATGTGGCTAGCAAAGCTGGAATTTCCAGTGCAGCTTCTCCACCTTTTCTTCTGAAATAACAATTATGTAAAAAGAGGCTACAAGAATAAAGGAAATTTAAGGAACTGATCAGACCTGGGAAAGGAAGGCTGCTGCCTTAGACTGGAAGCTGATTAGCTGTCGTCTCTTCACTCCAGAGAGAAGTGACCCAAAGTTCTCCACCCCAACCACAGAGTCAAACATATTGCCTCCTTCACGCTGAGGCTGACCTCAGAGCCAGGTGCAGTCCTGTCTTCCATCTCATCATGCTGCACCTGGTAATGCATCCCTGTCATATTCTTCTCAATAAACCTTGTAATGCCTGCTCTTCTTAACACCTGGGGCCTGACCCCTGAGCAACGATCTCAGAAAGATGACCCTAAAGTTTCTTTCGTCTGTTGCAGGATTATCATTATACGTCAGTGGGCTTTTCTTTTCCCAGTAGGTAATCAGTTTGGTGGCTACAGAGCCCTGTGGCATGAGGATCTGAATCATATGCCCTGGCTTATCCTGCTGTGAAACTTCATTTGAGGTGTTCACAGTGCAGCCTTCCATTTTCCACCCGTAAAAGACAAATAGTGATGTCATAAAAGCTCCCACCCGGAGACACACACACACACACACACACACACACACACACACACACACAACCATTTCATGGGCATATTTAAAAGATAAATAGGTATATTCGTGTTATCAGTCCTGGACCAATCCTTTAGTTGGCTGGATGACAATGTTGGAATTGTTTGGCATGCCGTGTAAAGGTGTAGGATTTTTCAGAGAGCTTAGAATGGGCACCTGGTCTTTTCACCACCAGAAGGAGATGGTGACTGCTGAAACTGTCCAAAACAAAATCTTCTCAAGTACACTGTTCTTGCAGTGAGGACATTGTTTTATCCCAACCAAATTCTTCAACTAATCCCATGTTTTCTTGGTTTGTCCTCACAATAGATGAAGGACAGTTGGCCATGATTTCTGGTATAAATGTCTATCTCATAGGCCAGGACCTCCATTAAGTTATTCCTTGGTCTTTTCCCATTCCATGAGCATGGCCTAAGTACTGAATGCCAGGTGAATACTCATGTGAATAAAGCAAAACTCTGCCCACAAGAATAACAATACAAGCAGCAAAATAGGTAAAACATGGAGTGGAAAATTATAAGAAAGGAGAAGATCGATGCTAAGATGGGAATGCATGTAATGGAGTAGTATAACAATTCCCCCCCTTTTTTTTTTTTAAAGAGAGAGTCTCACTCTTGTTGCCTAGGTTGCAGTGCAGTACGGTGGTGTGATCTTGGCTCACTGCAACCTCTGCCTCCTGGGATCAAGCGTTTCTCATGCCTCAGCCTCCTGAGTAGCTGGGATTACAGGCATGCACCACCACACCCAGCTAATTTTATGTATTTTTAATAGAGATGGGGTTTCACCATGTTGGCCAGGCTGGTCTTGAACTCCTGGCTTCAAGTGATCCACCCACCTTGGCCTTCCAAAGTGCTGGGATTACAGGCGTTAACCACTGTGCCCAACCAAAAAGTTCCTCTTTTTCTTCTGCATTTTTTTACAAGATAGCTTAATAATCAAAGCATGTCTCTCTCTCTCTTTTTTTTTTCTATTATACTTTAAGTTTTAGGGTACATGTGTACAACGTGTAGGTTAGTTACATATGTATACATGTGCCATGTTGGTGTGCTGCACACATTAACTCATCATTTAACATTAGGTATATCTCCAAATGCTATCCCTCCCCCCTCCCCCCACCCCACAACAGGCCCCGGTGTGTGATGTTCCCCTTCCTGTGTCCATGTGTTCTCATTGTTCAATTCCCACCTATGAGTGAGAACATGCAGTGTTTGGTTTTCTGTCCTTGTGATAGTTTGCTGAGAATGATGGTTTCCAGCTTCATCCATGTCCCTACAAAGGACATGAACTCATCCTTTTTTATGGCTGCATAGTATTCCATGGTGTATATGTGCCACATTTTCTTAATCCAGTCTATCATTGTTGGACATTTGGGTTGGTTCCAAGTCTTTGCTATTGTGAATAGTGTCACAATAAACATACGTGTGCATGTGTCTTTATAGCAGCATGATTTATAATCCTCTGGGTATATACCTAGTAATGGGATGGCTGGGTCAAATGGTATTTCTAGTTCTAGATCCCTGAGGAATTGCCACACTGACTTCCACAATGGTTGAACTAGTTTAGAGTCCCACCAATAGTGTAAAATTGTTCCTATTTCTCCACATCCTCTCCAGCATCTGTTGTTTCCTGACTTTTTAATGATCGCCATTCTAACTGGTGTGAGATGGTATCTTATTGTGGTTTTGATTTGCCTTTCTCTGATGGCCAGTAATGATGAGCATTTTTTCATGTATCTTTTGGCTACATAAATGTCTTCTTTTGAGAAGTGTCCGTTCATATCCTTTGCCCACTTTTTGATGGGGTTGTTTGTTTTTTTCTTGTAAATTTGTTGGAGTTCATTGTAGATTCTGGATATTAGCCCTTTGTCAGATGAGTAGATGGCAAAAATTTTCTCCCATTCTGTAGGTTGCCTGTTCACTCTGATGGTAGTTTCTTTTGCTGTGCAGAAGCTCTTTAGTTTAATTAGATCCCATTTGTCAATTTTGGCTTTTGTTGCCATTGCTTTTGGTGTTTTAGACATGAAGTCCTTGCCCATGCCTATGTCCTGAATGGTATTGCCTAGGTTTTCTGCTAGGGTTTTTATGGTTTTAGGTCTAACATTTAAGTCTTTAATCCATCTTGAATTAATTTTTGTATAAGGTGTAAGGATGGAAGAACATTCCATGCTCATGGGTAGGAAGAATCAATATCATGAAAATGGCCATACTGCCCAAGGTAATTTATAGATTCAGTGCATGTCTCTCTTAAAATCTTTTCAAATTGCTTCCATATCATTTTTGTTGAGGAACTCTCCTTCGAATCTGGTACCAGAGAAAGAGCTTAACCCAGAGTTCCCAAACTCTCTTGTGTCTTCATATGTTTTTCATGATACCCCTTGCCAATATTAGAATATTTTTCATGATGCCCCTTGCCAATAAAAATTTATTTGTTAACTAGTTGGACCAAAACAACTTAAAAAGTCTTTATGTCCTAGCAACTTAGTGGCTGCTTAAAAACTAATACACATAAATTGAAATAAAAAAAGTTTTTAAAAATTTATTTCTTAAGTAAACACAATTGCTTACCAATGGGATGTGTGATTCTACTGCGCAGCTTTGCAATCCTGGCATTCAGATTGGACATTAACACCCTCATGTCCTATTCCACATTGATTTTTACATGGCCTTGCTTTTCATCACCTAGCTTTGCAAAGCAATGATATCATTGAAAAGATAAAATGTCTCTCAGTGCTGATATAAGTTTATGAGTGTGCCCCCAGAGAACCTCACCACATAGTTAGGAAACTGTGAGGCTAACTGATGTCAAATAAAATGACAAATAAAAATATTCATGTTAATAATGTGGGAGGCTATGCATGTATGGGGGCAGAGGTTATACAGGATGTCTCTTTATCTTCCTGTCAATTTTATGTGTGAATCTAAAACAGGTCAAAAGAAGTCTTTTTTAAAAAAGAATATTTACTAACATAGTAATCACCTTGTATGATGAACACATTGACTTATTATCAGACTGCACAAGTTTGACCTTGTGTAATTATTCCTCTACACTACTATACCAACCCTTCTCAGATAAGCTCACCCTGCATGCACACTCATTCAATTCTTTTTTAGAATGCAAGTTACTCCACCACACTGAGATAATGCATGGTAAAAACAGAATACAGCCAGTTAAATTACAGGTTTGTATCTCAAACTTTAATCCAGGGTATCATGGCTTAATCCAAAACCATCTCTCTTTCTTCCTCTCTTTCATGTCCTTCCTCCCTCTTCCCCCTTCCTCTCTTTAGCTTTACTTGTTTCCTTCATTCATTCACTTTTTTTTACCAATTATATTAAGCATCTATAATATGTTATACAACTGTGCAAAGTACTGGGATCCTGTGCTGAGCAAGGAAGACTTGGTCCCTGTCACATGGGATTTAAAATCCACCTAATGATATACTTATTTATTCATTCAAGCAATGCATACTCATGTCGCACCCACTCTATTTCGGGATCTTAGCAGTCACTGGGGTCACAGTGCTGAGTCACCAGTCAATTGCCCTTGAAATGTCTCAGGCACCGGCTCTTGATTTCCTATTGAAACTCTCTTCTTTTCATCACCCAGACCTCTTTGCTCTCCCTGGGATATGCTGCGGGCTCTTTTTATTTTTTTTTGTAGGGGACGGGTGGTGGGGGTCATCTCCACAGGAACTCAACTCTCAATGAAATTACTTTTCTCCTAATTTCATGCCATTGCTCAGTTCCAATAGAGATGATATACATTGTTTTCCAGTTGGCACCTATCAATTTACTTTTCCTGTAAGCTTCTACTGTTTGTCAGACAATTACTGGTATAGCTGTGATAACTATACTTACACAATACAGCAATATGCTTAAGGGAAACATTATTCTTTAAATAAAAAAGTTGTCTTAATCACAACACACAGGATTGGAAGCCTCTTTTCATATAGTAATAATAATAGTAATATTTAACATATATGATCAAATTGTAATTACATGATATTCTTGCAATGTAGTCATTGATCTGTTAATTCATTCTTTCATTTGTTGTGTATTTATTGGAATATGCTTCAGATATGCAAGTAAACAAGACAATTCCTGCCCACTGGGGCTCATAGTCTAGTCAGAAAGATAGAAAATGAAGCATATACAGTATAATAAGTGACTGCATGGAAACATTTTTAGGAACTATAGTTACTGGTTAAATACTAAGCATGCAGCGACACACTATTGTTACACAAGATTTTGTAATGACATAGAAAAACATTAAATCATACATGAAGTAAAAAAGTATAAAACAGTACGTACAATATAACAACAACCAAAAAACTACTGGAAATACATATACCACAATATCAGTAGTAATTATTCCTAAGTGATAGAATTGTAAATTATATTCATCTTGAAAATTTTAATCTTCTAGATCAGCACTGTCCAATAGAAATGTAATGTAAGCTATATAAAATAAGTTAACATTTTCTAGTAGCTACGTCTTAAAAGTAAAAATATATTAATTTTTATATTTTATTTAACCCAGTATGTCAAAAAATATTAAACATGTAGTCAATATAAACTCTTGTAATGAGGTGTTTACATTTCTTTTGTTCATGAGTCTTTGAAATCAGATACCATACCACTTATGAACCATAATCAATGGTTATGATCATTTGAGATCATATGAGATCACTTATGATCTCATAAGTGAGATACCATCTCACGCCAGTCAGATTGGCAATTATTAAAATGTCAGGAAACAACAGATGCTGGCGAGGCTGTGGAGAAATAGGAACGCTTTTACGCTGTTGGTGAGAGCATAGTTCAACCATTGTGGAAGACAGTGTGGCGATTTCTCAAGGATCTAGAACCAGAAATACCATTTGACCCAGCAATCCCATTACTGGATATATAACCAAAGGATTATAAATCATTCTACTATAAAGACACATGCACATGTATGTTCATTGTAGCACTATTTACAATAGCAAAGACTTGGAACCAACCCACATGCCCATCAGTGATAGATTGGATAAAGAAAATGTGGCCCATCTACACCATGGAATACTATGCAGCCATAAACATGGATGAAGCTGGAAGCCATCATTCTCAGCAAACTAACCCAGGAACAGAAAACCAAACACCACATGTTCTCACTCTTAAGTGGGAGTTGAACGATGAGAACACATGGACGCAGGAAGAGAAACATCGTGCACTGGGGCCTGTTGGGGGATGGAGGGCAAGGGGAGGGAGAACATTAGGACAAATACCTAATGCATGTGGGGCTTAAAACCTAGCTGGCAGGTTGATAGGTGCAGCAAACCACCATGGCACATGTATACCTATGTAACAAACCTGCATGTTCTGTACCTGTATCCAAGAACTTAGAGTAAAATTAAAAAAAAAAATCAGATGTGTATTTTCAATTCAGAGTAGCTACACTTTAAGGGCTCAGTAGCCACAAATGGCTAATGGCTATTGTTAAGACAGAAAGTTCTAAATGTTCTACAATGAACTCGTATTCCATTTGTTATAAGGAAAAGCAAACAGTTTTTTAAAAACTGCTGTTGGAAAAGGAAAGAATTAAATGACAAAGGTACTATGTGTGTAATAAGAGGGGAAATGAAAGTCTGTCTGTCTGTTTGGAAGTTAAATTGAAGCAGAGATTGAAAAGATGAGTAAGATTTTGCCAAATACGTAAGAGGGTAAAAAGAATGTTGCATGTATAGGGAATGTAGCTTCTTCAAGGCTACAGAGATGAGATCAAGATTGAGGAACTGCAACTTGTTTGGGGACCTGCAGTAGTTCCATGTGTCTGGAACATTTGGTGATGAAGTGATGGCAAGAATGAAGCTTCATAGACATGTGTGGCAAATGATCAAGGACCTTGTAAGTCACAAGGAAATTTGACTCAATGGAAAGCCACTGAAGGGCTTTGAGCATGGGCATGACATGATTATGTATACATATATATATATATACATAACATGCACATTTTAAAAAAAGATATAATATTGACAGTACTGGTCAAGATAAAGGTGGAAAGGTAGAGGCAAAGAAACTAGTTAATGCCCAATGTTAAAGGTAACAGAAAGTAAGATATTGTGGAGGTGAGATACCATGCACTGGTGTTTAATTGAGAGAGAAAAAAGTAACTTATAAGATAACTCTTAGGTTCTAGGGAAAGCACTAAATGTAAGTTTGGAGCTGGCCTGAGTGCCAGGAGGGTAGTGGTGTGTTCATTCACCAAGCATGGGAATACCAGGGAAGTAATACATTTCTGGGGAAAGTCAATGAATTCAGATTTATGATGAGTGAGGTTCAGGTGCCTCTTAGACATCGAGGTGGACACATTCAGGAAAAGGATAAAAATGGGTCAGGAGACCAGGAAGAAGTCTTGTCTCTACTTTTTGTTGTTATTGTTCATTTTTCATTCATTTTTCCAGATCTCTAGTCCACTCTCATTCCCTGACATATTACTAATGATACTTTGCCATCTTTTTCCTTTTTCTCTTACAAATTCTCCATAATTCTTTCATTCGCCTTTCAATCTCCATTTATATACCAGTAATAATAATCCATAAAATTTACTGGATGCTTACAATGTGCCATGCTGTATTTAAGTGCATTGTATAAATCATCTCACTTATTCCTCATAACAGCACTTTACAGGGTTTTACAGGTGAAGAAACTGAGGTTCAGAGAACTCAGAGTAGTTTGGCATGGTCCCATCTCTGGTATGGCTGGAGCTGGAATTCAAACTCAGGTGACTTGGCGTTCCCTAATGACTCTCAACTTTATGTCTTAGGCCTAAGGTAATTCTGTATCAAGTGCTTCTCTTAAACTCCATATTTGTATGTTGAAGTTCTTATTGGGTATTACTACCCTTTGGCGGTTGCCATTGTAAGCAAAACCCCTTCCTGATCTGGCCTTACCCATCTGGTCTTATCCTGTACCTCTCTCCTTCTCACACTCTACACTTGGGCTCTGCTGAACTACTGGCAGCCAAGCAAAAACACATACAGTAATCGATCTCATGGTACCCCACATATATCCATTCTTTGAGATCGAGGCATACATTTCCACAGATGCCAGGATTGTTGGTTGTTGCCCACTTATAGCTGAGAATTTCTGGGAGAATTGCCCTCCACCAGAAGGAGGTACCAGGCACAAAGTTACACCGTCAACCCATGTGAGCAGCCTGTATTACATGACTGATTGGTGCAGGAGTATAAGGCCCAGTCCTATTTAGTCCAAGAGGGACAACTCTGAGGCCACTGCAGCTCAAGAGCTTCTCCCATAGAATTGGCTGAGGCCTCTGTTGGAACTCCACTGCTGTTTTAACTTCTTCCTCCACCTTATCATGCTCCCTTCACTCTCTGACAAGTGGTTTTCTTTCCAAGAGCCCTCTCCATAAATATGCATTCAGATATATACCCCACAGTCTGTTTCCTGAGAAGTCTGACCTAAAACAGTTGGTACCAGAGTGGTGCTAGGCAGTGGCTCTAAAATGAGATTTTGGAGCTATATTACTCTTTGGCTGGCTGGTGGTTAGGACCTCATTACTGGTGGTAGGTGAATTTTGATAGCTCATGGAATGCTGTAGCAAATGTTAAATCTTTCATCAGTAGCAAACTGAGTGGATTCAGATGGCTTTGGCTGAGCGCTGTCACGTCATTAGAGAAAAGCAATGAAGAACTGAGATTGATTAATCTAACACGTAGAGCAAGGAGTGAAAGCCAGAAGGCCTGAGCATAGAAACCCTGAGGACCAAAACCAGAAATAGTTTTTAAGTATAGCAGAGCTCCAGAGAAGAAGGATATGTCAGCCCTGACAAATCTGCTTCATCAAGGTCAGGACCTTAATTGGAAAGCAGTGAAGCTCTGAGACTTGGGATGGGGTCAACTGGGTTTGTGCACTTAAAAATCTTGAATCCTTAGTTTCCTCTGAACTCACAGGAGTACCTTATTCCTTCTTGTTAAAAGCCATCTCTTCCCCTTTTCTTGCAATATTATATGATAACATATGCTACATTTCCCTTTCCCTTTACCCACTACCTATCTTTACTTTTCCTCCTGGCTATCAGACCAATAACTAGTCACCACATAATTGGCTAAGTGTTTGGTTGTCTCCTAAGGGAGGAAAGGAACTACATCCTAAAGCTGCAGGACCTAGCCAACATGTATCAGCAGAAACTGGGAGAGAATATATAAGAATTGATACTGAGGTCTTGGATCAGGGTGGGGTGGGGTTACAACATAAATTTCGATAAAGGAGAACAAATTCATATGATAACTCTCTCTATCGACAGAGCATTTTAATACCTTGTCAAGGATCCAATGGACAGTGCTAACAGGCTGTTGGAGTGACTCTTAGAAGCTTGGAAAAAGATATGGCTCATACTAAGTACATACTAACTAAAACTGTCAGAACTTCCATAGCACACAGTAAAAGAAAGGATCAAAATGTTCAGGGGAATGGTTATGCTAGAGTGGCTCAACTATGTAAAGCAGTAAACCCATCTGCTAACCATGTTTCACTTAAGGGTCCACATGGCATTATCAGAGTGATAAAGAATGTACAGATGAGGCCAAGCACAGTGAATTCACACCTGTAATCTAGTGCTTTAGGGGGCTGAGGTAGGAGGATCACTTGAGGCCAGGAGTTTGAGACCAGCCTGGGAAACATAGTGAGACCCCATCTCTACAAACAAAACAAAACAAAAAAAAAAAAAACAAAAAACAAAAAACAAAACAGCCAACAAACAAAAACCAAAAACATAAAAATTAGCTGGGTGTAGTGGTGCATGCCTATAGTCCTAGCTAGTCGGGAGGCTGAGGCAGGAAGATCACTTGAGCCTAAGAGTTCAAGACTTCAGTGAGCCATAATTGCACCGCTGCACTCCAGCCTGAGTAACAGAGTGAGACTCTGTCTCAACAACAAAAAAAAAGTGTACTGCTGAGAGGGGAACTAGCATAAATGAGGAACTCAGTGGTGGCCATCCTCTGTAGACCAGAGCTGACAGTAGAAGATGCTGTTATAGAACTGGGAATCTGATAGGAATAAAGAGGATGCCAAAATAACAGAGGTCAGGTAGTAGCATTTAACTGCTGGTTGCAAGGTGATCACCATTACGATAATAAATGATCAGTCTGAGTAACAGTCCATGGAAGTGGTTAATGGAACTTAGTGTGCCTATGGGCAGCCAACAAGAATATGCCTCATGAATGCAATCAGATAATTCAAAGGTGGATAAAAGGAGGTTGAGGGTACTTACCTCAATAAAAAGTCAAAATCCCTTGTCTAATTTCTGGAACCTCAGTTCTCAGTCTCAGATTGTACTACTTGGTGGAGAGGTCAGTTTTCTAGGAAAAAGACACTTGTAACTCCATGTTAAACATATGTGATAATGATTCCCTCAGTCCTTCCTCAAGGTACCTATGACTACTTGGATAGTTGTGCCCTGGGAAAGTGGAAATATCCAGTCATTTTGAGTAGTGTTGTACACTGGGTCTAAGCTGATGTTGGTATCCAGGGACCTAAAACACCATTGAGCCCTCAAAGCAGGATATAGGGACCAATCGATAAATGGAGGCCTGGCCCAGTTCCATTTCACAGTGAGTTCACTAGGTCTATGGACTCATTAGATGATTATTTCTCTGGTCCTTAAATGTAAAATTGAAATAAGCATACTTGGTATTTGGGAGAACTGCTGTATTTGTTCTTTGGCCTTTGGACTGGCATATCGCTCTACCAACTGGTAAAGATGACAGTCATATCTGGGAGCAATCGAATGGATTAATTAGTGGTACCATATCCTCCATTCAAATCACCAGTCTAGATTCTACAAAACAAACAAACAATAAAAAAACAGACTTTTGCAGATACTAAGGGGGTAGTATCCCTAATTACAACTGCTGTGCTGAGGTGCCTTCACTAGAAGACATTAACACAGCCTCATATCCATGATATGTGGTCATTGATCTGAAAAATGTGTTTTCATTTCCATCCTTTTCAGAAAGAAGAATCAGAAGCAGTGTGTGTTCATATGGGAAGGGCAGCATATAATGGTTTTGCCCTGTGCTATGTTAACTAAGGCTCTTTTTCCTGTAGAACATTATCTTGGTCCACTGTCTCAATGACATCATGTTAATTGGACTGGATGAGGAAGAAATGGCAAGTGCATTGGAGGTTTTGGTAAGACACATACATGTACTCCAAAGAACAGAAGATGCATCTAATGAAGATTCAAGGACCTGACATATCCGTTTTTAGGAATATAGCCATTTGGGACATGCCAGAACAGCTTTTTGAAAGAAAAGGACAGTCTAATGCCTCTCATATTGTGCACCCCTAAGAAAGAAGCACAGCTTTTTAAAGGCTTCTTTGGGTTCTAGGGACAGCATATTTCATACTTGGAAATACTGTTTCAACTCATTCGCCAAGTGACACAAAAGATTACCAACTTCATTTGAGACTTCAAGCAAAAAAGAGCTCTGCTACGTGATTTGCCACCGGAACTTGGTAGATGGAAAATATGAGAGCTCAACTGACCATGCAGCCAGAACTGCCCATCCTAACTTAGGTATTTCCAACCTCCATCAAATCATAAGGTTGAGCTAAACCAATAGCAATCCACTGTAAGATCGAAGTGATATATCTGGAATTGGGAATTGGCAGAGACAAAAGGCAGAAGTTAAGTTTCAGAGGGCACGGACCTCCAAATAACCTACCATTGTTATGCTATCACCTTTCCCTAAGCTCACCCCTGTTATACTGTCACCTTTCCCTAAGCTCACCCCTGTTATACTGTCACCTTTCCCTAAGCTCACCGTTATACTGTTGCCTTTCCCTATAGCCACGTAGGCATCCCTTTTGACTGACTGACAAAGGAAGAAAAAGTTACACCTGGGTCATGAATGGGTTGGCTCTCTATGGGGGTCCAAGCTGAGAAAGCACTGTTGCTACTCTACAGTTCCACCTTTGGTGTGAGTAGATATTCCATAATATTTCTGTAAACCTTCTGATGGTGTCCCTGAGAGACAGCAATGAGGAGTAACACTCTCAATGTTTAGAGGATCAGATGGTCACAGCCATTTTTATGGCTGGAGGTAAGAATAAATAGGAACTTACAGGAAGTAACCTCTCGTTTGGCTGATTGGATGGGGGCTTGGAAGAAGAGCGATAGAAAGATCATAGAAAAAAAGATCTGGGAAAGAGGCATGTGCCTCTGCCTGTGGCTGTAGATTGGAAGTTTGAATATCTTTGCATCTCATGGCACTGCCCGCAAGGAAACATTCACCAAGAATGAGGCATTAAACAGCCGTGTAGACAGCATGACTCAGCCAGTTGATGTCATCAGCATTTCATTGCCCAATGCTGGCCTGATGGATGCATGAAGAAACTGATCATTGCTGAGGGATGGGCTCAGTGGCATTTGTCCTCACTAACCAAGGCTGATTTAGGTATTGTTCTCCAACTCCATCTAGCTGCTGATTCCCCAAATTGCTAGCAAAAGAGATCATTACTGAGTCTCTGGTACAGCAAAATCCCTCAGGGAAACCAACCAGCCGCTCAGTGGCAAGTTGATTACACTGGAACCTTTCTATCCTGGAAAAGGTAGTGATTCATCTCGACTGGAAAAGTCACATATTGTGGTATGAGTTTCCTTTTCCTACCACAAGGCCTCAGCTAGCACCATCAGAAGAACGGAATATCTACCCACACCATATATGGTGTAACATAGCCTCAGACCAAACAACAATGTTGTAGGAGTGTACACATAACCATGTATCTATTGGTTCTGTTACATTCTGCACCACTCTGAAGTTGCAGGTCTGAAAGATAATGGAATTGACTTTTGAAGGAGCAGCTTAGATACTGGCTTGCAGATGATACCTTGCACAGATGAGGCATTATCTTTCAGGATGTAATATATACCCTAAATCAAAGACCCTTTTACAGTTCTATTCTCCAGTGGGTCCAGGATGGCTCTACTTATCATCACTACCAGTGAATGACTCAGTTGAGAAATGTTTCCTCAATAATGCATGTTTTGGTTCTGTGGATTCTAAACTAGGTTCTGGATTCTAAAGTGGAAATTGTTTTACCAGGGGGCCCAGTAAGAGTCCCATTAAACTTTAAACTATGGCTACTGTAGGGTCATTTAAGTTTCTTCATGTCAAGAGTCCAGTAAGCAATAAAAGAAAACAATGTTGGTAGAGGTAATTGATTCCGGCCATTAGGAGGCCATCCTCCTAATGGCCTCCTAGGGGTACTCAGTGGGGTCTGGAAAGCATAAGTTTGGTTGTCAGGTTATCTACTGGATCATGTCTTGATACTTTCCTGATTTTTTCAAGAAATGGACAAGTACAGCAGCCACAGTATGGTGTGGTTACCAGAAGCCTAGGCACTCAGGGATGACTGTCTGGGTAACCCCACCAGGTAAGCCATCTAGATCATCAGAGGTGCTAAATTAGGGTCAAAACAATCTGGAATAGGTTGCAGAGGAGGGAGAAAATGAGTTTCAGTTTCAGCTGTAAAACCAGCTATATTGGCAAAAGCTATATATATAGTTCATGCTACTCATCTTTCTTTTGTAAAGTTTCCCAGAAAAAGAGACCAACCAGAAACTTGAAGGAGTTCTTCCCAGATGGAATAAATTTACCGTGTGAATCACGTGAATCCAAGGGATGCAAGGATTGGCCTATACTGGATTGGATGCTCTGGTATACTACTCAGATTTCCTCTTCAGAACTAATGCATTTATCCCCCAGCTATGAAATTGTTGGCTGCTGGCAGTCTATAGCTAATGCAGTCACTGGAAATTATCCTTGGTTGAAGGGACCTAACTTGTCCAAGTCTACACCTATTTCCAGGAATAGTTCAATCCATTGACTTGTTGATGCAGGACTACACAGGTCAAGCCTTCTTGTTTTGATGTGGACAAATCTGAAGGGATATCCCAGCTCCAGACCTCGCATAGGTCTGAGCTAAAGAGACCTCATAGGTCTGTGTCAATTTCTGTCTTTACCCAGTCCTGCTTCTCTCATTCCTTTATAGGTGTTGTTCTGGAACTTCCTAATAAACCAGCTGCATGCAAATATCTGCCTCAGAGTTTGTTTTCTAAAAAGACTTCTCCTAAGGTAGAAGGAAAACTCTCCCTGCTTCCAGGCTTTTGAACATGCTAACTACTAGGAGTATCCTCGTCCATCCTCCTGAGCTTTACCTAATCCAGTGACTTCTTTTGATTACACAGAATTCTCCCCAGGAGTCTCTAAAAGACAATAAAACCAGGATGTAACCCTTGGAAGATTGATACATAAGAGTAGGTGGGAAAAGAAGTAGGTACAAGGATAGAGGGAAAGATAGGCTGGAGATGAGAAAAGTTCCCTTAAAACGTTGCAGAACCAAGAATGCAGGCATGTCAAGGTGCTGATGTGCCGAAAGGTTAAACAGTAGCTTTTGACTATGGGTGTCACATTTTAGCTGTCCTCCTTCCTCTACTTCAACCACAGCCTTTGTGGGTGGCCAATAACCTATGTTATGACCTTTCACACTTAACCTTTAATAACCACTCTCTTTGTAGTTGGAATAATCAGATTCTCTCTCTTCCTTTTCTTGAGAATTTGATTTAGGAAATGTGAAAATGGCAGAGTTAGCAGTGGAAGAAGAGTTGAAAGAGACTATGTAGTTAACCATGCATGAGGTTGAGCCTAGGCAATGAAAGCAGAGACTGTAATGTAAACTCAGGTCCAACAAATGCAAGTGGCTTGGAGAGGAGGTTGAAATGGATGGGCAAAGAAGTGGAGGCCAAGTGAGAGACAGATTCATATAGTCCATGAAAATGTAGCAGGTATGAAGTGGGGGCTCCCTGAAGCTACCCTCTCTCTAGTTCTGCTTCCAGCTCCAATTAATGTCTCGGTTGTTATAACAGACTCTCTTCTTCTTCAGATAACCTGAATAAGACATTGTTCTTTGTGATTAAGGAACCGAACTAAAACAGAAGCCAGGGGAAGAACACATGTTTTCTTTCTCCCAATCAATGCTCTCTCTACTGAATCCTCTGTCCATTGTACCTGCATAGGCCTCCTTCTCTACCACCTGACCAATATTCCCTATACAGCCTACATAGTGGGAGGAGGGAGGCAAATGGTCCATGAGATATAATTCATAAAATCTATACTAATTATGCCATAAGGTGACTGTCTCAAACAACCAGACTAACTCATTGCCAGTTTTTTAAAAGTATTCTAATCCTATGATGACTCTGTTACTGAATAAACATATTACCAATCATCCTATTTGTATGGGTAGGGCTGAATTTTCTTTCCAACTATATGTTTTATATATGTCTAAATAAAGGAGTAGACCACAAGAGTGAGTGAGAGCTCTAATAGGTGACTAATAACTTGTTTCCTTTTGGTAGCTTAAACTGGAAGCATTTAACTCAGCTCCGCATCAGACAGGGTTCAAACAGAGGAGTAGAATTAGTAGGATATTACATTAAGAGATTTATTGCAAAAAGAATGGGCTTTTATGATTGTGGAGGCTGGCTCAGCAAGTCTGAAATCTATAGGGCAGGACATTAGGAAGGACAGGCTGAGAACTCTCAGGCATGTGTTGAAGCTGCTGTCCACAGGCAGAATACCTTCTTCATCAGGGAAGATGCTCAGCTTTGCTCTTGAGACCTTTCAACTACTAGAGTCATGGTTAGGCATGATGGCTCACGCCTGTAATCGCAGCACTTTGGGAGGCCGAGGCAGGCGGGTCACCTGAGGTCAGGAGTTAGAGACTAGCCTGTTCAATATGGCAAAACCCTGTCTCTACAAAAAAATACAAAAATTAGCTGGGCGTGTTCGCATGTGCCTGTAGTCCCAGCTACTCAGGAGGCCGAAGAGAGCATGAGTCAGGAGCATGAGAATCGCTTGAACCTGGGAGGCACAGGTTACAGTGAGCAGAGATTGTGCCATTGCACTCCAGCCTGGGCGAAAGAGCTAGACTCTGTCTTCAAAAAAACAAACCAAAAGCAAACCAAAAACTAAGAGTCAGGCCTACCCAAATTACCTGGGATAATCTCCCTTATTTAAAGTCAATTTATTATGGGCTTTAATCACATCTGCAAAATACCTTCACAACAACACTTAGATTATTGTTTAACGGAATAACTGGAGACTGTAGCCTAGACAGGTTGACATATCAAAAGATCATCAAAAACACCATGGGGCCAAGTGTGGTGGCTCATGCCTATAATACCAGCATTTTGGGAGGTCAAGGTGGGAGGATGGCTTGAGCCTGGAAGGTTGAGGCGGCAGTGAGCTGTGATTGTGCCACTGCACCCCAGCCTGAGTGACAGAGTAAGACCTTGTCTCAAAAACAAGCAAACAAACAAAAGACAAAATGAACAAACAAACCAACCACAAAACCACCATGGAATGGGCTACTGTGTAAATCCAAAATGTTATCATTGTTAGGAAAAGAAATAGTACTTTTACTTCTCTAAATTGCAAATTTCTCTGAAAAAAAAGCAAATTTGATTTGACTGTTTTATTTGATTAATATTTACTTATTCATATGCCAATAATGCACTGTACTAGCCACTCTCATTCATCTCATCAGCAAATCCTGTCAGGGCTGCCTTCAAAATATATTGAAAAGCAACCTTCCTTCCTTCTTTCCTTCCTCCCTCCCTTCCTTCCTTCCTTCCTTCTTTATTTTTATTATTACCATCCTGGCCCAAGTCACTATCTTCTCCTGTCTGAATTATCGTAATAGTCTCCTTAGCTGGTCTGCCTGCTTTCCACGTAATCCCCAATACAATTTCATGTCCGTATTGCAGCTAGTGTAATCCTTCTAAAACTCAAGACACACCGTATTATTCCTCTGGTCAAGACCTCCAAAGGATTCCTTTATCACTCAAACTACAAGTCCTTCTATAGACCATGCATCCCTTCATGGTCTGAGCCCACTACCCAACACTTGTCACCCAGCTCTCTCACCCTCCTTTACTCTATTTCAGTAATCTTCACTTTTGCTCCATCGCCCAATACATATTCCCACTGCAGGGCTTTTGCACAGGCTATTCCCTTGTTCCATATGAGAAATCTGTTCTGTTTCCTCAGCACAATTGTCACCTTTTCGTGGAGGTCTTTCTTGGTCATAATAAATTTCATTCTCTTGACATTTATTATCATCATGCTCTATCTCCTTTCCCCATTTTATTCTCCTTTACATCTAACACTTTTTTACATATTAGGTGTTATTATTATTTGTGTTTCCCCATTAGACAACAGAGACTCAGTCTGCTTTGTTTACTGCAGTGCCTAGAACAGTACCTGGAATGTGGCTGGCATTAAAAAAATATTTGATGAATGAATAAAAGAGAGAAAATGTGTACTTGTAGAGAGAGCTAGAAAAAAATCGAAATCCTCCTTTCTGAGCACTTTGTAGTGCTTTTTTGTTGAGAAAAAAGTCCTTCTCCGTATCAAATTTGGCAGGAATTCTCCTTTTTTATCCTTTTAAAATGGCATTGTGCTGTCATTTCTCCCATGACCATTCATTGAATGGGTGTTTCTATGGTTACAGTGTTATTTCTAGTCAGAATCCTGTTGAGGAGAAACCTGAATTTGGTGGTTCAGTAAGTCAAGATTCCCTTGACATAGTATTAAGATACATATGGACTTTGACAAATCAGCTTCCTGCCTCATTTAGCAAATTAGCTGGAGAGGTGGAAAGACATATTTAGGGTTCAACTCCAGAGTTCTGAAAAATGTTGCTACCTGAAATAGACAAAATGAATTACCAATAGGTTTGCTCAGCAGTGATGGTCCCAGGGAAATCAATCCAGCTTTACCTTGCTTCACACCAGTGGGCATTTAGTTGTCATCATGGTCTCCTCTTTATATCCAACCAAGCTGGATTCTTTAGGCTGCTCATTCTTTCTGTTCTATTCTGGAGATAGGAATTAAATTACAGGCAAGTGTACCTCTGCAGACTAATTTGTGAGTTCACCCCAGAAAACAAGTGAAGTATGCCTAATGTTGACATGCAATGGGTACAGGGGGATCTGGCTGTGTTAGTACAGCACAAAGGAGTTAACCATATGACTGAGACACACGCCTGAGCTCCTTACGTTCAATTTCTGTATGCATAGCTAGCGTGAAGAACCACTGAGAAGATAGAAAATTTATTTCCATGTTTGTCTCATTGTGTGTGTGTGTGTGTGTGTGTGTGTGTGTATCCGTTTTGCTTTGCTGTAAGGAAATACCTGACACTGGAGAAACTATAAAGAAAGGAGATTAATTTGGCTCTCTGTTCTGCAGGCTGTACAAGTATGGCACCAGCATCTTCTTGGCTTCTGATAAGGCCTCAGGAAGCTTTTGCTCATGGCAGAAGGCAAAGGGGTAGCAGGCCATGTCACAGGGTGAGAGAGGGAGGAAGAGAGAGAGGAAGAGGTGCCAGGCTATTTTCTGTTTTTGTTTGTGATATAGGGTCTCGCTCTGTTGCCCAGGTTGGAGTGCAGTGTCATGATCTCAGCTCACTGCAACCTCTGCTTCCCAGGCTCAAGAGATCCTCCCATCTCAGCCTCTTGAGTAGCAGTACACCAGTAGTCCACTGGTGTGTGCCACCACACCTGGCTAAATTTTGTATATTTTGTAGAAATGGGGTTTTGCCATGTTGTTCAGGCTGGTCTTAAACTCCTAAGCTCAAGCGATCCTCTCACCTCAGTCTCCCAAAGGGCTAGGATTACCAGTGGGAGTCACTGCACCTGGCCACTAAGCTCTTTTAAGCTACTAGTTCTTGCTTAAACTAAGAGAACAAGGTCTCACTCATCACTGTGATGTGGGTACCAAGCCATTCATGTGGGACCTCCCTCTTCCATTACCCAAACATCTCCCCCTAGGCCCCCACCTCTAACATTGGGGGTCACATTTTAACATGAGAATTGTAGAGGAGAAACATCCAAACCATGTGAGTGTGTGTCCCTTCTTCCATCCTGGTTCCTCTGCTTCTCACTCATCTCCAGTATGGCTCTTATTGCTCATAATCTTCCCAGGGTTAACCATATACAGTCCTATCCTTATCAAAGTATGAAAATATGGAAACATTTCAGCTATATAGGTATCTTTATATGATCTTTAAAATAAGGAATGTTGCAGAATGCAAATTAATTTGCATATATCTGACCTAATTAAAACAACTTTTTTATGTCTAATGCCAGCTTTTTGTAAGGAACTCAAAGCCAGTGTCAACATAATTACTAAAAAGTAATTTAGATATTTCAAAATATGGCAAGAGAAGTTACAATTTTAAGGCATAGAGCAACATACTCTTTTTTTAGTGTAATTTTCTCTTTTTTTATTATACTTTAAGTTATGGGGTATATCTGCAGAACATGCAGGTTTGTTACATAGGTATAAACATGCCATAGTGGTTTGCTGCACCCATCAACCCATCATCTACATTAGGTATTTCTCCTAATGCTATCCCTCCCCTATCCCTCCACCCGCCGAAGACCCCAGTGTGTGATGTTCCCCTCCCTGAGTCCATGTGTTCTCACTGTTCAACTCCCACTTATGAGTGAGAACAGGTGGTGTTTGGTTTTCTGTTCCTGTGTTAGTTTGCTGAGAATGATGGTTTCCAGCTTCATCCATGTCCCTGCAAAGGACATGAATTCATCCTTTTTTATGGCTGCATAGTATTCTGTGGTGTATATGTGCCATATTTTCTCTATCTAGTCTATCATTGATGGGCATTTAGGTTTGTTCCAAGTCTTTGCTATTGTGAACAGTGCTGCAATAAACATATGTGTGCATGTGCCTTTATAGTAGAATGATTTATAATCCTTTGGGTATATACCCAGTAATGGGATTGCTGGGTCAAATGGTATTTCTGGTTCTAGATCCTTGAGGAATCACCACACTGTCTTCCACAATGGCTGAACTAATTTGCACTCCCACCAACAGTGTAAAAGCATTCCTATTTCTGCACATCCTCTCCAGCATCTGTTGTTTCCAGAGTTTTTAGTGATGGCCATTCTAACTGGCGTGAGATCGTATCTCATTGTGGTTTTGATTTGCATTTCTGTAATGACCAGTGATTATGAGCTTTTTTTCATATGTTTGTTGGCCACATAAATGTCTTCTTTGAGAATTATCTTTTCATATCCTTCACCCACTTTTTGGTGGGGTAATTTTTTTTTCTTGTAAATTTGTTTAAGTTCTTTGTACATTCTGGATATTAGCCCTTTGTCAGATGGATAGATTGCAAAGATTTTCCCCCATTCTGTAGGTTGTCTGTTCACTCTGTTGATAGTTTCTTTGGCTGTGCAGAAGTTCTTTAGTTTAATGAGATCCCATTTGTTAATTTTGGCTTTTGTTGTCATTGCTTTTGGTGTTTTAATCATGAAGTATTTGCCCATGCCTATATCCTGAATGGTATTGCCTAGGTTTTCTTCTAGGGTTTTTATGGTTTTAGGTCTTACGTTTAAGTCTTTAATCCATCTTGAGTTAATTTTTGTATAAGGTGTAATGAAGGGGTCCAGTTTCAGTTTTCTGCATATGACTGGCCAGTTTTCCCATCAATCTACCATTGACTTTCTTCACAGAATTAGAAAAAACTACTTTAAATTTCATATGGAACCAAAGAAGAGCCCATATAGCCAAGTCAATCCTAAGCAAAAAAAAAAAAACCAAAAAACCAAAAAAACAAACAAACAAAAAACAAAGCTGGAGGCATCATGCTACCTGACTTCAAACTATGCTACAAGGCTACAGTAACCCAAACAGCATAGTACTGGTACCAAAACAGATATATAGACCAATGGAACAAAACAGAGGCCTCAGAAATAATGCCACACATCTACAACCATCTGATCTTTGACAAACCTGACAAAAACAAGCAATGGGAAAGGATTCCCTATTTTATGTATAGTGCTGGCAACATATTCTTACACTGTGCTTTATGGGGCTCTGTTTGTTAACTTTCTTTTCATAGGCTGTCTAACTCCTCTTGCTCAAACTCATCTCCTTACCAAAATGTTTTTTGATTTTTCAGGACTTGAAATGTCTCTCTGAATATGTATTATCCTCAAATTTATTAAGCTTTCATTTATTTATTCACTTAACAAGAATTTACTGAGCATACGCTATGTACAATGTACTCTGATAGGAATAAGCACTGGTCCTTGATTTTAAGAAAATCCACATATAATGTGTTTCCTTGAAGCAGGGTAGGGAGA
Source organism: Homo sapiens (assembly GCF_000001405.40). NCBI lineage: Eukaryota > Metazoa > Chordata > Mammalia > Primates > Hominidae > Homo > Homo sapiens. Next base: position 115,445,754 of record NC_000003.12, read on the forward strand.
TATGACGTAATCACCATATGTCATAAATACTTCAAATCAAATAAAAGCATAAAGTCATAAAATAATTTCCAATTTTTCTGGAGAACTCAATTTCTCACTTCCTTGGCAAATAGCCTCATTGATTCTTTATCATTAAAATTTCTCCTCCACTACCCTTTCCAAATTGAAAGGAATCCAAGGCGCAATTCCAACCTAAGTTTTAAGATCCACCTTTTTGCAGATGTATTTTATGACTAAATTGCTCTGTCTGTCTGACATAGGTTATTAGCTTCTTGACTAAGATCTATGCCTTTTTTAAAGTCTATCCCTACACTAAGCACCAGCTATTTCACAAATAATAAATAAAAAATGGTGATGACTGCCTGAGTCTCCATGATCTACTCACCAGCTTCTAAAATACATCTTTCTTCTGCTAGAGAATATTGCAAATACTTCGTAGAACAATTGAAAAAGTTAGTTTGGCAGCTCTAACCAACATTTTTAAAAGGCTGAATGAAAGTAGATGGAATCAATGATTAGGTAAAGTGATTTTCTGGGACTGTGGAGATTGAGTATAAAGAAATATGGCACCTTATCTGTGCCAACGAAGGGTACAGCTGTTTGGATTCTTATTTAATCAAATATAGATGAAAGGGAAATTTTGCTTAATAAAATGGACTGAGTCATACACAGTTGGCCCTTGGGCTTTCTCTTCCAGAACACGACTTAGGAGCTGCATTTGCAATTTTTCTCAGTCAAAATGACCTCGGATTCCCAAACCCTCGATACGATCTCATCTATTTCCCTGAGATTGAAATGAGAATACTTAAAGCACTACAGGTTTCATGACAAAGTGTCACATGTGGCTTGGGAGCTCTGATGGGAGGAACTGTACTGAGATCTCATTGGGTGGGCTGAACAAGGATAAACCTATACCCTGTAATCATTTTCCTCTGAATTCACTTGGGCCTTAATATTATGGTTCCTTCATTTTGGAGTCTTCACTCTTGCTTAGACCAAGACCATTTCCACATAAAGCTAGCCATGGCTATTAAAATGCTAATATGCAGTCAGGAAGCCAAATGTTTGGATTCATAGATGCAAATTTTAAGTTATCAGAAAAAAATTAGACAAATATCTAGTTGCCTCTAAATTGCTGTTTGGCATAAAATAAACAAGTATTTAACTTCTTCAGTGAATGTATTAGTTTTATTTAGTCAGCCTCATTACAATTAAACACTGTTTACATTAGGACTCCTCCTCCTTAATCTGTTTTTTTCTGTTGCTGGAAATTTGACTATCTTAAACTTTGTAAACCTAAACAGGCCCATATCTAAACTTTTTGACCAACTTAATATATAAATAGAAAAGTGATAGACTTTAAAAACAATTCTTGTTTCCATATTAGATTATCAGATAATATTCAGATCTGGTGATATTCTATGTTGATTTTGAAGGTCATAAAGCTATAACTCTATTACATATACTCCTTATTTATGTATAGTAATTTGTACAGAGTGAATAGAGCTTAGATGTACAGGCCATCAGTAATGATAACAAAGAAACTTGTGCATATTGGTTTGGCAAGAAAGCATTTAGACTGCCACCAATTCAGTTTGTGGCATAACATTTGAAACTGGCGCAAGAGAGCACATGCAGACCTACATAGTACTGAGGGTTCATTTTCCACCAGGATGTCCCCAGCAGTATGGAACCCTCATGAGTCACAGGTTATGCTGGAAAGAACAAATGTCTGGAAGATCAGTTCTCCTTGAAATGAGGTGTGATTTAAGATTGTGATTGTTAGTGATTTAACATGGTGTTTTTGTGTCACTTGTCTAGATTACCATGGGCTGGTATATTTCAGGTCACAAAAGTTTGTTTTGAGGATGCTTTAAGGTTCTTCACATGTGGTTTATGGACAATCAAAGTTGTCATTGGAATAGTGCATCTGTTTCTAAATAAAAACATGACAACCTCTCAGGTTGAGAACAGCCACAAGGTAATATTGAGAAGAACTCAGCGACTAGCTGTCATTTCAATAGAAAAAGAACATCAGATAGACAAAATGGATAACTATAATAATAGTTATATTTGGAAAATCAGTCCCAAACAAATTTTCTCCTTTCAGTTACACAGCTGTATGTTCTATGTCAGTGACATTTGATTTTGTTTGAATTTGACCCAGCCTGTTGCAATTTTAGTAAAAGTGGTCTCTAACAATGGTTTAAAAAATTCTTTACAGGGGAACTTTGGACAAGCACTCAAAAAAAATTCCTTCATTACAACCATCTCTACTGTTTATATTTGATAATGTTTGTCAAGTAAAATAATTGAATTAATTTTCATATGTCTTGCTCTTCCTTATTACTTGCTAAATTTTACCCTCTGTTCTTGGGCCTAGCTAAAAGACACAGAGAACAGAAATGTTATATGGACTACAATTTCATAATGTATTAAATGTACAGTTTATTATTTCCAAGGACCTGTAATATTGGTGCAGTATTCTTAATAATGGCTGCAACTGACCCTATGAAATAGTGTTGCACCCACCAACATTCCCTTTCCAGTTCAGCCATTGCAGGGTGTTGGGACCTATTCAGAATTCCCAGAAAACCTGAGATGTAATGAAATATTCTTGTAGACTCCAAGAAAGTTCACAGGGTTTATTCATTTGTTGAACAAATATTCCTTGAGAATAAGACATTGGGAATACAGTACTGAACAAAGTATAAAATTCCCTCCTCTCCTGGAGCATTTGTCCTAGTGGGAATTTGAATGAAACCAGACTCCATGGACTTTCCAGGACTGACAGCATCCTGCAGAGGCCTAAACAAAATTCTCCACCAAGTTCAATAATCTGCAAAACAGCTGATCCAAATTCCAATTCAGATTCTATTTTCTTAGAGAGTTGGAAATCTGGAATGGACTAGAGATTGGAAATCTTATCTTTCAATGGGACTGCAGAGGTGGAAGACATAATATAGTCTCCCAATCTTACTGTCACTCAGGTTGTTGAAGTGGGCCCTGAGGGATGTGTGGAATTTTTTATCCAAGATAAAATAATAAAATAAAAACAACAAAAAAGCAAAAACAAAATCAAAACAAACTTTGTTAAATATCTATTTCTCATTACAGTTCTAGGTGCCATACAAGAGTATTGTGTAGATTTTGTCCTTGCCTTCCAGGATCTTAGGAATTATTATTATAGTTTGGCTGACAGCACAGACCCTCTTTACTTAGGAATGTGAGATTTAGAAAACTATAAAGAGATTTGGTTATGAAATACAATGACTTATGCAATTTTCATGTGCAATCTTTATCCCTACACAGACCAGCTGGCTAAAGTTGATCATTGCTTGTAGGCTTTTTGTACTTGGTGCCCTTGTCAGATGTTTGTATAATAATATCAAGTAAGGCTTCTGCCTAGATTTCCCTCCGTAATTGTCTCTGGTTTGAATTCATAGAAAATATTCATTACTTATGCGGATAAGAGTTTCTTTATGTTTTATTTTAATGTTGCAAAGCACACTGTCAAAGGATTTGAGATTTTAAAAAGCCTGGACTGCAGTGGTGCCATCTCAGCTCACTGCAAGCTCTGCTTCCCAGGTTCAAGCGATTCTTCTGCCTCAGCCTCCAGAGCAGCTGGGATTACAGGAGCCCGTCACCATGCCCGGCTAATTTTTGTATTTTTAGTAGAGACAGGATTTCAACATGTTGGCCAGGCTGTTCTCGAGCTCCTGATCTCAAGTGATCCACCCACCTCGGCCTCCCAATATGCTGGGATTACAAGCATGAGCCACTGCGCCCAGCAGTTTTGAATTATTTTTATAAATTCCTAGCAATTATATAAAATGTTATAGCAAGGTTTGCTTTTATTGGTTCTTAATATTCTAAATTTATTAAAAGATTAATCTTTACCTATAAAAATATGAGAAACAGGCATATTAAAAGAGATTTAGAAACAGCTTGAGACAAAATTGTGAGCATAATTTGCTAAATTGATGGCAATATCAAGATAGTGCCAATGGATGAAAAGATGAAAGTGGACCAATCTGTACAAACTTCTATAAAGATTCAGGAATGGAAGCAGCCACCACCCTTTAACCCATGGATGGTCTGAGGAATCTATGAAAGCCATAAATGGGAATAACATTTTTGACACATCAGAAATGGAAGGACACTGGAAAGAATTTTGTAAAGTTTGAGAGTGCCTAAGTTTTAAGTTTATGGACCTTGATCAACAAACTTGAAATTTGTATGATATAAAGAAATTTAAATCCTGGATGAACTGTCCTTAACCACTTCTAACTCTACACCCTGCCTGCTCTTAAGGTCCAGTGTGTGCCACATCAGCTGATGTCACTGACAAGTGATTGAAGGTTTCTGTTAGACGATGGCTTTACAAAGAACCTTTCTCTATTGATCTGGCTATGTGTGACACAGCCACCAGAAGTCTCTTGCCTGTTCAGTCTTTCCTTTATTCATTTCTCTTCCTCAGAGACATAGAGGACACCTGTTACTGTGTTGGTGCAAGAAATCTGTCTCTAATGACCTTCTATTGAGCCAGGAAGCTGTATGTCTGTGGCTAGCCCAATTATATCACAGGCTAGACAGGGCACTTTATGTTGGCCGTGGCGAATGGGCCAGGAAGCAATATGATAAATCTTTATGATAAATCCCGATTGTTGGACAAGAGGGAAAAAGACCCCTAACCTTACCCCAATTTTCTTTTTCATTAGTCTCCTGATACTATCTCCTGAATAACATTGAATGTAAGCAGCCTATAAATATTGCACAAGTCTCCAATACTAAAAGCTGATAAAGTTTATTGTACTTATAAAATAAATAGAAGGAAATGCTTTCAGTTTCCTATTTACAGGTCTCTAGGGAAATCTCAGGTAATTTATTGCTTCAATTTTAAAAATGTATTCTCCCTTCATGCATGCTCTTTTCTTACTCTCCTTTTTCCCTCTGGTATTTTACTCCTCAAGCACAGCATGCATGGGATCATGCACTCAGACAATGTCAAGCCTTATGTTACATATTCTTATTGTGGCATTTTAAAAATTGGCTCTAAAAATAATTATTTTATGTTTCCATTTTTTTTCTTTATTTCTTTCCCTCCTAATATTCCTTTAGTTAACATAGGACTCATTTTTCTACTATGTTTAAGCTTTCTTCCCTTTCTATGTTTGTATTCTGGAATTATCACCTGTATAGCCGTGATCTCATAAATTTCTAAGATTAATGTATGACTGGTACTCTGCAACTAAAAATTTAAATGTCCATTTCCAGTGATGCTCACACAGCATTGTCATTGCTATAGATGGAGAAAAGTCTTCTGAGTATTTGATAAATAGAATCTGAATTTCAAATGCTCCAAAAAAGGCATGCAGGTTGAGAGGGCTTAGATAAACCTCTGGTCTCACAGCTGGTCCTCTTATTAGTTAGCCATTGTTGTTCACAGGTTCTGGAAACTTGGTCTTTCACTGGACATTTTTTAAAAAGGCAAAGACTGTGGGGATCATCTGATATGATATTCCTCTCATTTGCACTGCTCATGATTTCATTATTTCTGAGGTGCCACAGTTTGAAAACAAGTTTGGGCTTGAATTATCACCCTATGTTTTTGGAATCAATGTGCTTTTAAACTTTCCTTCATTAATTGCACTTCACACCACCCAATATCCTGCAATTCAGAGGCAGCAGCAGCATCTTAGTTTTAGGATGAGATGGGAAAGAATAGTGTTTGTATGTTTTTATTTATTATAATGAACAACTGAAAATGAGGTTTTCCAAGAATGCTGGCTAAAGACTTTAGAAATTGAGAGCTTTACTAAGGGAGGCTTTTAAAACCTAAACGTATCTTTATCCATTCCATTTTCAAGAAGGTTGTTTATACTTATATATAGAAGAGTTTGGAGGAAAACGATGAATACTATTTTAGAACATTAATGAAGTGCCTTGTTATTTATTATTTTAAAATAATAATACCTTCCATTTATTGGGGCTTACTATGTGCAAGAGGTTGAGATGTATTCCATACCTATTTTCTTATTTAAATGTAATGAGAAAACTGAAAAAAAGCTGTTCGTTACCAATTTACAGAAGAGAAAATGGAATTCAAATATGTGATATAACTCACTCCAGGCCACATAGGTAGTAACTGACAGGGCCAGGTTTGAAACTTAGCACTTTTTGACTCCAAATAAATGTTTTATCCAAATGTAATTTTGAATGTCCTATTTTGAGTCACTATCTAGTTATCTCTGTGATAACTTTTTAAATATATTATGTAAACATTTCAAAATTGTTTGCTTTTTTATTTTCTGATTTTTGTTGGAGTAAGAGAAATCTGGATAACACTTTGCTATGCTTCATTTTTCATTAAAAAAGCATCATGCTCTTGCAACAGTAATAACATAAATAAGAGAAATATTACTAACCAAACACCTTACACACTTTTATATTAGCATGCAAAATTTATTTTTTAGCTCTAAAGCTTAAGAAGCAATTTTTTACCTATAATTATGGATATAGAAGAAATCTCTGTAAATTACTCAAAAATATTTTATTTATCTTGTCTAATCCAAGATGTAACTCTCTGCCCAGTAAGTTCTTACATAAGTCCCAAATTTGAGTAAAAATAAAATGATTTAAACTGTTAGTCACAAATAGTATTGATATGCAGTATAAATACAGTACCTTTTGATAAAGTAGCAAACTTCTAAATTAGTTACTCAAAGATTTGTGTAGTTGGGTCCAAATTTATTTCCTTTTTCCTTATTGCATAGCACTGTTTTTCAGTCAAATTGGTCTCCAGATCAGTTTTCTGTGTTGTATTCCATCTGAAATGTCTTTTCTCCTGCTAATTCCCTTCCATTCTTCACATCTTCCTGTGTTGTTTTTGGCTCTCCATATATATAACTATCTTGTTCTATCATTGTCCAACATCTTTTTTGTCAGTGGTTATAAACATCTTTAGCAAAACTAGATTTCCTCCTTTTTTTCCCCCCAAAAAATGTTTTATCCATCATTTTTTTCCCATTCTATGTCATCCACATTGGAATAGATTTAGTTCTGAAACCAGATTTTTAGAGTGGATTTTAGTTTGAAGAACAGTTTTAGATATACAGAGAAATTAAAAAGATAGTGCAAAGATTTCCCATGTATCCTGCACTCAGATTTCTCCTATTAACATTTCACATGATTAGTATGACACTTTTGTCACAATTAATAAACCAGTACTGATACATTATTATTACCTAAAGTCTATAGTTTACTCAGCTTTCCTTAGTTTTTACCGAATGTCTTTTTCTGTTCCAGGATCACATCCACGATTCCATATCACAGTTTTCATGTCTCCTTAGGCTCCTCTTGGCTGCAACAGTTTCCCAGATTTTCTTTGTTTTTGTTTGTTTGTTTGTTTGTTTGTTTGTTTTGACATTGACAGTTTTTGAGAACTGGGTAAGTGTTTTATGGGATTCCCCTCTACTGGAATTTGTCTGGTGTTTTATTAATGGTTAGACTGGGGTTACTGGTCTTCGGGAAAACCTCAGAGAAAAAGTACCATTTTCATTGCATCATATCAAAGGTTTATAGAATCAGTATGATTTATGGTTGTTGATATTGACCTTGTTCTCCTAGCTGAGGTACTGTTTTTCAGGTTTGTCTACTGTAAAGTTGCCCCTACTTCCTTCCCATACTGTACTATTTGGAAAGAAGTCACCACGTGCAGCCCACACTTAGGGAGTGAGGATTTATGGGGCCCCTCCTGGAGTGCAGAGTATTGACATTAATTATTTTGAGTTATTTTACAAGGGATATTTGCTCCTTCTCCCCTAATTATTAAGTTATTCAATAATGTATTCATATCACTAAGGACTTACGGATATTTGTTCTACACTTTGTGTTATAGTCCAATATTAGTTTATTTTATTCTTCAAATTGTTCCAGCTTTGGCTATTGGGAGCTTTCAGTTGGCTCCGGAGTTGTCTCTTTGACACACCCTCATCATTGTATGGATTTTTTGTTTGTTTTGTTTTGTTTTTTGAGCACTTCCTCACTTCCTGGCACTATAAGATGTTCCAGGCTCATCGTACACATTTCCTGTCCCAGTAATAAAATCAGCCTTTTCTCCAAAGAGTCCTGGTTCCTCTTACTGAAAAATAATATTAGAATCCAAGATCTTGGTGGTAGATGTACTCATTGTTACCGGGATACTGCTGCTTCTAGGCCCTGTCAGCTGACATAGCAAAGAAATATAGATGTGTATATATGTCTTATGTATATACACATATCTATGAATATTTCTCTACATAACCATCTATATCTTTATTAAGCAAAAACATGAGTTCATACTTATGTCTCCAGCTCTGACTTATTATCACATGAATCATTCTAGCCTCCTCTTATTTATCTATTTGCAAATTCCCACTTCATTAGCATGAAACCTGGTTGCTACTTCAGTTGAGTCACAAAAGAAAAATGAAAACAACAACAACAACAAAAGAAACCTGGTTGCCACCACCCACTATCCACTTATGCAGACAATGTTTCTAGAATTATTAACCCATACCTCCATGGGCACAACTTAATTAACTAGAGTATAGTGCTTATGTGAAGTTTCTTTTGCCTATAGTCTTAGAGACTCCACTCCTTTTCAGAGTTGCTTCCTTCCCCCCCCAATCCCTACCTTTTCTCCTTCAGTATGATACTTTCATACATTTGTACAGTTAGGTCCTCTTTCACAGTCTGCATTGCTTTATGAGATCTTCTGACCTTGTAAATAGTGTTTAATTTGCATAACATTCACTCTTTGTGCTATAAAGTTATGAAGGTTTTGAAAGAGAGTGTCTGGCATCATACAGAATAGTTTCACGCTGTAAAAATCCCCTCTCCTTTATCTATTCAGTCCTTTCCTCCTTCCCCCAAACTCCTGAAAACCAATGGTCTTTTTACCATCTCTACGGTTTTGCCTTTTAAAGAATGCTATAAAATTGGAATCTTAAATATGTAACCTTTTCAAACTGGCTGTCTTCACTTAGCCATATATATTTAGGGTTTCCCCATGTCTTTTTATGTCTTGATAGCTCACTCCTTTTTATTGCTGAATCTATAATATTCTGTTGTATAGATACACCATAGTTTGCTTTTGTGTCGATTCACCAATTGAAGGACATCTTAGTTAGTAATGGGTTCTTGTACTTATGAATAAAGTTGCCATAAATATTTGCAGGCAGATTTTTGTGTGACCACAAGTTTTCAAATCAGTTGAGTAAATATCTAGGAGTGGAATTGTTGGATCTTATGGTAAGATTAGGTTAAACTTTGTAAGAAACTGCCAAACTGTCTTTTAAAGTGGCTGTGTCATTTTGCATTTCCATCAGCAATGAATAAAAGTTCCTGTAGCTGCACATCCTCACTAGCATTTGGTGTTGTCAGTGTTTTGTTATTTTAGCCATTCTAATAAGTGTGTAGCAGTGATTCATTAATGTTTTAATTTGCAATTCCCTCATATATGATGTTGAACATCTTTCTACATGCTTATTTGCTGTCTACATCTGTTCTTTTGTAAAGTGTCTGTTCAGATCTTTTGCCCATTTTTAATTGGGTTGTTTGTTTTTTTATTGTTGAATTTTAGTATTTCTATTTTTATTTTGGACATAAGACCTTTACCAGATATGTGTTTTATGAACATTTTCTTCTAGTATGTGGCTTGTCTTTTCATTCTTTTAACAATATCTTTCATGGAGTAGAAATTTTTGGTTTTAATGAAGTCCAACTTATTATTTGTTTTTCTTCAGTGGATCATGCTTTTGATATTGTGTCTAAAAATTCATCACCAAGCCCAGCGTTACCTACATTGTCTATATGTTTCTTCTAGAAGTTTTACAAGTCTGCATTTTACATTCAGGTGTATGATCCACTTTGAGTTAATTTTTATGAAAGGTATAAACTCTGTGTAGATTACTATATATATATTTGCAAATGGACATTTAGTTGCTCAGCACCATTTGTTGAACAGGCCTTATTTTCTCAATTAAAATAGCTTCCTGGCTTTGTCAAAGATAGTCAAATATAGTCAACTGACTATATTTGTGGGGGTCTAATTCTGTAATCTCTATTCTTTTCCACTGATCTATGCCCCTATTCTTTCAATGGTCTAAACTGTATTAATCACTATAACTTTTATATTGAGTCTTGACATCGGTTAGTGTCAGCCCTCCAACTTTGTTCTTCTAATTCTGTTGGGTATTATGGGTCTTTTCCTTCTCCACCTAAACTTAATAATCAGTTTGTTAATATCTACAAAACAGCTTGCTAAGATTTTGATTGGGATTGCGCTGAATATGTAGGTGAGTTTGGAAGAATTGATATCTTAATAATGTTGAGTCTTTCAATATGCAAACATGGAATACCCCTCTATATGTTTAGAGCTCCTTTGATTTCTTTCATCAGAATTTTATAGTTTCCTATGTATAAATATTGTATATATTTCGTTATATTTATACCTAAGAATTTCAATCTTTTTTTAGTATTTTAAATGGTATTGTGTTCTTAATTTCAAATTACAATTGTTCACTGCTAGTACATAGGAAATTTGTGTATATTAAATTTGTATATATTAAATATTTATTCCAAGACTTGTTATTAGTTCCAGGTTTGTTTGTTTTTTAAATTTTTGGGGATTTTCTACATAGAAAATCATGTCATCTGGAGACAATAACATTATTATTTCTTTCTTCCCAATTTGTATACCTTTGGTTTCCTTTTCTTGTATTATTGCACTGTCTAGAAATTCTAGTATAATGCTGAGTGAGAGTAGTGAGAGGGAACATCCTTGCCTTTTCCCAATAAGAGGGAAAGCCTTCAGTTTCTCATCATTAAGTGTGACATTACTTGTAGATTTTTGGTAGATGTTCTGTATCAAGTTGAGGAAGTTCTTGTCTATTCCTAGTTTGCTAACAGTTTACATAATGAATAGATGTTGAATTTTTGTCAAATGGTTTTTCTAGGTGAATCAATGTGATCATATGTGCTTTTTTCTGTAGCATGTTGATGTGGCAGATCACACCAATTTTCCATGTAATTTTATCAATATACAATTTTCAGATGCTGACCAGCATTCCATACCTAAAGTAAACTTCTCTTGGTGATAGTGTAAAATTTTTTATTCATTGTTGAATTTGATTTGCTAACATTTTGTTGAGGACTTTGCATCTATATAGGCCTATAGTTTTCTATTTGTGTCATGTCTTTATTTGGTTTGAGCGTTAATGTAATGCTTGCCTCATAGCATGAAATAGGTGTGTTCCCTCTGTTTCTAATTTCTGTAATAGATTGTAGAGATTTGGTATCATTTCTTCCTTAAACATTTGGTAGAATCCACCACTGAAGACATCTGGGCCTAGTCCTTTCTGTTTAGGAATATTATTATTTATTGATTCAATATTTTTAATAGATATCTTCTTATATCTATTACGATGGTCTATTTCTCTTTCTTTTAGTTTTGTGGTTTGTGTCTTTCAAGGAATTAGTCCATTTCATCTAAGGTATCACATGTGTGGATGTAAAATTATTCATAGTATTCATTTTCAATCCTTTTAATGTCCATGGGATCAATAGTGATGGCCACTCTTTAATTTCTGACAGTAATAATTTATGTCTTCTCTCCTTTTCTCTTGGTTAGCCTTACTAGATGTTAAAAAACAAATTTTATTTTGTTGATTTTGTCTATTGTTTTTCTGTTTTCAATTTCCTTGATTTCTGCTCTAATTTTTTCTTCTGATTGTTTTGGGCTTAAGATACTCTTCTTTCTTTGTTCTTAAAATGGAAACTTAGACTGTTAATTTGTTATTTATTTTCAAATGTTTTCATTTAATGCTATAAATTTTCCTCTATGTACTGCCTTCATCACATCCCACACATCTTAATGTTTTATTTTCGTTTACTCCAAAATGTTTTATAAGTCCCTTTTGAGATTTTTTTCCATTGATCTATCTGTTATTTAAAATTATATAATATAATTTCCAAACATTTTGGGATTTTTCAGCTATCTTTCTATTATTGATTTCTATGTTGATTCAGTTAAGGTCTGAAAGCATACTTGTATGATTTCTATTCTTTTTAATTTCTTAAGGTGTGTTTTATAGCGCAGAATGTGGTCTATCTTAGTGAATTTTCTATGTGAGCTTAAGAAGAATGCGTATTCTGTTGTTGGATGGAGAATTCTATAAAAACATCTGTTAGATCAAGTTGATTGATAGTGCTGTTTGGTTTAACTCTATCTTTACTGATTTTCTGCCTGCTTGATCTACTAATTACTATAAGAGGAGTGTTGACTCTCTAGCTATGACAGTGGATTTGTCTGTTTCTCCTTGTAGTTCTGTCTGTATTTTCCTCGTGTATTTTGATGTTCTGTTGGGTACATACACATTAAAGATTGTATGCCTTATTAGGGAATTGACCACTTTATCATCAGTAATGCCTCTCTTTATGATAGTTTTTCTTTTTCTGAAGTCTGCTTCATCTAAAATTAATATAGGTAATCTCATTGTCTTATGTCTTTCTCCAACCCTTTATTTTTAACCTATTTGTGTGTTTATATTTAAAGTGAATTTCTTGTAGACAGCATGTATAGTTGTAGCTTTTTTATCCACTCTGACAATCTCTGTCTTTAAGTGATATACTTAGACCATTCACATTTATAGTGATTATTGATATATTTAGATTAATATTTGCCATGTTTATACTATTCTCTATTGTTTGCACTTTTTTGTTTCTTTTGTTTTTTTCCTCTGTTTTTCTGCCTTCTCTCATTTTAATTAAGCATTTTATATTATTCCATTTTCCTGTTTCTCTTAGCATATAAATTATATTTCTTTCAAAAAATTTTAGGGCCAGGCGCAGTGGCTTATGCCTGTAATCCCAGAGCTTTGGGAGGCCGAGGCGGCAGATCATCTGAGGCTGGGAGTTTGAGACCAGCCTGACCAACATGGTGAAACCCCATCTCTACTAAATATACAAAAATAATTAGCCAACTGTGATGGAGCATGCCTTTAATCCCAGTTACTCAGGAGGCTGAAGCCGAGAGGCAGAGGTTGCAGTGAGCCGAGATCACACCACTGCACTCCAGCCTGGGCAACAGAGCGAGACTCCATCTCAAAAAAAAAAAAAAAAAAAATTTAGTGTTGCCTGAGAGTTTATAATATACATATACAACTACTCTAAATAGACCTTACAATAACACTATCCTGCTTCACAGATTATGCAGGTGCCTTTTAATTAAGTAGTGTCAATTCCTCTCTCCCATCCCTTAAGAAATTAAAATTATTTTTGCTTATCAATGTACTATAATTAGACAATACATTGTTACCATTTTTAACAGCTATCCATTAGATTAATGAAAGATAAGAAAAATAAAAGCTTTTAATCTACTTTTATTTCTTCTCTGAGGCTTTTTTTTTTTTAATATTGATCCAGGTTCCTGATCTATATCATTTTCCTTCTCCCCAAAGAGCTTCTTTCAACATTTCATTCAGGGTAGGTATGCTATCAGTGAATTCCCTCAGTTTTTATTTGTTTGAGAAAGTCTTTATTTCTCTTTCACTTTTAAGGGATAGTTTCACTGGATACAGAAATTTAAGTTATTGGTTTGATTCTTTTAACTCTTTAAATTTATTCCACTCTCTTCTTGCTTGCATGGTTTCTGATGAGAAGTCTGATGTAATATTTAACTTCTTTCCCTCTAGAAGGAAAGTGTTCTCCCTATTATCTTGGTGTCTTTTAAGATAGCCTCTTTTTCTTTGATTTGTCTGCAGTCTGCTATATGTCTGGGTGTAGATTTTTTGGTATGCATTCTCTGTGTTCTTTGAGCTTCCTGGATCTGTGGTTTGATGTCTGTCATTAGTTTGCTAAAGTTCTAAGCCATTATTACTTCAATATTTCCTCTTTTCCACTGGTATTCCAGTTATGCAATTTTATATCTTTTGAAATTGTCCCATGGTTCTTGGATATTCTGTTCTATTTTTGTAAAATTACTTTTTCCTTTTGTATTTTAGCTTCAGAAGTTTCTATCAACATATCTTCAAGTTCGCTGATTCACTACCAGGCTATTCCAGGCTACTAATGATCCCATCAAAGGCATTCTTCATTTGTGTTACAAAGCTTTCTCTTCCTCCTCCTCCTCTTCCTCCTCCTCTTCTTCTCCCTCCTCCTACTCCACCTTATTATTATTATTATTATGATTTCTAGTGTTTCCTTTTGATACTTTCTTAGAATTTCCATCTCCATTATAGTATTACCAATCTGTTTCTGCATGTTGTCTACTTTTTCCATTAAAGCCCTTAACATGTTAATCATACTTATGTTAAATTTCCTGTCTGATCATTACAAAACCTGCATGAATCTGGGTCTGGTTCTGATGCTTTCTTTCTCTCTTCAGACTGTACTTTTTCTTGCTTTTTAGTATGCTGTATAATTTTTTGTTTAAAGGCAGACATGAAATATGGGGTAATAGGACAGGAACTGAAGTAAATAGGCCTATAGTGTAAAGCTTTATGTTAATTTGGTCAGCAGGTAGGCTGTTTTAATATCTGCCATAGCTGTAGGTTTTAGGAGATTCAAATTTTTCTAGTGTCCTTATTTTTTCTTCCCTGTTGTCTTTAGATTTGCCTAGGAATTCCCTCTTAAACCTAGTCTGAGCCTTGCAGCTCTTTCAGCTATAATCCATTTTATTACACTAGAGCCCTGTTGATGAGGTGGTAAGGAGTGAGGAAGAGGAATTATTCTACATGTTATTATTAAATTTCAGTCTTATAGGGTGCCTGTGCCAATGTGCTGTAACCTTCAAAAATATATTTTTTCACCCTCAACCCTTTATGTAAGACAAGAAGACTAGATGAAGTTGAATTTTGGGGAAAAGTCTCTCTTTCAGCTGAGATAGGCTTCTGATAAAGTCTTTTTCACTGCAAACTTTCGGTTGAGATAGGCTTCTGATAAAGTCTTTTTCACTGCAAAGTAGGTTCTGTGATGGAGAATGCCCTTTTCCCTTTCCCTTACCAGGGAAATGGTAATTTTTTTTTCTTGGCTCATCACCATGAGAACATGATAAGGTTCCTTGAGGTATAAGCCCATTAAAGTATGGGGGCCTCCCTAAGACTGAAGCTTCTAGGAATTTCTCATTTTCATGATAGTCTACTCTCAGCCTCCAGCAATTCATCAAAATTACAATTTAAGCATTTCTACTGGTGACTGGCTCCAGTGGCTCCTACTCCATATAAAATACTCTTGGCTGTAATTCTCTGTAATTTCCTGTCTCCCCAGATTTCAGGATGACAGCTTTCCCAGTGACTTGTGTGGGGGCTCAGAAGATAATACCCCATAATAAAGGCCTCAGAAGCAGCCTCAGAAGCGAAAATTTTTCTCTGACCTTCTCCTGCCCTGCTGTCTCTAGGTCATATTCTCCTCCAAGGCTAGCCATAGAAACTAGAATCCTCTTCTCCAAGACAGATCATAGAAACCAGAACCCCCTTTCCCTATGGCCAGCCATAAAACCTAAAAATATTACTCTAATTTTTCCTCTGCCTTTCTGTGTAAAAACTGGCCATAAAGAAATTATCTGACCTATCTTGTTTGACTATAGGTCTAAGACCCTCATTCCAGAGAGGGTCTTGCCTCATACCCAGAAGGAAGGAACACATGCTCAGAGAGGCCAGGAAGAATCAGGATAGGCAGGCCTTGCTGAGTGTCCCCACTCAGTCTATTAGCATTACAGCACACCCTTTTTGTCCAATCATATTTCTACATGCTGTCTATACTTTGTTGAACCTAAGCATAAAAATGGACAATTTCCCCTGTATCTTTAGGTTGTCATTCTGAAGGCTCCCACATATGCACTTTAAATAAATTTGTATGCCTTTTCTCCACTTTCATGAATTGATGTACAACCATCCTTCACAGGGCCAAGTCTTGGCTCCTACACTTCAATTCTTTGATAGGCCTGCCCAAGAACAGTTATTGATTTTCAGCTGTTTCAGCTTTTCTTATGTTGCAAGGACAGAAGTAACAATTTCGAAGCTACTTATGTGTCAGAGCTTTACTCCATTTGGTATCTCTCCAAGACTTCAGCACAGTGTCAAGTGTTAGCAAGGGTTTGTTGAATGTGTAAGTTAGTGGATAAAATAACACAAAGAAAGGAGAAATGCTTGAGTTTATGAGTACCCCATTTACCCTGAAGTGTATGCATTATATGCCTGTATCAAAATATCTCACGTATCCTATAAATATATAACCTATTATATACCCACAAAAATTAAAAATGTAAAAGAACATAGAATAACTGTAGTTCTCTATTATTTTCAAAACTTATTTTGTGTGATCTGAATCAGAAAACAATTACACCAGGTAAAAACTAGATCAGATTTTAAGAATAAGTTTTTTTTCAAAATATTTCCATGGCATTACATACAAGTCTCCTTTACTCTTTCACTTGTCAAATATTTATTGTATGTGTATTATATATCTCTATTGTTCTAGGTGCTAGGGATGCAGCAGTGAGCAAGGCAAAGTTCCTACCTTTACAGACCTTATAGACCACTGGGAGATACAAATAATAAAAACAAATAAGGGAATATATAATGTAATTGCAGAAAGTGATCATTTAATGAAGAAGTTAGGTTGTCTGTTCACTCTGACGGTAGTTTCTTTTGCTATGCAGAAGCTCGTTAGTTTAATTAGATCCCATTTGTCAATTTTGGCTTTTGTTGCCATTGTTTTTTGTGTTTTAGACATGAAGTCCTTGCCCATGCCTATGTCCTGAATGGTATTGCCTAGGTTTTCTTCTAGGGTTTTTATGGTTTTAGGTCTAACATTTAAGTCTTTAATCCATCTTGAATTAATTTGTGTATAAGTTGTAAGGAAGGGATCCAGTTTCAGCTTTCTACATATGGCTAGCCAGTTTTCCCAGCACCATTTATTAAATAGGGAATTGTTTCCCCATTTCTTGTTTTTGTCAGGTTTGTCAAAGATCAGATGGTTGTAGATATGTGGCATTATTCCTGAGGGCTCTGTTCTGTTCCATTGGTCTATATCTCTGTTTTGGTACCAGTACCATGCTGTTTTGGTTACTGTAGCCTTGTAGTATAATTTGAAGTCAGGTAGCGTGATGCCTCCTCCAGCTTTGTTCTTTTGGCTTAGGATTGACTTGGCAATGCAGGCTCTTTTTTGATTCCATATGAACTTTAAAGTAGTTTTTTCCAAGAATGGGAGAAAGATTTTGCAATCTACTCATCTGACAAAGGGCTAATATCCAGAATCTACAATGAACTCCAACAAATTTACAAGAAAAAAAAACAAACAACCCCATCAAAAAGTGGGTGAAGGATATGAACAGACACTTCTCAAAAGAAGACATTTATGCAGCCAAAAGACACATGAAAAAATGCTCATCACCACTGGCCATCAGAGAAATGCAAATGAAAACCACAATGAGATACCATCTCACACCAGTTAGAATGGCGATCATTAAAAAGTCAGGAAACAACAGGTGCTGGAGAGGATGTGGAGAAATAGGAACACTTTTACACTGTTGGTGGGACTGTAAACTAGTTCAACCATTGTGGAAGTCAATGTGGCCATTCCTCAAGGATCTATAACTAGAAATACCATTTGACCCAGCCATCCCCTTACTGGGTATATACCCAAAGGATTATAAATCATGCTGCTATAAAGACACATGCACACGTATGTTTATTGCAGCACTATTCACAATAGCAAGGACTTGGAACCAACCGAAATGTCCAGCAATGATGGACTGGATTAAGAAAATGTGGCACATATACACCATGGAATACTATGCAGTCATAAAAAAGGATGAGTTCATGTCCTTTGTAGGGACATGGATGAAGCTGGAAACCATCATTCTCAGCAAACTATCACAAGGACAAAAAACCAAACACCGCATGTTCTCACTCATAGTTGGGAATTGAACAATGAGAACACGTGGACACAGGAAGGGGACCATCACACACTGGGGCCTGTTGTGGGGTGGGGGGCGGGGGAGGGGGTGGGGGGAGGGGGGGAGGGGGAGGGGGGAGGGGGAGGGGGAGGGGGAGGGTTAGCAGTTGGAGGTATACCTAATGTTAAATGACGAGTTACTGGGTGCAGCACACCAACATGGCACATGTATACATATGTAACTAATATACACGTTGTGCACATGTACCCTAAAACTTAAAGTATAATAATAAAAATAAATAAATAAATAAATAAATAAATAAAAGAATTTAAAGGAAGAATGATCAGAAAACTAAACATCCAACTAAATATGACCCAGCAATTGTCCACCTGAGTATCCTAGAGAAATGAAGACATGTTCATATAAAAACCTGTATACCAATGTTTATTGTAGCTTTATTCATAATAGTCAAAATTGGAAACAACTCAGATAGTGAATAGTTAAACAAACTGTGGTAAATTCGTATCATGGAATATGACTCAGCAATAAAAAAGAATTGAGATGTCTGTATCTTAACCATATCAATGTCAATACCTTGGTTGTAATATTTTACTATAGTTTTGAAATATGTTAACATTGGGAAAAACCAGGTAAAGAGTGCACAGAATCCCTCTGAATTATTTGTTACAACTGCCTTTGAATTCATAATTATCTCAAAATCGAAAAAGTTTCCTTTAAAAAATTATAGCTTTAATACACGGGATACTACGTAGCCAAGTGTCTCTCTAAATCCCTAAAATGTTCAGTAGACAGAGCTTATTTTGATTATGTTGTTACCTGATATAATAGGTTCTAGTCTTCCAGTCCCAATCATAATGTATGCTTTTTGAGAGGATACATGAAGTTGTGAGTAGCACAATACTGAGTCCTTGGTAGGCATTCAATAAATGTTTTGTAAATTATCCAGATGTTTGCTCCAACAACGCCTCGTGGTGTATCAGCATAAAAAACCTGCAACAGCAGACTTATTTACTTTCAATTCCTTTAGTGTTTTTGCAGCTCTGCAGCATTTGATATTATTGGCCTCTTCTTTTTCCTTAAAATTTCCTATTTTCCTTGACTTCTGGGACAAAATACTTTTATGATTCCCCTAGTTCTTTCATCTATCATATGACTCATTCTCTGATACTTCATCTTTCTAAACTCTAAATATAAACATTACTTAAATTATTTTATTTGGCTTCTTCCCTTTTCTTCTATCTAATTTCATTGATAATCTCAACCATGATGCTGACTTCTTAAAAGACAGTTTTGCAAATGGCCTTTCATTTTCAGTTCCAAGCCACATCTAAGCTCCTCAGCTTTTATTTCTAACTGTCTAATGAACATTGCCATCTTAACTTCTCTGTGGCACTTCTAACTCAACAGTCCCCAAACATAACATATCATCTTTTCTCTTCTCATTACCCATATCTCTTTCTTGTTTTGTGCTCCCTATTTTTTATTAGGACCCCACCAGCATCAATAACATGAATATCACATTTTTTATTCTTTTGCCTATTGACAAATCTGAACATACGGAACATGTTCTGTGTTCTGTATGTTCCGTTTTGTCACTAGGCAAGAAAACTTTTCAAATTTTGCCCCAGGAAAGTGGCAATCATTTTTCTGAGCTGGAAAGGACCTCTCCGGTGACTTCATCTGTGGTCTCTGTGCAGATTACAAATATGGGCTGTGGAGATACATAACTTGATTTCAAGGCAAAGCCTGTATTTCTTCCCACTTGTGCTGCATACCCCTAATACCCCACTTCACATCTTAATGGTCCACCTATGTACTCCAGCCATTGCTACAGCAACCAGCTGCACAAAGTTATAACCTGAAGGCACCTTAAATTAGCTGCACCACATTTCTCCCACTTCCTGATCTGGGGTTCCTAGGCTTTACAGGACTTCTACAGAACCTGCTCAGCCATTCTGACACAAGTATACGGGGCAACCTTTGACAAATAGGGAATGGGGGGTTGGGAGCTTATGAATAAATGCTCATTTATTCTGCCTGTAAGGTAGACATTTCTAGGGCCTGTTCTCCCTGGACGTTCTCAGAGTCCTCAAGAGGCCTGGACCAAGCCCCAGTTGCCCACAGCAGTAAGTAACCTGCTCGATAACACAATTTGAATTGGCATTTCCTCCTTTCTGGTTTCATCCTTCTTAGATCACAGTTATGTTCTTTAAGATATCTTCCAAAAATAATTTAAATGAATTCCAGTCCTTGTCTCAGGCTTTGCTTTTCAGGGGAGCCAAGGCCAATCAATGTCTGAATACAAGGTAAACCACTTTCATTTTATTTATAGGTAATGAAGAGTAACTGAAAGTTTACCAGTTGTAATTTAGAAGGATCAATACATTTCCAAGATGTAGGAATACTGCAGATTGTTAGCCAGCCACCAAAAGCCATGAGATAAGCATGGAACAGATTTCTCCCTCATAGCCCTCAGAAGGAACCAGCACTGCTGACACCTTGATCTTGGATTCTAGCTTCTATAATTATGAGAAAATAAATTTCTATTGTTTAAGCCACCTAGTTTATGATACTTTGTTATGGCAGACTCAGGAAACTAATACACTAGGCAACTAAATGCCATCAATAAATGTAAGGAAGCCAAGAGTGGGAACCCAATTGATGTGAAGAGAAGAGGAGAGACAGAGACAGTGCTTCAATTTTTGGCATAACTGATTCATTAAAAGGGAAGCATAAGAGACGTGTGCAAATTGAAATTTTTGTGTGATATAGCAGGGAACATTGTCCCCATTAATTTAGTTGGAAAGGAAAGCATTATGTAAAAAGGGAAGAACTTATCCTCTGCTTGTAGCTAATGAATCTGTACTTGAAAAGCACACTCACTCCCTTAAGCTTTAGATGGATAGAGAGGAACCAATTAGGTAAATTGGGTGAAATTCAGATAAGGAATTTATGAGAATGGAGGATTGGCTTTGAGTAAAGATGAAAGGAAAGAAATGTACTTAGCTAGACTAAGTGATGATTAAGTGGAATTTGATGATAAGGGACAATATTTTAAAGGTGAAGGTTCAAAGAAGAAGTAAAGCGATACAAAGAGAAAGATGCATGTGTTGTACCAGTTTTATTATAAAAACAGGAAAATATTTTTGTAATATGGAAATGGGATAGAACTTTATTAACATGCCAACAAAATGAGAAGCCATAAGAGTAAAATGAACAAATTAGATAACAGAAACATTTTAGAGTTTTAAATTTAAATGTTTTGCATTAAAAAAACTAAAGGAGAAATAAAAATAGAAAAATATTCTATCATATATGAACAATAAAGTGTTAATATCCAAAATGTATAAAGTCCTTCTATTAGAAAAAAGTGCTCAGCATAATTTTAAATAGAAAAATTACATGAAAAATAACATATTAAGGTAGACATATTAATGACCAACAAACAGTTGAAAAGATGCCCAAAGTCACTAATTATCAAAACATGCAAATTAGAACTATATTTTTCTTACACTGTTGAAAAAGTTTTTAGAAACCTAAACTATGTTTAACGTTGCTGAAAGTACAGGGAAACTGGTACTCTGATATACTACTCAGGGGATTCAAATAGGTCTGGTCTCTTTTGAATCAATTTAAAAACTATTTTTAAAAATTTAAAAGTACATGTTTTGATTTAGCCAATCAACTTGCAGAAATTGCCCTACAGTAACCTCTCACAAATTTATAAATAAATACGTGCCATGATGTTTTACTGCGTGGTTGTTTGAATGGTAAAAAATCTGAAACAACCTAAATGCCAAAATTAATAGAGAAATAGTTAAATGATTGATGATGATGGTCATAACATGGAATACTATGTGGTTATCATAAAAAATGAGGTGGATTTCTGTGTAAGTAGTATGACCTAGGCAGGTACTTGTGACATATTTTTAAGTGTAAAAAAGTGAATCACAAGATGGTGTTAGTAGTATGATCCTTTCTTTCTAAGCAAATACATATTCATTAAAAAGCCTTAACAATGCTTAACTCTGGTAGGTGAGATTATGAAGGACTTTTATTTTTCATTTGCACATAGCTGTATCTTTTGAAATGTTTTCAATATGAATGTATCTCTTTTGTAATTAGATTTTTTCAAAAAAGGACAAAAGAAATCCTAGTTTTTTCTTAACTAGCAAAACAAGAGGCAGATGCTCCAGGAGTGAATTGTTGAAGGATAGGAGAGAAACACCTACTGAGAAAATGCTTATGGATTTGGGATGCATGGGGCACGTGTGAAACTCCATCTCCTGACGATTTTTTTTTCTTAACACAAATATTAGTAAACTCATAATGAAATTTTAGCTTGACAAGTTAAATCTATCTTTGTATTTTATGGGTTTAACATTCAGAGTTTTCTTTGAAATTTTGTGATGCAAATAATTGATCATATTTGCAGTTGAGTTAGGTGCTAAAAAGCTGGTATATGGGAAGCAAGTTACTTAGCTATTAGCAAGGTTTGCAAGAGGACTTGATTTCATTTCAATAAGGCTTTAGCTTTTTTTAAAATTTCATATAATGTAGTCTTTGTGAAATAATACAATCCCACTTTGTGAAAAAAAAAAGCCAATAAGGGAGAAGAAATGTATTAATTATCACGTGAGACTATTCACTTGAGAATATTATGTTAGCCAGTAAGCCATTATATTTTGGAACATGACCATATTGCCTGTGGTTTAGCTATTATTTATGTTAGTCCAGCACTTGCTTTTCCTTCCCCCACCTTCTGGTGAGAAGTCCTTTTCTTCCTGGCAATGGTTATGAGCATATGGCAAAGATTTGGGCAGTCATAGGACCTCATTTTCCTGATCACAGTAATTAGTTAAGACTTGGGACAATCAGAATTAATCTTAGACGTGGTTTCCAGAAAGTGGATGTTAAGATGGGGAGTCATGTAAAAGTGACTTAATAGGAAATGTTCTCAAGAAAAATCTAGAGAAAAGTTGGGGAGGAAGGAAGTGGTCCTGGGAAAGCCATGCAAGGGTGCAGTGTTAAGAAGTGGCCCATGTTTACAGTCCCACCAACAGTGTAAAAGTGTTCCTATTTCTCCACATCCTCTCCAGCACCTGTTGTTTCCTGACTTTTTAATGATTGCCATTCTAACTGGTGTGAGATGGTATCTCATTGTGGTTTTGATTTGCATTTCTCTGATGGCCAGTGATAATGAGCATTTTTTCATGTGTTTTTTGGCTGCATAAATGTCTTCTTTTGAGAAGTGTCTGTTCATGTCCTTTGCCCACTTTTTGATGGGGTTGTTTGTTTTTTTCTTGTAAATTTGTTTGAGTTCATTGTAGATTCTGGATAGGACTGTAAACTAGTTCAACCATTGTGGAAGTCAGTGTGGCGATTCCTCAGGGATCTAGAACTGGAAATACCATTTGACCCAGCCATCCCATTACTGGGTATATACCCAAAGGACTATAAATCTTGCTGCTATAAAGACACATGCACACGTATGTTTATTGCGGCATTATTCACAATAGCAAAGACTTGGAACCAACCCAAATGTCCAACAATGATAGACTGGATTAAGAAAATGTGGCACATATACACCATGGAATACTATGCAGCCATAAAAAATGATGAGTTCATGTCCTTTGTAGGGACATGGATGAAATTGGAAATCATCATTCTCAGTCAAATATCGCAAGAACAAAAAACCAAACACCGCATATTCTCACTCATAGGTGGGAATTGAACAATGAGATCACATGGACACAGGAAGGGGAATATCACACTCTGGGGACTGTGATGGGGTGGGGGGAGAGGGGAGGGATAGCACTGGGAGATATACCTAATGCTAGATGACGAGTTGGTGGGTGCAGCGCACCAGCATGGCACATGTATACATATGTAACTAACCTGCACAATGTGCACATGTACCCTAAAACTTAAAGTATAAAAAAAAAAAAAAAAAAGAAGTGGCCCATGATGGGTGCTGTATTGGGGAAGTCCCTCAAACTACCCCTAGGTTCAATGATTCACTAGGAGGACTCACAGGATTCAGCATATAGTTGTACTTACAACTATGATTTATTAAAGTGAAAGGATACAAAGCAAAATCAGCAAAGAGAAAGGGCGCATAGAGTGAAGCTCACAGGAAACAAAGCATAAGCTTTCAAGGGCCCTCTTCCTGTGGAGTCACACAGGACACTCTTAATTTTTCCAGTAAACAAATTGTGACTACTTATGAAATGTTGCCAAAAAGGGAAGCTCATTAGAGGTTGAGAGTCAAGGCTTTTATTGAGGTCACATAGGGGCCGCTTTGTCAAGCACGTACAAAAATTTCAAGCTCCCTAAAAGAAAGCAGGTGTTAGCATAAATCACATTATTTGTACAAATAATTTAGGAAAAGTGACTTTTGTCAGAGAACGGTGGAAATCCTCCTGAAATAAAAGTTCCCAGATGCCAGCCAAGGGCTAACCTTGCAAGCAGACCTTTCTAAGGCTAGCATTTTCAGCCTTGCTATGTTAACTCTTTTCTGCACAGGTACTTTTGGCTGAATACCATAGGAAAGCTCTGAAAACTGTATAGCTTATCCCCCACTTTTGGATGCAGGAGATGGAATATATTTCCCTAACTGTCAGTCATTGTTTAAAGGCTACCTGCCAGGGACACAGATTTTCAGGCACTTCTAGCAATCCGTATGTGCAGGCTCAGCTGGTTCCAGCTGCCTGAGGGCAAGTCCTCCAACAAAGTGATGCAGGTGCTGGCTGTTGGGAGTGACGGTTCAGTGGGAGACATGTACATTGAAAATGGACCTAACCTCGAGGAAATATGGGTGAAGTGCTGACAGTGCTTGCTACAGCTATCCTGCATGGGACTTGATATATACTGAAGCAGGGATGGAAAAACCATCCTCCTGAGATGGTTTGAGTTGGCATAATGTGAGCCTAAAGCTGCCTGTAGCTGTATTCTCCATTGTGTAGAGGAGACCTTTTTGCAGTGGCGGAGTATGAAATCTGTACTCAGAGAAAAGCTGAGAGGAGACAGGGATAGAAAATCCTGACAATGAGTGCCTCAGGTTCACCTGAAATCATCCCTAACATCAACTCCACCACTGCTCCTTTTACTTTAGCCAGTATACATCCCCTTTTTTGCTTCTGCTAATTTAATTTAGCCTTTTGTGATTTGCAACCATTAAAGAGAGAACCCCGACCAATATACCATGTAAATTACTTACTGAACCTAGCATATCACAGGTGCCCAATTCTAAGATATTTGGTGGTAAATTGTATTTCTTTTGGAACCTGGATTAATAAATTCGGGCAACCTAAGCATTTTCTAAAGCAGACTTTGACAAACTGTGGCCAAATTCACCACTCCTACCACCACTCTCATTCACCCTTTCCAGTCAGTTTTTGTACAGTGCACAAGCTAAGAATGGGTTTTACCTTTTTACATGATTGGGAAAAAAATAAAAAGAATATTTTTATTTTTGACACATAATATCATCACTGAAATTCACATTTCAGTGTTCATAAAGTTTTTAGTTTCATGAATAAAATATGTGCAAAAATTTGTTTTCTCTCTTGTTATGTAAGTACCTACATACAAAATCCTTGATTTTGCCTCTTGGCCAACAATGCCTGAACTATTTGTAATCTGGACCTTTTCAAACTGTGTTTTCTAATCCCCATCCTAGAACAATTAGAATGGAAAACTGACTAATCTTTCTTGAAAGAAGAGATTGTGTCTTATTATTATTTTTAATAATCATGTATGACAGTACCTCGAAAAATTATCTGTAAATGGAAGCACCTAGGAAACCGAACTGACAAAAATAGGATGACATGTAGGAGGAGGGGTAGCTTACTGATAGTGAGCTATCACTAAATGGATTGTTACAATGACTCTGAGAACAATTAATCAGCTTGCCCTTCATAGCATTGTCAGTGATAAATCCCCTCCTTGTAATAAAGTTTCAAAGAGTCATTTGACTATTGAGGATTATGTGAAATATCCAAATCTAAGATTCTAACTGCTCAAAAGTTAGAGATTCAAGTGTGTTAATTGGCTCATATTTTAAAAGCCTCTCTGAGAATGCTGAGCCTCTCAGTCATTTATACCTCAATAGTTTTTACTGTGATAATCAGATAACTCTTTTTGTTCAGCTCTTGCTGAACATAGGAGATGTCAGCAAAGGAAGAACAGGAGAGTAAAAAAGAAAGCGTGATATCGAACCCTAAAAAACGACGGGCACGGACAATACCATGTGTGGCTTTTATTTCTGTCAGCCTGAGAGCTGTGTTTAAGAGTGAGACAGATAAAAATAATAGTTACCTTGAAGATGTGGAAGAAGCATCCAGAAAGATATGTAGAGGATACTAAGAAAGTGCTGCTTCCACATAATTAGAAAAGCAATGAGAATATCTTGTTATCTTAATTTTGATGTTGAAGATACTTTGATGAAAATACATGTTACAGAATCATTTAAGATTTATTACATACATTTCTGTGGTTGCATCATGTTCTTTCCTAAGAAACTACTTGAAACTAGTAATCATTTATAAAACATTACTGCTGGACTATTTTTAAGCAGTACCTCTTAACAATATGCAGTGGAAGTCAGAAGCCAAGCTAGTGAATGAAGATCCCAAACATAAATCCAGTGACTCCTCCCATCCACTCAGTCACCCAGTGGGAGAAGCTCTTTATGATCCACGATGAGAAAGAACTCTGGACCAGTTTCTCAAGGGGCTCCCCTTGGCTTAGCAGAAATGCATTAATTAGAAGCCGTAACTTGAGGAATTCATTAAGTTTTAAATTCAAATTTCAGATTTGGGGATTCTTTGTAGTTCATTCAATACATTGGTCTGAGGAGCTAACCATTTTTGAATCACTGTGCCCACCTTAGATACAATGACCAGCAAAACAGAGACAGAGCCTACCCTTATGGTGCCAACATCTGCCTGCCATCCTGCACCTGTATGACCTTTCAGTCTCCAGCAACTCATTAACATCCAGCATTTGTACATTTTCAGTCTCCAAAGAATGCTAATTGTTATGTTCAGTCCCACATAGAATTGATCTGTGAAATAAACAAATTATAAAACTGGGTGAAGCAGGGTGAAGACAGATACATTTAAGATGATAATTGCTATAAAAAAGAATGAGTTTGTGTCTTTTGCAGGGACATGGATGATGTTGGAAACCATCATTCTTAGCAAACTAATACAAGAACAGAAAACCAAATACCACATGTTCTCACTCATAAGTGGGAGTTGATCAATGAGAACACATGGACACAGGGAGGGGAACATCGCACACGGGGGCCTGTCGGGGGTTGGTGGGCTAGGGGATGGATAGCATTAGGAGAAATACCTAATGTAGATCACGGGTTGATGGGTGCAGCAAACCACTATGGCACATGTATACCTATGTAACAAACCTGCACATTCTGCACATGTAAACCACAACTTAAAGTATAATTTAAAAAAATATAATAATTGCTGACTTTATTGAGCACTTACTGAGGGGAGGTTCCTGTGCTAAAGGGTTATTTCTAAGGGGAATATATGCATTATTTCCTGTATTCCTCCCAATAACCTGGGTGGTAGGTAGTATATTATTCTCATTTTACAAGTGAGAAAACAGGGGCCTAGAGAGGTTAAGTAACTTGCCCAACATCACATCACAAGTAAATAACAGAACAGGGGTTTCAACACAACCCTGACTGACCCTTAAGGCCAGTTCTTAACACTAGTAAACAATGGCTCTCCAGAAAATCGCTGATTATTGCCAGGTGATACTTGGTTATCACACAACTGTCTGTCTTATGAGAAATTAGAATCAGCCAATAGATATATTGACTAGGCAAAGTAGTTTCACCTAGAAGGAAAGAACAAAAGCTGGAGAATCAGAACTGATGTAGAGGTTGGTGGAGTAGCCTTACCAAGTCTCTTCAATATGCCTATTGAAGAGACTTTCTTGGTCAACAATTATGGCCCATGTTGAAGAGTCATGGAAATCAAGATTAGATAGATTAACATCATATGTTGAAAGCCTTAGAAGTCACCCTAAAGAGTTTGAATTTATGAAGCTGGCATTAAAGTGTCATAGAATTCCTTAAACTAAGGCAGCAATTTGCAGGATGTAGTAGAGATGATTTGGTACGGTGCCTTTGGTGGATGGTGTTTGGGGGAGACATAGAGTGCATGTGTCACTCAGGGTTCTCCAGAGAAACAGAGCCAATAAGAGATAGATAGATATACAGGAAGAGATTTATTATGAGAGATTGGCTCATGTGATGATAGAGCCTGAGAAGTCCCACTATCTGCTGCCTGAAACTGGAGGATCAGGAAAGCTGGGAATAATTCCAGAGCGAGCCTGAAGACCTGAAAACCAGGGAAGCCAATAGAGCAAACCTGAGTCCAAGTCCTAAGGCCCAAGAGCCAGGAAGACCAATATCCCAGGGAAGGAGTAGACAGATATCCTAGCTCCAGAAGAGAGCAAATTCACTCTTCCTCTGCCTTTTTGTTCTATTCAGTTCCTCAACAGATTGGACAATGCCCACTCATATTTGGTGAGGCTTATCTTCTTCACTCAGTGTACTGATTCAAATGATAATCTCTTCTGAAACATTCTCACAGACATACTGCAAAATAATACTTTACTTGCTGTCTGGGTGTTCCTAAGCCCAGTCAACGTAAAACATAAAATTAAACATTACAGTGCACCAAATGGGAGAAGAGAAGGGAAAATAAGTAGGGAACCTTTAAGCACATTGACATTAAGTTGAATTTAAGATGTTAGTGGCTCTATATCCAAGTAAATATGCTCTGTTACATAGTTTGAATTAAGATATTGTAGTTTGGATGAGTAGCACTGGAATTGGTGATTGGTGGGGTCTATATACTCCAGTGCGGGTATATATATACATACACACACACACACACACACTCTCTCTCTCTCTCTCTCTCTCTCTCTATATATATATATATATATATATATATATATATATATATATACACCGAATCACCAACTCCAGTGCTTGGAGTGCAGTGTGTATATATACACACAATCCCAACTCCAGTGCTTGGAGTGCTATATATATATATATTATATATATATTATATATAATACATCTGTATATATATATAATATATATATAATATATATATATGCCTAGAGAGGTTAAGGAACTTGCCCAACATCACGCTATATATATATATGTGTGTTATATATATATGTGTGTGTGTATATATATATGTGTGTATATATATGTGTACATATATATATATATATATGGATGGTTTTTGAAGATGAGAAGATGGAATAACTGTTGATGAAGAAGAGTAGAAGACTGAGATCATAGCTTTGGAAGAAATCTGTAGTTGTGGGAGGAGGGAGAAGAGCCAGCAACAAAGACAAGGAAGAATCATTCGCCAAGATTGGAGAACAAAGGAGTGCAGTGTCACAGAACCAAGAGAAGACTAAGAAAGAAGGAGAAGGTGCTCAACAGTGTCAAAAACCATAAAGAGGCCAGGAGGATGAAAATTGAGGAGAGACTGCATCTGATAAATAGGAGGTCACTGGTGACACTTGAGAAAGAATTCAATAACACAGAAGGGGTAAGAACACAGCAGGGAGTATTCAGGCAGGAATGTGAGGGCAATTAACATGGGTCCCTAGCTTAAGAACTTTGGCACTGAAAAGAGTAATTAAAGTGTTGTAGTATAACACACCTCCTATTTCATAATCAAAGACAATAGGAAGGTGAGATATTGCTGGAACTTCTGTAATCTTCTGTGGGAGAGAAACTAGCGGTAGAAATGTGTCTTTTTGCTCCTGAAAACTGAGCTGTATAATTCTCTATTTCTAAGTTGCCTTTCCATCAGCATTAACTTTACATTTTCCTTAACTTGTCATCTTTCCGTGCTGACAGTAGGAAGAAAAAAAACATGCTAATCGACGGAGATAAAAGTGGAAATTCTAAGACTGTCGATCTACATGATTTCTCTGGCGGCTTTTCATTGGCAACAGAGTGTCTAATGTTCAGGGACAAGAGGAATCAGACCGCAGGGTGCCTGCCAGCTCTCCAGAGGACAGAAACCCTCTTTTGCATGCATATAAATAAGCCCAGAAATAGGTTGTGAGATAAGAAGTATTGTAATGTCATAGAGCCCTATACTACGTGAAGGGGCCTGGGCTCTCCTGATGGCGGAGGTATTTGGATGCTGTGTGGCTGGAGTAGATAATGACATTAGAAAAGAACCATTCAGAGGTATGATATATTTTCCTGGTGTACTGTGCCAAGGTGGCAGATTGTTTAATTGTGTAAAATGTAAGACTGAACAGTTCTTTCCTCTCACCTTCCCAAAATGCTTATGGTTGCAAAGGGAAAGTTTGGCATTAGTTTCCATTCATTTCAAAGGATAAAAAATGGCTAATGTAGAGATGTATTGATCTTTGAAAGGTCAGGAGCAGATTCATAGGTCAAGGTGTTATTGCTGAATAGCTAAGATGCTATGTTAGGGGAGGGACCACAGGAAGAAACAATATGAAAAACAAAAACCACAAAGGAATGCCCCATACATAAAATTAACTCCATTTTGTTGCCTTTGTTTTTAAAGAAAAACATAACATTTTATATACACAGTCGTGCACTGTATAATGATGCTTCAGTCAATGACAGACTGCATATATGATGGTGGTCTCATAAGATTACAATAGGGTATTTTCCCTATACCTTTTCTATGTTTAGATACATAGAATCTAAACATAGAATTGTAACTGTGTTACAGTTCCTTACAGTATTCAGTACAGTAACATGCTGTGTATGTCTGTAGACTAGGAGCAATAGGTTATACCAGATAGCCTAGGTGTATAGTAGAGTATACCATCTAGGTCTGTGTAAGTACACTCCATGATGTTCATAAAATGACAAAATCACCTAATGGTGCATCCTTCAGAATGTGTCCCTGTTGCTAAGCAACACATATAATGTGAACACATAGGTTAAGTGACATAGGTAATGACTATGTATGTGGTTGTGTCTGTATGTATGTATATATGTGCAGATACACACATATAACATCATCATTTACTTCAAAATTAGAAACAGAGTTCAGACAATAAATTCAGTACCTGCAAGAAGTAATTAGAAATATAGTTCAGTTTCTTTGTTTAGCCTTAAAGTTCGGAAAAAAAAAGAAAGACATACAGATAAGAGCAAGGGAGATGGAAAAACGAGCAGCTATAGTTCCAGCTGAGGTGGGAAAATTGCTTGAGCCCAGGAGGTTAAGGCTGCAGTGGGTCCTGATCATGCCACTGCACTCTAGTGTCAAACTAAACAAAACAATACCCAGAAAGAAAGTAGAAATGGAAAGGGAAAATTAAGGAAAATGAGGAAGAGGGAGAAAGAGAGAGGAAGTTGGTGTAGAGGGAAATGCCAAGACAGATGTTGAATACATATTCAGTGAATAACTATTATGTTTCCAAAACAGTACAAAGAGCTAAATGAGAGCAAATATAAGCAAAGCCATGGAAAAGAAGGCCTGACAAATCAAGTCTTTAGTGTTCTAAGGTTGGTTCTTTCAAAAAAGGTTATATTCAGGCTGACCACAAATTGCTGAAGTATTAAATACGTGTTTATATATATTTGAATATGTTATCCCCATTTTTAAAGGCTGCTGTATTACAAGTTCCATGAGTATAAAGATTTTGTTCTGTATTAGATGACTTTCACAAAATATATATGTTCCTTTTACCTCTGCACAGTGCTGATCTAACACTATATATTTCTGAAATAATTTCCAATGAAATTGGCACATATATAATAGTTCACTCAGCACAGTGCACATATTTATATATACATATATGCTTTATGGCTTCATTCTCTTTTGGCCACTGAGGGCTAGCATAGCAGTCTTGTTCTGTATACTCTTCGCTAATGAAGTTACCACATTGCATTGCAAACATTCTTAATGAAGACTCATCTATTATTCTAAGGTAAAATTTTTTTTAAAAGGCTGTTTTCTCAGTTGTGGCCTCTCCATCTGCTGTTATTTTGTCTTCTAGGAAATAGTTGTAGACTCTCATTACTGACGAAAATATTTGCCCTAGATGGACTTCCTTTGCAACAACTCTAGTATGATTACACTGAATTGTAACATACAGGTTTTACAGGGGCTAGTCTAGTCATCTTCAAGGAAATGATCATGAACAAAGAGTAAAGGACACAGGCATTTGGGAGTTGTTAGGAGAACTTTGACGTTACGGAAAATATGGGGAGAACTGAATAGGTTGAGTTCTAATGAACTAATAGGTCCAGTTTACTCATACAATGATATTACTAAGATTCCAAAGTCAGCCTCTACAATGTGGTCATTTCATCACATTTAAGAAGAAACCTCAAACGTCCAAAAGAAACTAAAACTTTTAAAAAGTGTTTTGAACTTTGAAAATAAAACAAGAAAACAGATTTCAAACCCTGGAAGGACTGTTATAAACTGCTAACTAGTCCTAATTTTAAAGAATAATAATGTGGAAGCAAACTTATCCTGGTGCCTTTATCCAGGTAAAGAACAGTGTATAAAAAAGGGCAACAGATCTCCAACCAGAGTTGAGTGGTTGTGCAGAGACTATATGGCACACAAAGCCAAAAATATTTACTCTCTGGGCCTTGCAAAAGAAAAGTTAATTCAGCCCAATTAAATTTAAAGGAGTTTAATGGAGCAGTGAGTGATTCGCGAATCAGGCAGCCCCCAGAATTACAGCAGATTCAGAGAGACTCCAGGGATGCCTTGTGGTCAGAACAAATTTATGGACAAAAAAAAGGGAAGTGACATACAGAACTCGGAAGTGAGGTGCAGGAACAGCTGGATTGGTCAGAAGTTGGCATTTGGCTTATTTGAACACAGTTTGAACACTCAGCAGTGTATCAGTGGTTGAAGTACCGCTGCTGGGATTGGCCAAGACTCCACTATTGTTACAGGCACATACTCCTAAGTTAGGTTTTCAGTCTTGTCTACTTGTTAAGTTAGGTTGCAGTTCATCCACAAGGCATCAAATATAGAAGTACAGAGTCCTTCTCAGGCCATATTTAGTTTGCTTTAACAACTTTTAAAAGTTTCCCAATCTTTTCTCTAAAGGGCACAAATAGGTGCTGAAGAAATGTTTAGTCATAGCAAATACGGAAGAATGTTTTAACTCAGATTGTGAGTACCAGTAGAAATTCATTAATTTTTGCTGCACCGTACCTACAGTGTCTCAGTGTTAGGAGGGCTCTTAGAAGTCATTAAGTCTAACTCTCTATGAACTGGACTGCAGCTAGGAAAATTTGTCTTTCTTCTTCATAAAGAGAGTAAGCTGGGGAGTAAAGTGACAAAAGTAAACACTCAGCTGAAAAGATGATTTACCCATTTAAGAGAACTGAGAGGGCAGCTTACTTATAAATAAATGTAATTGAGAAATAAAGAGAAACCAAAGCTCTGTGTGCTGGGGTTTGATATGTTCATCATAAAGCATTCTTCAAATTTAATTTATTCATCTCAGTGGGGCCAGTGCTTGGCAATATGTTCCTAAATTTCAGATTCACTAGACAATTGAAATCAATAAAGCTTAGTTTCCTTATATGGTACAATTCACCAATGTATATTAATTCATGTTCTCTTTCCTCCAGACACGTTGAGTCAGTAAGATTTTGCTGTCTTTTTTTTTTTAAATAAAAAGATGACCTTCTCTTCCTTGTAGTATATATCTAGAAGTCATTCTATAATTTGTGTGAGGAAACTTGAAGTCTTCACTGGTTGAAAGGTAAAAAGGATCATGACACAATTCAGTCTCAATTGCTAACAACAACAAGTAGAGATCAGTATAAAAGTCCTGGAGTCATGAAATATGTGTAGCTTTGGGAAAATATTGAAATATGGCGAAATATGGAATGCAAGACTCCTTCTGTGGCTTCTGTTCACTGTCACTTACAGGTCATTTAAATTGTTTAGGAACATAAGATATAGATCTAAATACACACCCCCCTTCATTAGCTTCTAAAATATTTTTAAGCATAATTTTAAGAGAAAAAGTTATTTTTATAATTACAAGCTCACTAATTGAGCTTATTTTTGTTAGTTTTCCATTTTTATTATAAATAGAATTATGAAGTGACAATCTCTAAGCTAATGATCATCTCCTAGTAGGCTGGTAAGTAATTCACAGTAAAGGAGTTAGAAAAAAATAAAAACAAAATGCCTAAATTTATTGATTAAAACACATGAAATATAGAGAAGTCAGTCCCATTCTAGGGTTGGTCATTCTCTTTAGTTGGTGCTTCTGTCCAATCTTTATTATATAGCCTTATTGTGTTCTGAAAAGTCAGCCTTCCTCAATCATTCAATATATTTTTCTCAATTTCGGGTATCATCACAAAATAGACCAGTTTCTTCCCTGGCCTAAGATGGAAGACTGTATGGGAAATGGGGAGCAGAAGAGACAGAGTTTATTTTGTGCAGAGACCAGTACCTTTAAGGTGCCCTGTGTTTGAACCACAAGTCCTGAACATGCCATTTCTTTTGAAATCTAGGTAAATGTAGTCTTAGTGCTGTCATTACTTATATTAAAACTATTTTCAAAAAACCAAGATGCCATGAGGTGAAAGAGCATATCTACTGTGATGTTTCAGAAGATGGAACAAGGGCTAGTGGTGGGTACGGTCATCAAGTAAATGAAGAATTTTCTAGGAATTGGACCTCAGACTGTCTTGTGAATTAATAAACTTTTTAATCTAGCAAATGTCGAAGCTTGATAGTTTTTGCAAGAGATGTACAGAGGGATGATCCTTGCCTAAACTGAGTAACATACTGGGCAGATGACCTACTGCCTTTCAGCTAATTCTAATACTCCATAGTTTTATGTTATGGATTTTTAATTCTTGGGACAAATGCTTTTTCAGCCATGTTTTTGCTTTAAAGTATAGAATCATAGAGAATAATTATCTTATGAAACACAAATAATTTGGTTGTCAGCAGAGATACAGAGTCTCCAAATGAGTTGGTTTTATCTGGATTTGTCAATACAAATGTCTGAGAATAAGGCACTGTCTGATTTAGATGTTATAAAAAATGTGGTTATAATATTGAGGAAGGTAAACCCAGATAACACAGTCACCATTAAATATTCATTTAATAAATAATTATTGATATCTGTTTTATGCCACATGTTGTGTTAAGCTCTGAGCATTCAATGGTCAATGAGAAAGACACAGTCTTATGGGGCATATAGTCTAGTAATAGTCTAGTAGGATATTACATATGATAAAGAAATTAATCAAATAAATGACAAAAATTGCAAATTGGGATAAATGTCAAAAAGGAGAGCAATATTTTGTTAATATTAGAAATAAATGAGTGCTGGGTTGCTACTTCAGAGAGAGTAGTTTGAAAGACCTCTCTTAAGAAGTGGGATCCGAAAGATCTAATCATAGAAAGTGTAGGGAGGGGCAGACAGTCCAGGCTGAAGAAAAGAAAGTGCAAAAGATCCAAGGTATTGAGGTACTGAAAGAAGGCCAGCATAGCTGGAGTCTGGAGAGCAAAGTGAGAGGGACAAGAGAGGCAAAAGATGAGATTGGGAGCATGGGCCAGATGGCATAGAGCATTAGAAAAGATGTAAAGTACAAGAGCATAGAAAGATTTCAAGCAGAAACTCTACATGATCTGGCTTACATTTTAAGAATACTCTTGGGCAGGTGTGGTGGCTTATGCTTGTAAGCACTTTGGGAGGCTGAGGCAGGAGGATCGCTTGAGTTCAGGAGTTTGAGACCAGCCTGAGCAACAAAGGGAGACCTTGTCTCTACAAAAAATAAAAAATTAATTAATTAACCAGGTGTGGTGGTGCATGCTTATAGTCCCAGCTACTTGGGAGGCTGAGGTGGGAGGATGCTTGAGCCCAAGAGATCAAGGCTGTAGTGAGCTATGATTGCACCACTGCACTCCAACTTGGGCAACAGAGTGACCTGTCTTAAAACAACAACAAAAACAGCAAAAAAACAAAACAAAACAAAACAACAAAACAAAAGAAGCAACATAAAAACTCTCGCTACTGTGAAATGGAATATGCAAGGAGATGGGTAAGAAGCTATTGCTATAATCCAAGTGAGCATTGATGGCGTCCCAGACTAAGGTGAAAAGAAAAAACCAGAGAGAAATAGAAAGATGAAATACTTTCTATTTAGAGGTGGACTCAACACAACATATGTATAGAGAGTGGTAAAAAGGAAAGCATGTGCAATGTTTTTGAATATGTTAATGTACTTCTAGAGTTTGTGTGTGTTTGTGTGTGTGTGCGTGTGTGTGTGTGTGTAATGGGGTTATTCATCAGTTATCAGCCTTTTTGTTTTTGCTACTTTATGCTTTTTTGTTTTTGGTAAATAACCTTTTATTTTATGAGAGAGAGCGAGCCTCCTTGTTTTATTAATTTACTTTGCTGAGTTATCGAAGACATTATATAAATATAAATATAAAATATCTACAAGTATATTGACTTTGGGGTTTATTATATTTGGGTCTTCTTAAACTGTTTAATTGCATGATATCATTAAAAAATGGTTGCACATTCTGATTATTATGAAGGCTTTGTTCATGATGGTCTACTTTTATCTGACTTATCTACTCAGGAAACTACATTTTATATCTTTTATTTATCTTTTATAGTATTTCACATGTTTTACAATTGCAATGTTTTATTTTTTATCATTTCACCCTTTTGGTAAAAACTCGGGCAGATATCACAAAGTTTATAATGACGTTTTCTTATGCTTTCGTCTATCCATTTGCAGGTACTATAACATACAGCAATTTATTGATGAATCTGGTACAGACTTTGTCATTTTCTTCTCTAGATTTTAGAAAAGTTTTACTCAAAGAGTGTGTGATAATATCAATCTGTGTTTAAACTATATCCTTGCAGGTATTAAGTCCTGAGAAGCATGAAATGTTCGAATGTTTGTGTATATTATGGCCTAAAATCCATGTCCTTATGAAAATCGTATGCCTAGCACAGTTCTCGACATATTATAGATGTTTGACAGATGTTTGTTGACTGAATGAGTGGTTTTCTTGCAGTAATGGTCACATGAGGATGTTCAGTGGCCATCTTTTTGTGTTAACACTAACACTATAAAAGGCATTCTAATTTAAAAAGACTAGAAATGGAGAACAAAATGTGGTACATCTATACAATGGAATACTACTCTGCAATAAAAGGAATGAACTACCAGTTAACTCATAAGACACAACAACAAAAAAAAAACCCAGTTCAAAAATGGACAAAGAACTTGAATAGACATTTCTTAAAGAGAAGATAGATAAAGGACCAGCAAACACATGAAAAGATGCTCAACATCACCAATCATTAGAGGAATGCAAATCAAAACCTCAATGATATAACCACGTCATACAGATTAGGATGGCTACGATTAGCCATCCTAACAAAATAACAAAACAGAAACAAAAACAGAAAATAACAAATATTGGTGAGGATATGGAGAAATTGGAACCCTAGTGCATTGTTGATAAAAACATAAAATGATATAGCTACTGTGAAAAACAGTTTTGCAGTTCCCCCAAAAATAATAGAATTACCATATGATTCAGCAATTCCATTTCAGGGCATATACTGAAAAGAATTGAAAACAGGGTCTCGAAGAGTTATTCGTACACCCATATTCAAAGCAGCATTATTCACAATAGCTAAAATGTGAAGCAACTCAAGTACCCATTGATGGATGAATGAATAAACAAAATATGCTGTAAACACACATTGGAATATTATTCAGCCTTTAAAAAGGAGAAAATTCGGATGTACACTGCAACATGGATAACCTTGAAGACATTATGCTAAGTGAAGTAAGTCAGTTGGGAAAATGCAAACACTGTACAATTTCACTTACATGAGGTACACAGAGTGTATAGAGGCAGAAAATAGAATGGTGATTACCAGGGATTTATGGGAAAGAAGAAATGGGTGCTTATTATTTAATGGATATGAAGTTTCAGATTTGCAAGATTAAAAAGTTCTGGAGATATATGTTGGTAATGGTTGCACAACAATATAGATGTACTTAATACCACTGAACTGTATTTTTAAATATGGCTAAAAGGTTCAATTTTATGTCATGGGTATTTTACTATGATTTTTTAAATAACTTGAAGAAAAAGAAGTACTGATACCTGCTACAATGTAAACAAACTTAAAAAAACAAACAACAACAACAAAAACAAAAAACATTATTCTAAAATGAAAGAAGCCAGTCACAGAAGATCACATAACCAGAATACGTCCAGAATAGGTAAATATAGAGACAGAAAGTACACTAATGCTCGCCTGGGGCTGAAAGTAGGATGGTGGGACTAGAACGTTACTGCTCGTGGGCATGGGGTATCTTGGGGGTGATTAAAGTGTTCTAAGTGTAGATTTTGGTGTTAATTATACAACCCTGTAATTATACAGGAAAATTCTACAACAAGTAAATTATATCTCAGTTAAACTACTGAAGAAAAAGACTGGAAAGAATGACTCACACTATTTCAACATACTACTCCTCTCTCTTAGTAACATTAATTTATTCTACATAAAATTTATAGTCTCTTGCACACAGCACTTACATATAATTGATTTTATTTTCACATTTCAGGTAAAGTGGGTTGAAACTATTATCTTACCCCATGATGAAACTGAGGCTCAGGGAAAAAAATATGATTAAGCCAAGATCCTGTAGTAAATGAGAAAACCTAAATTGAAATCCAGTTCTGACTTCAAAGCCATTGAATTTTCTACTACATCATGCTTCTTCTTAATGGAGAATGGTTTAAGTTCTGTGAGGCACTCTTTACCTAACATAATTTCCCTAGTCAAACTGAAAGTATTTGAGATTAATATGTTTTCAATAGTATTGTGAAATGAATTGCTTTATTTCTCTGAATAACTTGCAATGTATGAATGACCACACACCCTAGAAGCTTGATTTTTTGGCTGGGCAATCTAGGGAGAGCTTCAGCTGGAGAGAACATTAGGGGCAGATGGTTAGTGGTCTAACAGCTGACAGCAAGGAGGAGGCATAGGCAGAGCAGAAGTCACTGGGAAGAACCAGCAGTGAGGACTGGGGACTCAGCCTGCATTAGAGTCTAGGGTAAGGATTCCAGGCTCCCAAATGCCCTCTGGTAGCTAACAGGGACCGTTACTTTCCTGGAAGACTGAAGATGGGAACTCAACAGTAAAGAGGGTGAGAAGAAGCAAGAAAGGGCACAAGTTCCTTGAATACAAAAGAGGGCCTGGGGCACATAGAAATAGTAAACCTCATTTCATTGAAATTAGGTTGAGATTAAGAGAGGGAGCTGTGGTGGGACTGCTTTTATGTTTAGACTCAGATGTGGGATGCCCATAAAAAACTGAATTTACAGACAAAAATTAAGTGATCTCTGTCATAGAGAGAAATGCGTTAAAGCAGATCATTATCAAACACTAAACTATAAGCTCAATTAATAACAGTTTTTCTCTCCCAATTAGTGGTGACGTTTTACCAATAATAATTTCTGTGGGTTAAGGAAAAATGGGAACAAATCTGAATATCGTTTGCTGTCTTTTATTTCAATTTCCTGAAATTATTGCTTTAATAAAGAGTTATTCTCTTTATCCCTCAGTTCTTTTGAGGCTTCCATGGTCATGGGGGTGAGATAAGAAGCAACTGGAACTCAATTTCTTTTTAACTTATTTTTCTCTACCCTGAAGCTTCTAAGAAAACTACAGGTGATAGACAAGTTGTTTCTAATCTCCATACAGGAAGAAAAGATTTCATTTTTACTGCCCACTTCTTTTCCAGTCCTTTGAAGCTTTGTAAAAAAGAGTAGAAACCATCCCAACCAGCTGGGTTTCAAAATTTAATAAAAGACTGTCCATGAAATATCCCCATTCTCAGAAGGAACATTTATAAGTAGGAAAATTCCATATGCTAAATGAACACAAAGATATGCATTCATACATCATATATTTGGTATTAATAGCAAAAGATCTGTCTAAATGTTCCTGCAGAAGTCCAGAATAGTGTAGTCCAGAATAAGGCACAATTCTCTGCTTGGGAACACAGTCTAGTTGCCAATACTTATCTACTCTTCCTGTGGCTCCTTTGCCTGAAGAGTATTGAGCTGGCAATATTATTTACCCATTGTTATGTGATAATATTACAACAATCTACATACATTGAAGCTGAAGCAATTTACATTTATCATCTCACAGATTCTGTCAGGAATCCAGATATGGCTTAGCAGGATTCTATGGAAGGATGCCATCAAGGTGTCAGCCAGCTGTGGTCTCATCTGAGACTCAACCTGGGAAGGGTCTACTTGCTTGCTCATATAGCTGTGCACAGCATTCAGTGGCTTGTGGACTGCTAGACTGAGGGTTCCAGGGAGCAGCTTACAACACAGTAGTTTGCTTTTTGAAAGCCAGGGTAAAGTGAGCTTTCCAGCAAGACAGGCATACCAATCTTACATAACATAATTACATACTTCCCGTTACCTTTTCTGTATTCTATCAGTCAGAAAAAAGTCACAGTCTTACCTACACTCAAGGAATAGAAGATTACATGCACAAAAGCATGACTACCATGAAGTGGAGATCATAGGGGCCACACTGGTTTACTCTTACCTTGGAGATGCTGATAGTGCTGCCTAATTTCTCCTCATTTGTTTCCTTCTACAGAATGAAGCTTGAATGCGGTTTAGACCATCTTTTTATACTCCAAAACCTAAAAGTACAACAGTAACCACATGAATCATGATTTAATGACAGTGATCTGCTGTAGTTTAATCTTAGCTTCAATGCATTGTATTATTATGCATACTTATTATATATTTTCCTGTCTCTCCAATTAGATTCCAAGCATTATTTTCTACATCCTTCATGCTAGGAACAGCTTCCTTTCTTCCGATTCATATTTATAAGAATACCACTTTGCTCGTGTGTTTTATTGTAATTTCTCTTCATTTGGAAATTGACTTAGTCTTCAGCTCCCTCTCCTTCTATCGTGCATCTTTCCTAGCTCTCCCTTTCAAAGTTAGATCTACCTGAGAAAGTACCTCACAATCCTTCTTTAATAGTGACAGTCCCATCACTTTGCTATTTTGCCTTGACTTTTCTCTCCAAGGTTGTTTGGGTTGTTCCCCTGGAAAAGAAGGATTGTGATTATTCTGTGTAGCTCCAGAAGAC
Source organism: Homo sapiens (assembly GCF_000001405.40). Classification (NCBI taxonomy): domain Eukaryota; kingdom Metazoa; phylum Chordata; class Mammalia; order Primates; family Hominidae; genus Homo; species Homo sapiens. The sequence goes on from NC_000003.12 coordinate 115,486,954, forward strand.
AGAATGAAGATCAATAATAGGAAGTGAGAGGGAAAAATTGTAACTCAGTTTCTGGAAGAGTTTTCTAACAACAACAACGACAATGTGACAGTCCCTGGAAGTGCCAAGGTAGGAGCTGTCCCTTCGTCAGCAGTCCTGGAGAAAGAATGCCAATGCTGCAGTGTCACAACTTAAAGGACTGACTTCTCCTTTAAGATCTCTCCCAACCCTGAGAGGACATCATTCAGAAAGGATGTTTTCAAATTTTCTTTTCATCTTCTTTTCCAAAGTCTAAGCAAAAATAATTAAATTAATTTAAAAGCTAAATGAAATGAAATAAAATAAAACCTCCCTAGCATAGCCACCAAATTAACCTCTTCAGGATGGTCGCATTTCTCCCCTCCTACCTCCACCCACTTTGACTTTGCACTTTGCAATGCTGGACTTTGTTTCCACCTTTCCAATGCATACATTTCTTTCTGTTATTGGTAGTGCTACGAGCTCTCAGGACTATGATTAGTCTTTGCTGCATCCCCAAATCTCTTTTTTTATTTTTGTTTTCTGCAGTTTTTTTCATTTAGCATGAACTGACATCAAACAATTAGGGACAATATTGGCATTAAAAGGAACTAAAAGGAAGTCTTGCCTTATTCCCATAATTTCTCAAATTTCTTTTCCCATCTACCAAGTTATCAAGTTGAAATGCAATTTCTCACAGATCTCAACAACCCAAAACAAAATTGGGTCATGCTTTTTGTTTGAGAAAAGAATCCTAGTTTATCAGGTTAAAGGCTCTTCCTTGATTTCAATCATGTGAATAACTTCCTGCATCCCTTTTCCGCTATGTTCAGCTTCCACACGTCAGCCATTTTCCATCCCTCTGAGAATGCTCCACTGTGCTCAGTGTCTTCACATAAATTCTGCTGTTCTAGCCAGACTTTAAATTATGTGTGATTATATTTTTAATCTAACACCTAATATCACATGACAAAAAGACAGTAGAAATTATACCCAAATAGTAGAAAATGTGGGAGTAAGACAAAAGCTGGCTTAAGATTGTCTACTTTTGAGAGAAACATTATTATTGTGTTGATTTTAAATAAATGTAAAGGTTTCAAAGATGGAAATTATGTGCTCTTGCAGAGATTTAATGCATGGTGTGAGACAGCATATATGACCTAGGATAATCCCGATGAGCTGTGAGAAGGCACTTGCCCACACAGTGTCAGAATGACCTTAGTTGTTAATTAGCCACACAGGACCTGCCCTGGATGTTAAATGTCAAAATCATGAAGGCTTTCATGGCTAATGTCACTTCTAGATTGTTGTTGCTAGCACATAGTTTGTCAAATCATTCATGCTCTTTATCAGCCTAGTAATTCCAGGATAAAGGATAACATGCATGCAAAATACCAATGTAGTAACTGGTTCACTATAGGCACTCAAAACAAGTGAGGCCCTTCTCCGTCTCACCCCCAGCTCACTCTATTTTTATTTTTGCATAAGCTTTTTGGCAGCAAATAATATCCATGAGATAAAATAGAAATGACAATCCTGCCATTTCCATTCTTTTAAGGTAGAAATCTGGAATTGAGCCTCTTTTTTGATAGGCTTGTCCTGTATTATTTGTTTGAAGGCAGAGGCCCTAAAGGGGGCTTGCAAGACAAAAATGCCATATCAGCATTTTATATGGTCCTCTAAAATAATTAAACCTGGAAAAAATCTGTTTTGTTTATCAAATTTGCATTTGTCTCACTCCCAGTTTTCAGGGTTGCTTTTATTTCCAGAAGTCAAATTTACTTTCCTCTATCCCCTTAATGTTCCTATTAAATGAAAAATACAACAAACATATACAGAACTCCACCCTTCATCCCCACTGCCACAGACACACTCAGACACACATTTGCCCATCTATCCGTAGATTCAAAAAGATTATTTCATACTTGATTTCTTTTATACCCCTGGTAAATCAGCAAGTTAATTTATTTTCAGGGCTACTAATATGATTGATTAAATGAAAGCTGAAGAAAAAGTTGTGATTTATGTGTATGTGTTGGGTGGCAGGGTGAGGGCAGGAGGCGGGATGGGAGCAGGAATGGTTTTATAATCAGCTTTGAACGAAGCCAATTTCACAATACATACTAGCTCCCCACAAGCTCCAGTAACCCATTAAATTTCTAGCTTCATGATGGCCGCAAATGTTGGTGAAGCTTGATCTTTTTCTTCTCCTGGTAGAGAGAAAATTTGAAAGTAAACTCCTGAACTGAGTGGATAAATGGCTGCTAAATTATCTCAGGAAATGAAAGAAAATAACAACAGGTGCCTACTGTTCAATTATTTTGAATAAGCTGTTTTATCTTCTCACTTTAATCCAGTGGGTAGGGGTTTAACAGATTGGAAAAGGAGATTCGGAGTTCAGTTCAGTTCATTCTTGAAAGTATTCAATTACACTAATTCACATTAAATTATTAAAAACTGGGCTTTAACAATTCCCGAAATTATTTGCACTTTTTAACCTAAGTGAAACACTAGTTGATGGTCTGGGTCTAGGATAGATGCTGGGAGGAAAGGCTTTTCCCGAGGTTCAGACCTCTCCCCACCTCTACTCTTCCTTTAATAAACCAGCTTCACAATGGTTCAGCTTTGCTTGATCTGCCCACTGCTTAGGACCCCTGTAAATATTTCTGTATTCCATGGGACTTAAAGACAAGTTGTGGGGGTAGGCCCGTTATCAAATATGCATATCACAAATCAAAAAATGAAAATTTCCTGTATTTATATCAATATTTTACTTTTAATATGCTCACACAATTATAGACCTCAACTTTTGTAATGGTAGGGACTCTACCATACCTATTTAGTAAATACTCTTTATTTATGGTGATAATAAAAATGCAGAAAAGAACTTAGCAAATTTTAAAATAACAGTTACATAAAAATAACCAGAAGCCATTGTCTTCTCCTCTGTACCTTCTTTTAAAAATGTCTCATTATATTTTCATCTTTTAAATGTGTTTTTAATTACAAAACTCTAATCTTGTAGTAAATGATACCAAATACACACAAACATGTTATATAAATTAATGTATTGGACACTGCACCCATTATTTATGTTATGAGATGACCTGGATTTCATGCAAATCCTCAGAATAATAATTCTGTCATTACTCTGCATACATTTGAGCTTTGTGTAACATGTCATAGATTAAGAAAACTCTAATATTATATTAATAGTTTTAAAAAAATCTACACCTGCACATCTTTGCTGCTCTTGTCTACAGAGCTCATTCAAAGGCCAAGTCTCAGGCACATTACTTTGGTGCAGGCTCTACTTCTGGGTACAAACTAGTGAGTATGGGAAACATCACATACATACATCCTTTATATATTTAGAAATCATTATAGAAAAAAACCTTTACATATAGCATTATGTTAAAATGAATCTCTTTTAAACTCATTGTTTACACTGAGTCCCCAAAAGGTCAGGAGCAAAACAAAGTTACCAAATTCCAAATTCATAGCTCAAAGTGAAAGGATTAACCACACTTGAAGGGTTTGCAAAGGCGGCTTGAAAATACTGGTCTTATAATCCTTAGCTGACTGTATACTTTTAGCTTATAAAAGAAAATACAGAAAAGGGAAGTTGGGAGTTTGAGAAAGGTTTTCCCTGGAGAGTTGTTCAAGTCATGTCAATTCACCACCCCTACCCTGCTCAAGGTGGAAGATGGGGCTTTGTCCCCACATTACAGGTGCAAGAGACTTCAATGGGACCAACCAAAGAGCTTAAGTGATTTTCCTGTGGTTTGAAGAAAGAACAGTGAACTTGTGTTTGACACAAGCAAGAGGCCATGTCTGGAATTGCTTTCTCTCACAAGAGGCAAATAGAGGTAGCTGTGTCTGGGAGAGACTGCATGCTGTGCTCGGTGAGCCAAAGATATGCAACTATTTTCCATAGACTGGTGTGTACATCTAGGGAAAATTGCATAAGGTTCTCACCAATGCTGCCTGCAAAAATTGTTTGTAAAAGCTAGGAGATCTCAGCCAATAGGCCTAGGGTTCATGGCAAAAAAAGAGACCAGCTTGGGCAGATGCATTTGTACTGTCAAGGGAACTTCAGGTAGAAGATCCCCAGCACTTAAGCGGAGGGGCTGTCTGCACAATCCATAACACTTCTGATTTTAGGAGTCAGCACTGAACTTCTACAGCCAGTGAAACCAAAGGCTGATTACAAGGGTGACAATAAAGTAACGCTTTTTCTATACAATAACATCCCTGTGGGTACACACACACAAACACACACATACACACACACTTCTGCTCCCAGAGCCAGGAGCCACAGGTAATAACTTTTGAATTCATAAGGTAATATAAGATATAAGATATGATAAGAAATAAATGAGTTTAAAAAGAATATTTGTCTTAGAAACCTGTAACTTAATATAGGCAAATCATGTAAATTGGTTAGAAAACAATTGAAACAACTGTTGTCCTTTCACATTCATCAAATATCTAGGATGTTTGTGAAGATAGAAAACTTAATACGATATCTTAAATACTTAATGATGGGAATATAATAGCATTTTTTGTTATTTTTGTCAAATTTTTGTCAATTTTTGTCAATTTTTCTTCCCAAAATAAGAATTTGCAATGCCCAATTCTTCTTCCCAATTTTTCTTCCCAAAATTTTGTCAAAAATTTTTGTCAATTTTTCTTCCCAAAATAAGAATTTGCAATGCCCATTCATTTCCTCGATCATCATAAAAGCACCATGCAATAAGTTTTTAATGGAACTTCTATTTGCTGAGAAATTCTTGGTCTGTAGATGGAAGTGCAGCAAAACCATTTACATTAGGATCTCTTTTTATACCTTCAGCAGAAACTAAAAGAGAAGATGATGTAAACGCCCTTTGGAAAAGGTCAGATACCGCACATCATGTGCTTATTCTTGCTTGAGCTTTCCTTGTTGTGCCTACCTTTCAGTTGCATAAGAGCACTATCTCCTCCCCGGCAGTTAATGACTTTTGTTCCATAAAATGCAAGTGATTTTCACTGCCTCTGAGAGAGTAATTTTTTGATTCAACCATTACAGATTTGGACCATCCAATTCAATTATGTTTGATTGGGCCCTCCTCACTGATGGTCAGTTTCAGTCAGACTTACACCCTCAATATGCGCCGTGTATTTTAGCAAATGGTTTTTAAAGTTGTTACAATAGTAGGATTATTAAGAGTGAATGATCATTCAAATCATTTCAGAATAATCCTGTTGTTTGGTTGATATTAGTGTTATATTCCTACATAAAAGATCCTCTCATCTGCTCCCTTTTCAAATTTCTAATTGGGTTTAATTGAGAAATATCCTGATGAAGAAGCAACAATCATTAAGAAATATTTTATTGTTCACTGTTACTTCTTAGCCTGTGAGTCAGATTTTTCCTACTACCACATACCCAAAATAAAGTGTGGAAATAAACTATATTGTTGAGACTAAGATTTTATGGTTACTAATTTTAAATTTTGTCTTCATAAAATGTCTTGATCTTATTAATGGAATTTATATGTTAGTGTTGTGAATTTGATACTATGAAATCCTTTCACATTAATGACATACATTTATCAATTTTACTTGAAGGGATTGGTAAACATTTTATTTTGAAAAGCTTCCACTGCTCTCGAAAACTGAAAATTTCTGGTCTACATTGAAAGTTGAGTAAACATCTTGTTTATTATAATGCTCTGGGCTTGGAAGAAATTATTTATATTTTAGTAAAAAGAGTTAATTCTGGCACTTCTAATTTACAATGTATTAATGTGAACACATGGACTTAGGGTTTTATTAACAATATCTGTCATAGTATGTTTGCTAAACATTTTGATAAAGTAGACAATGTTACATAAGAGAAAGTATTTTCAAGGGCTTTGCTACTTAATGTCTGTTGACATATAAATAGAAAATGTTTATTAGAAATGAGTCTCATTTGTTCATTAAAGCTGTTTCACAAGTTTGATATTCAGACATAATAATGTGAACAAATCAAATTAAAGAATCACCAGAGTGATAAAATCAGAATTTCTGGGTTGTTAGTTAACTTATAGGTCAGCCAATCTAAGCACTCATTTAGTGGTTGAGCACCTATTACTGCAAGGTATGGAACTCTTTGCACAATACAAGAAAGTATAAGTGGCCTTTGCTCTCAATGAACTTAGATGGGGAAGTGAGGTATAAACATGTGAGATTTAACTAAAAAGCTTTAAATCATAGCGAAAAAGACACTAAAAATGATAGCCTAAGAGAGCACGATATTAACTGCCAAAACAATTAACCAATCTAATTCATCTTTTCAGAGGAAGCTATCCAATCTATCCCACAGACTGTTATATGGAAGGGAGTTCTATGTACATTCTTTAAAACCTGCAGCACATCCTTTTTGATAATCCAACTCAGGTCTCTCTTAATGTAGAGGTTTTGGCGACATTTCTATATAGGGCATTCCTTGAGATACAATATAGATTTTTATTATATTACATTAGAATTTACACATAGTTCAAAATAACATTAGACTCTCAGGTGTAAGATCTTCTTTGGTTCATGTGGAAAGAAGAGCCAGGAAAATGTAACTAATATAGGAGAAGAAATAGGAAAAAAAAGAGAGAGAAATTTCTACTGAAGCTTTCTAAAATTTTTGTGGATCACGGGTTAAGTCTAAGTGTTAAAGTATCATGTTGTAGTAAATAATTGGCAATGAGGCTATAGTGGTGGTGTTGGGGCCAGGTAGATAATGATTCTTCTAGTCAAAGGTTTTGAGCTCAGAATCTTCCATCCTCTTTGCTCTCTTTTTCTAACTAATAAATTAAGATGAAACAGTTTCTCTTTCTATCTTTCTGTTCTGCTTTTCCCATCATTCACTCTGCCAAAAAGAAATCTCCCTAGATTCTTGGTGTAAGTTTTTATTGCCACTACTTTCTGTACTGTGTTAAGTTCTTCTCCAAAGAATGTGACACTGAGACTCAAGGTCTTTCCCCTTTTTATATCTTTTCAAACATCACTACCTTGTGTTGTTTCCTGCAGTATTCTATTGTAATGGGCATGACGATTTCACTTTACTGCAAAGGAATATGAGGGTTGAAACTATAATTGGATTAAGTTACAGTTATGCATTATTCAATTACTGATTCTATCTTCTTAGCTTTGCAGGCTAAACCTGCAATCACAATTATGTCTTTCTCTCTATTTTGTTCATTAAATGACTCCATGGTGAATCCACTTTTACCCCACACTTCCAACATTTCAGCTCTCTACATTAAGAGATTTAAGAAATTATCCTTCAAAGCACACACACACACACACACACACACACACACACACACACACACACACACAACTATGTAGTCTTAGAGATGTAAAGAAAGACACTGCCTAGTACATCTTTTTAAATATAAAATTGGATGAGAAAATTTAAACTCAGAGAGAGAATGATTATAGAGAGTGGTAGTACTGAGATTAAGCCAAAGCCACCTGGCTCCAAATTCAGTGCTCATCCTTATCATTCCTTTCGTCATCAAAAGAATTTTCCTTTCCCTATAGTATTAAATTGTACAAACCCCAATAAGTATTATAGAAAAACTTCACCATTCTAGCCTGAAATAAGATTTTCCAGAGCCTGGCATCCACTCAAATAATCTGGTATTTGGGGATTTTTCAGAGTAATAGAAAATTAAAAACCACATATAAATAGCCATTCTTTAATCATTAAACAACAAATTTACTTGATCCTGTAGTAGGTTGTTCTGAGACTAGACCTCAAAACTTCTGAATCATTAATAACTAGAAGCAGGGATAAAAACATTTTTCTAAAATTTCATATACTTGTCTCCTCTGGTTCTGGGGTGGAGGCAGGAACTTTGCAAATACAAATATATTCTTGCTGCAGGTGTATTCATCATTGGGCCAGGCACACTTTCCCTCATTCCTTTCTCATAGTACATAACACAGTTGTTCAGAAAAACAAATCCTCCCTTCATTTGCTTCCTTATTATAGCTTCCCTTTCCCAGCAGCATTTGCTCTTGCACCTGCCCTGCCATTTCTTAAATGCCAGCGTGATTAATGAGTGCCAGAGGCAGCAGATGGGAAGGTACACTTTCCCTGTCTGCACTCTTACATTAGCCAGTAGGAGTTCTTGTTCCTTCCCATAACACTCCATTCAGTTGATCACCAAACCGTCAGATACAATGTGAGAGGCATTTGGTACTTGTTCAATACAAAGATCTGAATCAGCTATTACCCAAAGTTCAGCTGAAAACAGTGTTTGTGAATTTACTTACCAATCTCACACCTCAGTCATGAAAGTACATTTGAGTCCCACCCATGATGCAATGCACCCATAGCTCACCTCCTAAGTTTTGCCCCAGACTTGGCCATTGGAATTTTATTAGAGATGATAATAAAATTTTGTAGTAGATCTACCCTAATCCTGACCTTAAAATTAGCTTCATCATACTATAGACCATATTAACTTCCTACTGGATTCGTAAAGGAATCCATCCTTCCAATGGTGTGAAGGAGCTCTGAATTATGGTAGTCATGCCTTCCCTGATGCGGTTCCCAATTATTTGGGGACCTATTTTCAAGTCAGAGAATCAGTGGGGTCTTTAGATTTTTTTCCCTTTCTACAGTAGCTTTCCTTTTGGTCTTTTTGCTGCTCATTAGAACCCCCCAGTATGTGGTCAGGGAAAAAGATGTAAAAATCAATTCTGTCTATTTTGCTGGTAGTGGATAAGAAAATAAGCTATTGTGACAATGGAGAGGGTGTGGAAGCTACTGGCTATAATGAGGCTTATGGATGATCCACACATTGATTATCTGGCTCATCTTACAGCTGTGAAAACTGGGTGTAGTTTCTATGTAGAAACAAATTTTCATTTTTCTAGCCCATCTTGACTGGTTTTTTAAGTCATAAAAGCAGTGGTAATTAAAATCCAAGAATCATATATAGGCATGAAATAAGAATAAACTCTCTTTCCCTCTTCCATAGTGTTACTTCAAAGACATTTGTGGACACCTTTGTTTTTAGATTTCTGTTGGTAAGCTACATTACTCCAAATAATATATCTCTGCTATTTTATTTAGCAATTCTAAACAGTTATATCTTAACTATCAACTACAAAAGATGAAGAATTTAGTCCCTTGATACTATCCTGTTCCCTTCTCTCTTCGTGCACGATTTAATTTTTTTAGCTTTTCTATTGGTTACCTTTATAACTTTAAACAGTAGATTTAAAGCCATATCAGTTCTATCTACCTATCTATCATATCTGTCTATCATCTATCTATTACTTATCAAATTATCTACCCATCTTTCTATCTAATACCTACCTACCTACCTAGGCCTACTATAGACACTATTTTTGACTCTTTACCATGCAAGGTAAAATGTAAGTGTCCATTATATATCTATGCTTTGGTTATGACGGTGATTGATTGTAAAAATTACAATTACATAAATTGTGTAAATGTTATTCGCTGAAGATGAATGACCTGTGGAGAAGGTGATGTTTTCTTTGGGTCAAAAGCCAAAGAAATTCCTCCTGAAGAAGAATATCTCTTGGAGGAACATCAGTTGCTCAAAATCCTGCCTCACTTTTATTTACTTCAGATATGTACTATGACTTTTATACTTTCACATATGCTTCTCTTAAAATTTCCAATTGTTTTTATTTTTTATTGTAGTTAAAATAATCATATAACTTTACTTTATCCTCAGATTTCCTGTGTATACTGCTTGTTACAAAGAATCGATTTTCTTTATGAAAACATATTTTTTAGAGTCCTCTAACTACCTGTTATGATTTGGCTAACCTGCTTTTCAGCCTTATTTCTCAGTAGCCATGCCAGGATTTTCCCATTACCAATCTACATTATTATTGTATTATCTCAGAATTTGATCTTTTATTCATCAAGCTTGCTATAATAATCCTAAATTTTCACACCTTTCATCTTTTTTTTCCAATCCACTCTTCACAATAGAATTCTTTGCAAAACTCATGTGAAATGAAATGTTTATCTGTTTTAAAAATGAAGAATTAAACTTGTTTTCTCTTTTGCTTTATACCACTATAAAAAGTGATTTGACCCATTCTGTAGGAAAGAATGAAACCATTTCATCTCCTAAGGAACGGAGGCCAAGCAATTTTTTTTTTTTTTTAAGATACAGTCCATCCTGCACTGAAGGAAAGAAAGCCAGCTTTCTTCATTCTAATGGTTTGGACTGTTTATAGTTTTAATCCACCAAAGTAGCTATTGTGACAGAATACAAAAGAATGTCATTTTCAGGAGAATAGAAATTTGTCTATATCTTTTTCCTTTCTTTGTAGTAGCTAGAACAATGGTTCTCAAGATGTGTTCTAGACCAGCATGTTTATCACCTGGGAACTTGTCAGGAACTCAAATTATTGGTTCTTACCCCCATCTACTGAATTAGAGATTCTGGCAACAAGATTCTGGCAATTTGTGTTTTAAGAAGCCCCCCAGGCAATTCTGGTGCAAGTTAATGTTTGAGAACCACTGGCCTAGAATGATGTCTTCCATATACTGGGTGTTCAATCATTATTTGTTGAGAACATACATAAACATTGATAAAAAGGGATAGAAGAGCCTTGAAGTGGCTGAGTTGCTGTGAAAGGCACTGTGGAAACCCCTAGGAAACTTGTTGAATTAGAATTCTTTCCAGTAAAAGACTGTCTTCTTATGGGAGGCACTTTCAGGTTGCCTTCACTTAGGACTTGAGTACTTCAATTATCTGGTCCTTAAAAGAGTGGACCTGTCTCTTCATCTGCACCCAGAACTTTTCTTTGCAGAGTCATCCGGGACAGCCATACTCCAATAACAGCCCCTGGATACCAATCAAGGAATTTGCAAGGAGTTTTGGCTTGGGAATAGCTGTGAAGAGACTGAGCTGGGCCAGTAGGGGACGGATACTGTTATTGTATGTAGCCACCATTCATGATAATATTAACATGTCAGTCTGGCTGAGGCTTAAGTTACATCACAGGCATACTAGCACAGATAGACTAGAACAAAGTATTTTTTCCAACACCACTCTTAATACTATATAAGACTCTATTGTCAACAGAATGGTTTAGGAGGACAGAAAGAAACTCTTCCTAGGTGCTTTGGATGTCAGGGAAATCTTCAATTTATAATTAAGACTAGAAGATAGCAGGCATCATAAGGTTGGAATTAGAATCATGCAAGAAATATGTTTCTTGTGGTGGCTAACATATGAGCGGGATAGTGATTTTGATGTAATTTTTATAAGGTAACCCAGTCTGTTGACCCTAATTGATTTTCCTAAGAGGGCCATGAAACATAATCCACAAATCCATCCCTCTTCATCCATCTTAAAAAAGGATGACCTCATTTTTGAAGGGAGAGCTCTAGCCCTTGGATGACATAGTAAATATAGTTAGGGAGAAGGACCCTATTGCAAGTAGCAAGTTAAGATTTGGTGAGGGGGAGTGCTTTTCTGGTGCTAGTGAGGGAGCATGTAAACCTTAACTAGGGAATTGCATTATAATGCTTCAAAAATACCAGATTCATGAGCTTAAGAAATGCTGAAGGCAAATGACATCTCTCAGAGCCGTCAGCCTCCCACTCTCAGGGGTTGAGGTCATCAACTTTCCCAAACTGAATTAACATTCTGGTCTTTGGTCTTAATGCCTAAGCATTGTTGAGCAAATCTTTGGACAAGAAGAGAACTGAAAAGCTGGATAAGCCACCCTCCAGAATGTCTGTGAGGTTAGTAAGAGCTGACCTGCATATACTCTGCACTGGAGAACTGGCTCAGAGAATACTAGTGCAAGGAGCTTTAAACATAGGAATTGTTAATTATTCTACCTGGGATTAACGTGGGCTGGGGTTTCTCAGTGAACTTTCCATTCTAAATGAACTCTTAAAAACTAAACAGTCCCCCAAATTGTTAAAGACTGCTCAAGGAAAGGGAAAAGAATAAAATGTGGCTATTTCCTGCAAAATATTTCCTTCTGCCCACCTATCCACAGGAAGTGGTGTGAAAGAAAAGTACAACAAGAGCTGAAAAGGCCTTGAGCACAGATAACATAGGCTCTCTTGGAGTCAGCTGCTGGTGTACTTGGCTACAGGCTGTTAGATAGCTGCTGAGGTCAGTGGATTCTGATATCCTCTGAGAGGAAACCAACCCAGCCAGTTCTCACTGGCGTGGTTCAGAACACCTATAGTGGGAGGGTGACAAGGAAGGTCCTCCAGGCCCAATATCACTGGAGGACTTGGGGGTTTGAGAGCAGATCATGGACCTTTCCCAGACAGCAAGGAAAAGAGATCCATGCTAGGCTGTCTTGTAAGCTTTAATTTTTTCCAGGACTACTGGGGCCTCTGAGTAGAGGTAGCAGGGCAAGGAAAAGGCAGTGGGCATTCTTAGTGGGTGACAACAAATCACTGTATTCCAGACATTGTGTGGAAAACAAATGCATCCTAAAGACTAACTTACCTAGGCCAGAATTAGGTGACTATTGAGCCAGAATTTCTTGAGATGAGAGTGGTTGGTGGTCAGTGGTTGAAGTCAGTAGGTTATAACCAGAACTTGAAAGCAAGCAGGGAGTCCCACTGTGGTTGGACCAAGTGCAACGTGTTTAGAATGCTAAGCCCCTGCCCTTGGAAGCATGCAAAATGAAGGCCTTCCACGTCTTCCCTTTTCATGTTCTACGTTTTGATGTCTGCAGAGAATCCAAGGCACATGCCATGACATCCCATCTCTTTTCTAGGGGGTTATACTTCCCAGATGTCTCAAATTAAGTGCCAATAGCTTTGATTTCAGAGACTTCACAATACCCAAGGAGTGAAAAGAAATGAATAATAGAACTTTCAGCCAAGCGTAATGTTTTCTCTCACCATGATTAAAATGTGGAATGTGTTCAGACAGAGAACACAAATAGACATGAATAACCCTGACTATGTGAAATGTCTCATTTTATAAATTAAGGACCCAAGAGTGAACAAATGAAAGAGTTGCCAAATACTGACATAACCTCTGAATCTATGTAATTCTTTTGTGTTCCCCGCCATGACAGTGAGTATGAAAGGAGTTCTGAGAAACCCATCCTATGATTCTCTACTCACAAAATCTTCAGATATGAAGGCCAAAATCCATACACAATATATAAGGCCTTCTAAAATTGAAAACCTAACAACCTCTGCAGCCTTAGGTCTCATCACATTTGTAGTTTCCCAAACAATGTAGCCAGACCAGGATGAGCACTCAGTACAAAGATATGTAAGATAAAGTCTGCTGTCTGGAAAATACCACATCTTTAAAGACCATTCAGGGCTGCAAACACTCAGCACTCTCCTCCTTCCCCAGACATTACAATTACTATTGTATGCTTCTATAATAGTACCCATGAAGCTCCTTATGCAAAAACAAGATCATTCCACTTCGTATCCCTAGAAGTTAGCATAGTCCTAGGTATTCACAAAATAAACAATAAATATTGAATGCATGAGTAAATGAATGAATGCACAAGTAGCCTAGATACAAGCATGTATAGTGCCTTAACTAAGATAACTTTGTAGAACCAAGACCAGGACCAAAAATTAAATACAGAAATTTAAGCCCCTGCTTTCCTCAAAACCCCACCACAAACGCTATGTTACGTGAATCCATTTATTCTTTGTTTTGCATTGAGTATCTATAGCTATATATAAAGTGAACGCCTGGTGAGTGGGTGGGTAGTGGTGTTCACTCTTATTTAGTGGAATGTGAATATGTCAGAATCACAGAAAATAGAAAGAAAGAGGTTTATTCAAAGCTGTCAGTTCTCATGCCTGCTTTTAAAATCTGAGATGGTGCCTAGATGGTTCAAATTTAATATTCACATCCACTTTATCACATCAAATATCATCATTAGCAAACAGTGTTTGAATGGTAGCTATTTCCTGACTGACAATAGCCATCCGGTGGTACCCACTTTCCCATATGCCTGAGACTGATACAATTCAGATAGTCTGGAAAACAGTGGGAGGAAGGAAGTAATTAAAAATGAGGGGGAAGCTTGGGGCAGGGGATAAGCATCAATTTTATCTCACACAAGAATATCCCTATATTTATTCTCTTAAAAGTTATACGTGGGGACAGAAAGACTATTTTTAAACCTATTTTATATCCTCAAATGGACATGCAGTCTTGCTCATAGAGTGTCAGGAAATCCTGAGGATGGGCACTGGTATTCAAAATAAGCTTACACTGTAGGCTAAGAAAACAGAAAGAAATTAGCTCTGGAATACCATAGAAGTGGATGAAGCTGGAAAAGTGGACAGTGGTACTATTATAAATTCAGAGGCCCAAGCAACATTTTATAGAAGGTTGCCTGCCCCTCACCCACTCAAGGAAACACTTTACTGTCATCAGCAGTACCTTTACCATGTGGGGCAGGGGACAGGGGTGAGTGAGTAGGAGGGAGACCTGGCCCTCAGGGGTCTGTAAGCACTGTAGAATCTTCTCAGGCAGCAGCTTTACCCACAAAGATGGAGGAAAAGGTGTTCAGCAATAATTTGTAAACACTGAAGAACCAAGGTAAGAACGCTTTAATTGCATTCTTAATTTTAGGACTAACTGGTTGCAAAAACTGTCCTGTTCATTACATTCCTATCCTGTTTATTTTGAGCATTCACCTAAATCATGTTTCCCAGCCATCCCCTGCCTCCAGTTAGGTGGGGTCGTGCAGTGAGTTGTGGCCAACGGAATATGGGAAGAAGTGATTGATGCCATTTCCAGGCCTGAATCAGGATCCCCTACTGTCTCTTTCCTTGTCCATAGACTGAATGGGGAGGAATCTGAGACTCTGGAGAAGGAAAGTGCCCCAAGACAGATAGAGTCTAAGTCCCCTTATATGAACTACTCATAAGGCAGTCTACCAAACAAGAGGGTCCCTCCCCTGCAGCCATTTGGATTTTATGCCCTTCTATAAAGCCACCGAGATCTGGAGTTTATCCATTACAGTAGAGATAAAGCTGCTGCTTCCAACCCTTTCACAGAATTGACTCAGATGGTCTCACGTACCATGTCCTTCCATGCTCTCTGTCACTCTCAGGAGCATCTTCTTGACATTCCTCCTCCCATTTGGACCATGCAAGCCAACTGTTTATTCAGAATGTCAAAAACTCATTTGTGGCTAGAATAACAATGACATTTAAATAGTCAAAGAATCGACAGAGTAGTTTTTTGGAGAAAAGGTATAAAGAATTGAGGGAACATGATGAGCAATGCTTTTAGTCACCATGGCGTTCTTTTATTCATTGATGCACGCAAGTAATTTCAATTAAAGTGCCAGGTCCAATTGCATGTAGCCTTCCCTGTGGTTCCTGAAAGCACTAGGATTTTACTAGCATAATGGGGCTATTTAAACAGCTTTGGGCTCTCAATTCAAAGCTGGGATGTTGAAATGAGGTTAATAAACAAATAAATAGATGAATAATGAACCTCTGTATGTTTGGAGTATAATCATGGGAAGCTGGAAGTTAGTTAGGGACTGGGGAACAAATAAAACTGGGACTCCCGTGAGTAAATAATTTCCTCAAGATCCTGTTCCATATTTGAATCTTAATATAGATACACACTCCTCTTATTTACCCATATGATGAGTTAGGATGTAGAATTCCAGTTCAGAGAAAGAGTAACCTCTAAAAGACTGACAGCTTCCCCAGGTGCCTTCTGCCAATCACTTGCTGTCAGTTTAGCTTTTTCTATTGCTTCTACCTAAAAATAAATGAGAAATTCTTTCTTCAAAAATGATAATTCTCTGGCTTACTGCCTTTCCTTACTTTTCTAATTCTACTGTGGCAACTCTGGCCATTTAATAAATATAAAGATAAAAGTTCATTTAAAAGCAGAACCAGTCAGGATTACAGAGTAAAGGAAATAGGTGTACCTGCCTGTGCAGTTGAGGGAACCAGAAGGATGGGTTTCATCTAGAGATCCCAGCTGAACAACTTGAGTCAAGGAAAAGGAACTCAATCTTGCCTGGGATAGCTAGTGAACTGTTAGAAACAGAAAAACATATTGCAGTTGCCTCCTCCCTGTCTAGTGTTTAGAAAGATTGCCCTGAGTGTCCTGAGTGACCCAACCCTCAGCGTACCATGGTAATGGTCAGCAATTGCTAAGCCATGTTTTGACTGGTACCTCTTCTCTCTTTTCATATATATTTTTTTGAACTTCCTTTTGGATTTGGACCTCCCTTCCCCCCAAACACACAGCTCATGTCTATTGTATTCTCGAAGGTTTCCTACTCACTACTTTTATCTTTTTCTCAGAGAGACCCTAAACAATGGTTTTACCCTAAGATGGAGGAAAGATCCCTGGGTGACAGTTTGAAGAAATGTTTTCCAAGACAACAATCCATCATAAGTTATATTATAACTCACAGGTATATTCACTTCACTGGAAGAACCCCTGCCTATTGATGTCAAGCTCAACTGTGCGATGTGCTTGAGCTAATGCGATGTGAGCATACATGATACATGCTACCACCTTCCAGAAGCTTTGGGAGGCACTTTGAAATTCTGCCAGTTCTTTTGCTTCTGCCTCCTGCTATGAAAATGGTACATCCCACAGAGAGATTTCTTCTTTATCCTGGACCCAGGAATAAAAAAACACTTGGAGTAGAGCCAAATGGAATCAAGCAGAGACAAAACATCTGCAGCCACCACTATATAATGTGGACTATTGTTGTAAGCACTAGGATTTGGGGTTTCTATATGAATGCAGCAAAACTGACTAAAATATCACCTGACTAGGGGCATTAGAAATGGATTTTGTGAATGACAAATGAACTTTAATCCCCTAAGGTTTTTCAGTTATTTGATACAACTATAATTACCCTCATATAATAATTCCTCCCCACTTTCAATACCTTAGGACACCCATTAGCCCCTCAAACAGAAGGGCTATGAGGACATGAAAGGGAAAGTCTCAAGCTCCTCAAACTGGGTAGGATTAAAAGGATCCAGTTTGAAATTTCTCCAAAAAGCTGGACAGTGGTGACCATCCACCACCCCCATTTTCTGTAAGTCAGCACGTTACAAGTAGAGAATAGTAGCTTTAGACTATATCTTTGTAATAGCCACATAGATAAACTTCGATTTTCTTTTTACCTTTACCCTAATTCATTACAGATTTGCTAGGTACTATTTCTTAGAAACATAATTTTAGAAGGAATAATGTCCTTTCAAGCTGCCACTGCAACCGGAAGATGCCCTTTCAGATAACCTCTATATTCTCTAAAAAGTTTCTTATACTTTCTGTTTCCCACAGAAAGCTTTTGAGTTATTTTCTCACCATGATTTAAGCATAGGTCAACTGTTCTACCTGCATTTCTGTAGCTCCTGCTCTTGCCTAATTAGACATAGGATTTTTTATTTTAGCTGTGTTTATTTTTTGGTATCTTTTTTTCTCAATTTACTCTTCCTTTTAATTGTCCTCTTCTTTATACATCAAAGTAAACACTATACTGTATCATTATACTATTGGAAAACAGTTATCCATGAATCCTTTGAGTTTCTGCACATCCTGAGAGCAGAACTCACAGATTTTTGTTCTAGACTATCTTTTTCAAGGATGTTTATATAGCAGACAGCCTTGGAAAATATACTGTCATGCTCCAGAGCAAAGAACAAAATTGTTTGCTGTCCATTATAATAAAAATGATACCTCTGACATGGTTTGGCTGTGTCCCCACCCAAATCTCACCTTGAATTGTAATAATTTCCATGTGTCAAGGGCAGGGCCAGGTGGAGATAATTGAATCATGGCAGTGGTTTCCCTTATACTATTCTCATGGTAGTGAATTAGTCTTATGAGATCTGCTGGTTTTATAAGGGAGCATTTCCCTGCACAAGCTCTCCTGCCTGCAACCATGTAAGATGTGCCTTTCTCCTCCTTTGCATTCCGCCATGATTCTGAGGCCTCCCCAGCCATGTGGAACTGTGAGTCCATTAAACCCCTTGTTCTTTATAAATTACTCAGTCTCATGTATGTCTTTATAGCAGCATGAAAACAGACTAATATAGTAAGTTGGTACTGGTAGAGTGGGGTGCTGCTGTAAAGATACCCCAAAATGTGGAAGTGAATTTGGAACTGAGTAACAGGCAGAGGTTGGAACAGTTTGGAGGGCTAGAAGAAGACAGGAAAATGTGGGAAAGTTTGGAACTTCTTACAGACTTGGAGAACTCAGAAGACAGGAAGATGTAGGAAAGCTTGGGACTTCCTAGAGACTTGTTGAATGGCTTTGACCAAAATGCTGATGATTATATGGAATACAAAGTCCAGGCTGAGGTAGTCTCAGGTGAAGATGAAGAACTTGTTGGGTACTGGAGTAAAGGTGACTCTTGCTATGCAAAGCGACTGGTAGCATTTTGCCCCTGCCCTAGAGATGTGTGGAACTTTGAACCTGAGAGTGATGATTTAGGGTATCTGGCAGAAGAAATTTCTAAGCAGCAAAGCATTCAAGAGGAAGCAGAGCATAAAAGTTTCAAAAACTTGCAGCCTGATGATGCAGTAGAAAAGAAAAACCCATTTTCTGGGGAGAAATTCAAGCTGGCTGCAGAAATTTGCAGAAGCAACAAGGAACCAAATTTTAATCACCAAGACAATGGGAAAAATGTCTCCTGGACATGTCAGAGACCTCCACAGCAGGCCCTCCCATCACAGGCACAGAGGCCTAGGAGGAAAAAATGGTTTCCTGGGCTGGGTCCAGGGCCCCCCTGCTATGT
The DNA here is from genome assembly GCF_000001405.40 of Homo sapiens. Lineage (NCBI taxonomy): Eukaryota > Metazoa > Chordata > Mammalia > Primates > Hominidae > Homo > Homo sapiens. Next base: position 115,505,729 of record NC_000003.12, read on the forward strand.
GCAGCCTTGAGACTTGGTGCTCTGCATCCCGGCTGCTCCAGCCATACCTAAATGGGGCCAACATACAACTCAAGCCATGTCTTCAGAGGGTGCAAGCCTCAACCCTTGGCAGCTTCTATGTGGTGTGGGTTCTGTGAGTGTGCAGAAGACAAGAATTGAGGTTTCGGAACCTCCCCCTAGATTTTAGAGGATATATAGAAGCACCTGGATATCCAGGCAGAGGTGTGCTGCAGGGGTGGAGCACTTAGGGAGAACATCTACTAGGGCAGTGCAGAAGGGAAATATGGGGTTGGAGCCCACACACAGAGTCCCCACTGAGGCACTGACTAGTAGAGCTGTGAGAATAGGGCCACCATCCTCCAGACCCCAGAATGTTTGATCCACTGACAGCTAGCACCATGCACCTGGAAAAGCTATAGGCACTCAATGCCAACCTGTGAAAGCAGCCAGGAAGGGGGGAATGTGGAGGGGGTACACTGAAAAGCCATAAGGGTGGAGCTGCCCAAGGTTGTGGGAGCCTACCTCTTGCATCAGCATGACCTGGATATGAGACATGGGGTCAAAGGAGATCATTTTGGAACTTTAAGGTTTAATGACTGCCCTATTAGATTTCGGATTTGCATGGCACCTGTAACCCCTTGTTTTGGCCAATTTCTCCCATTTGGAATGGCTGTATTTACCCAGTGCCTGTACCCCCATTGTATCTAGGAAGTAACTAACTTGTTTTCAATTTTACAGGCTCATAGGCAGAAGGGACTTGCCTTGTCTAAGATGAGGCTGGGCTGTGGCCTTTTAGTTAATACTGAAATGAGTTAAGACTTTGGGGAACTTTTGGGAAGGCATGATTGGTTTTGAAATGTGAGGACATGAGATTTGGGAGGGGCCAGGTGCAGAATAATATGGTATGATTGTGTCTCCACCCAAATTTCACCTTGAATTGTAATAATCCCCACATGTCAAGGATGGGACCAGGTGGAGATCATTGGATCATGGGGGTGGTTTCCCCCATACTGTTCTTGTGGTAGTGAATAAGTCTCACGAGATTTGATGGTTTTACAAAGGGCAATTCTCCTGCACAAGCTCTCTTGCCTGCTACCATGTAAGATGTATCTTTCTCCTCCTTTGCCTGCTGCCATGATTGTAAGGCCTCCCCAGCCATGTAGAACTGTGAGTCCATTAAACCTCTTTTTTTGTATAAATTACCAGTCTCAGGTATGTCTTTATTGGCAGCATGAGAACAAACTAATACAGCCTCCGTCTAGGTCAAAGATTGGGTAGATTTGCTTGCCGCCCACTATAAAAAGAATTGTGGTTTCATAAGCTCAGATTTTGTCAGCTACCTATGTCACCTTTGGGAGTCTTAGAGGACATGGAGAGCTGACACAAACATGAATCTCATGCTACTGCTGTGCTGTTAGTAATAAAGTCCTTTCTCTCTGAACCAGGAGTTTCATATCTTCTGTCAGCATCCATAAAACTATGCAGACTGACATATTATCTTGCAAGTAGGGCAAAATCATGGATCCTTCACGGTACTTGACATATACCACCTCCTGTAAGGTATATATGTTGTAAATTAATATCTGTAAATACTCATGTTTACTTGTATCATGCATGATAGTTCCTCATTTTAAAAAGGTTATAAAATCACAATCTATCCACAACACACACAAACACAATTATCACTTTATTCTCAAATGTTTAGCACAGTTCCTTGCTCAAACAAAATGTTTGTTTAATGACTGAATGAATTTAAAATTGGAAAAATGATGGCACATTATTTACTATAAAATGATCAACTCATTGATACCTCTAGTTACTACTGACATTCTTGATAGAATGAAAGAAAGTTAACATTGACTTCAGGTCTCCAAAACAGTAACCCAAATCTAGTCAGTATCTTCCAGAAGTGGGCATGTTGGTTTTAACAAGAATGTGTAGAAGCATTTCATTCTTACATGTCAAGGATTAGGGTTGGGATTTTTTCGTTCTCTGTAAATATTTTTGACTTTTGACCTTCAGTTGTTGCCACACTATCAAGTACAACACCAAAAGCATTGATTATTAAATATCTCATTCAACCTTTTCTTTTTGACAACCTACTCTTTGTAAAGAAGCATTAGCCCCTTGTGATTAAAACAAATAAATGAGCAAATTACAATTCAAAAAGTAGCACATTATATAATACAATTAAAAACACTGCAGCATTAGAGAGAGGAACAACTAAGCCTAAGGATTGGGGTATGTGGTATGTACAATATTGATAGTGACATCCTAACTCAGTTTGAGGGCCTCGTTCATTTTTTTATTCTACATTTGACGTCTTAGACCTTGATTTCAAGATATTGATAAAACAATCCACTCCCTTTTTCTCTGTCCTGACATCCTACGTCAATTTTTCCAACCAGCCTTTGATTTGTTTTTTATCCCTCAAGAATTTCATTCTTTATTTCTTTGTTCTGTTTTTTTCTGGTGCTGATCATATGGGGTCACCTCCTGTTTGGATCTAGTGCATTCTGGAGCAGGGTATCTGTGTTTCTAAAAGTCTGTGATGTAGGTCCTAACATGCAGACCTGTTTGAGAACTTCTGCTCTAGGGTCTTCTATGACCCCCCCAATTTTGAATTGAAATGGATTATGCATACCAGTAAGCTCATCCTAATCCTTGGCGTTTACCCAGTTAGTTTCTCTCCACCATAGCCTAAACCCCTTTTCTCCCATTCTCCATTTTGACTAGAAGAGCTGGGGCTAGAACTGTGTGTTCTTCTGATTAAGAGTTCACATCATCATTCTAGAGAAAAAACTAGAATCCAGGTGGTTTTTGTCTCTATCACTGCAGTTTGCACAGACACAGACTCACAAGGAATGAACAATCACAAGCAGAATTTAGTGTTAACCTCTTGCCATCCTAGACCAAGTACAGAAGAAAGGGGAGGAGCAAAAGGGAAGTGGAAAAGATTACAGCTTTCTACCTCTCCTGGTAGAATAGCACACATAAAGAGTAAAGAAAGGACTGGGAGTTGCCATGGCAGCCTGAAGCTCCTCACGGAAACCAAGAACTGCCTTGTCCAGACATGGGAGGAAAAACACTTTTCTCAGTGAGTCTCAGTAGTTCCTATGGGGGCTTCATAGACCAGGGTGTACTCTGCTTCAGAGAAATAGCTGTAGTGATGGGCCTCTTTATTTACGCAGAAAGCCACACCTTCCTGAGTGTGTACAGGCAACCAGTGGTTAGGATGCTGAATCACAAGAAACCCACCCACCACTTTCTTAAAAGCACGTAACTATAAATTGTGCATATTCTTACATTTTAAACATGTTTATATGTAAAATCAAGGTGCTGAATTATAATCACGTTGCAGCACTCATTTATATTTATGTCCTTTAGTCTTCCAGCTAATTTAAGAGAAAATCCAACAACCAGAGAAAGTATCATTACACAGTGGAATTTATTTCGATATCCAGGCACTCTTTAAAGCACTGGCTTGAGGCTCTCTTTCATTTTAAGTTGCTAGTGGAAAGCTGAGTGGGGTGAGTGGGTTCAGGGTTCTTACTTTCATGCCTGTGTAATCTGAGACCCAAGGGCTGCTGTTTGATTGATTGATTAACTGATTTTATTCATTAATTCATAAAACATTTACTGAGTGCCTATTATGTGCTAAGCATTATGCAAAGTGGTAAAGATAAGAAACAAAAAATCACCATCTCAGTGAACTTTTTTTGTAGACAAGGAAACATGTAGTTACAGTTTCAAAACATTGCTCTAAGTGTTGTAACCAACAGAGAAGTATATGTACGTATTTATAAAGAAGTGTAGTATGTATAAAAGAGTGAATACTCCTTTCTATGAGAAGAAGCAGAGATTAACTCAGAAAAAGATATGGTACGTCAGTTTTGAAGGATTTTGTAAGAATTTATCAGTTGCAAAGTGTTTGGGAGCTTGTGTCAAGTAGCAGGAATTACACAGGCTGGAGAAGTATAAAGTTATGTGGTACAAATAATGCATACAGTTCAGAATATGTATGTGGGAAGGGGGCTGCTGGTGAGAAAGAGAGTTAGGGGCCAAATCAAGGGAGCCTTTGTCACCATGCTGAAGAGCTGGAACATTATTCTGCACATGATAGCAAAGTTTTAAAACCAGGGACTGCTTGGATCAAATGATGTGTGTGTGTGTGCGTGTGTGTGTGTGTGTGTGTGTGTTTTAGGAATCTTTCAAACACTTGGGAGTGGTAGTAGTCAAGAGGCTCTTGTATTATCACAGAAAAAGACACCAATTCAGAGGTGATAGATGATACCACTATGACGTAGATCACTGGCGATGGTTGAAGATGAGAGAAGATATTTCTGAAAATTAACATGGCAAGATGATTGTGAGGATGTGGGAATGAAGAAACGAAGGGGTTTTTAATGTCCTGGCTTGGATATTTAGGTGAAAAAGATGTTGTTTACTAAAATAGAACATTGGCAGTTGGAGATGATGAGCTCATTTTGAATAGGGTGAATTCGAAGTGCTTTTGGAACATCTAGAGAAAGATGTCTGATGGATAGCTCAATATATGAGTTAAATCTGAAAAGGTTATATAGGCTGAAGACATAAATTTGAGGCTTATGGCCAGAGATGGAATGGTAGATCAGATCTTTCAGGGAGTATATTAAAGGATCAAGTATGAAATTCAAGACCGGTGTTTCGCAAGCTTTAGTGTGTGTGCAAGTCACCTGAGGATCCTGTAAAAATACAAGTTCTGATTTAGTAGCCCTGGAGTGGGGTCTAATCATCATAATTTCCAGCAAGCTTCCAGGTGATGTTGATTCTGCAAGTATGCAGACCACACTTTGAGTAGCAATACTGTAGAAAACATTCATGTTTAAGGACAGGAAGATGAAGAGAAGTCCACAAAAAGGATTGAGTAGAAGTCAAAGATTTAAGAAGAGAGTTGGTGGGGCTGGGGGGGTGGGTGGGTGTGGAGAGGGCAGTGGGGGACAGTAAATAGGAGTATTGTCTCGGAATCCAAGAAAAGAGAGAATTTCATAAAAAAGAAAATGTTAAAGTCAAAGGCTACTAACAAGTAGAGTAAGAAGGGACTAGTAAATGTCTATGAAATTGGCAATTTGAAAGTAATTTTGAATTTTGACAGAAGAGTTTTTATACCATGGAGAGAGAAGTAAATTATAGTGGGGAGCTAATTAACAGTAAGGAAATAAATGGTAGTTAAGGAAATAGACATAGTGAGAATGGATTTTTTTTGTTTGTTTATAAACAACAACAACAACAAAAAAAACACTTGACTGTATTAGGAAAGAGACAAATTGATTTACAATTTAGGAGAGACAAAGATTTTTAAAGTGTCATTATTTTTAAGATGATAAAAGACATGAGGTTTGTGGTAGGAAGAATAATTCCTTCTTTCCTAATCCCCTGGAACTGTAAATATAGTATCTTTGATGGCAAATAGTACTTTGCAACTGTGATTAAATTAAGGATTTTGAGATGGAGAGATTATCCTTGGATTATCCAGGTGTGCCCTGTGTAATCACAAAGATCCTTTAAAGAAGGAGGCTGGAGGGTCAGGACCAGAGAAGGAAATGTGACAACAGAGGCTGGAGGGATGCTATTGCTGGTTTTGAAGAAGAAAGGGTGCTGTGAGCCAAGAAATGCCAGCAGCTCCCAAGAGCCAGAAAAGGCAAGAAACTGATTCTTATCTTAGAGCATCCAAAAGGAACACAGCACTGCAGACACCTTGGTTTTAGACCAGTGAGACTTCTGACATCCTTTCAGAACTGTGAGATAAAGATAAATTTGTGTTGTTTTCAGCCAAAAACTTTGTGATAATTTACTATAGCACCAACAGGAAACTAGTACAAGAATCTTTAATATGTGAAGCAAAAAAACTGTAAGGGACAGCAAGTAATATCTTTTCTCTACCCATCAAAGGGTCACAGCTGACACTCCTATAACGAAGACAGATTAACAAGAGAAAAGCATAACAAATTTATTTAACCAAAGTTTTATGTGGCATGGCAGGCATCATAAATGAAGACCCAAAGACCCCAGGGAAAACTGGGTATTTTTATGGACAGCCATACAGAAGTGTGATTGGAGAACAAAAACCTATGTTCTAGTGGTAATAAAATGGGGGGAATTCAGCAAGTCCTGTTTATTCAAATTCTTCTTTGCTTCCAGGAATAGGGCAAGACCCCTCTTCTGGAATGGGGCCTTATGATGTACTTTCAGAAGAATTTTTTTATGACCATGCTTGAGAGGAGAAAGATGGGAGAAGGTCAGAGGAGTGACCGCCAAAGAAGAATGAGGATGAGAAGGGAAAATAAAGACTCTCTTACTCTGGAGGTGCAGAGTTTTCTTCAAGACATTAGGTGTAAGGCTATGGACAGAATAACTATAAACCACCGTCTCATGCGCATCCTTGTCTATGAAATGGGGTTCATAACGCCACCTTCGTGAGGATAAAATGAGGTAACATGTAAAATGGCTAGGAAAAAAAGACGAGTGCAAAGGTGTGGTTCTCTTGCCCGTTTTAAGTGCTTTCAGGAAGAATGTTTTGCTGCATGCAGTCCAGGGCGTGGCAGCTGCTTCGTTGCAACTAAACACTGGAAACTGGCTCCCCCAAATAATCTCCACATTAAGCTGAGATCTGTTGAGTACATGAAAAATTGAGAGGAGGAAGACCCTGACCCTGGGGTGTCTTGGACTACTTCTCCTCTGAATGTTCCTAGGCTAAAACCAAACATTTTTAATAGATAATCTGTTCCCTTAGCCCCTTCTGTTTCTACCTCGTCGCGTGCCCTCTCTGCCTAAACGCTCTCTCCTCCTCCCCAGGTTCATATTAATAAGGAGAAGGTCTCCCCGCAGCTCCTCTGGACCGAGCCACACCTCTGCCTGGGAATCCTGGGCTGGGGCTGCAGAAGCCCGCTGCGCGCCTCCTGGTTTCTATGGAGACCCTGCTTGATGTCAATGGCGGCTCCGGAGCGCAGGGAAACCTAAGCGTTTGTATTTAAATGAGGGAAAGTGGGGGAAGGGGAAGTAAAAGAGGAAGGGAACAGAAGAGAGGATGGTAGAGGTGAGCGGGCGGGTGTTGAACTCTGGGGACTAGAAAAATCCAGCTGCGTTACTCAGTCATCTCATGCTCGCGGAGAAATCAGAGGAAGCAGCAGCGGGCAGAGGGGTGTTTATTTCTTGCGTGAGAAATATCCGACTTCTTTCTGACATCCGGGAGTAAGGGACAGGCAACTAGGAATCCCTTTTCATGTGGCTGGCCCCTGGCTGATAGTGCTGCTCGATTTCATTTCCAAGAAGAAAGGGAGAGTTCTCTCTTTGCCCAGAGACTCAAGTCTTAAAGATTCATTGCTGCTATGGGAGGGGCCACGCCTCTATCTTTCACTCTCGACCCTTTCCCCTGCAGCATAACTAAATAGAAGCTCTGGAAAGACGGATTCGAAAAGTTCTGGGGTCTGGATTAACTGCTGTTTATTGGCTGACACCCTAGCAAGAGGCTGGGGGAGGAGTAGGAGGAGGTTGGGCAGAATGTATGCTATGATTGAATTGCACGAGGGTTCAGATGACGTCAGCTTGAATAAAGGTCTGACCTAGTGAATGTTAAATGTGGCTGAGTGACTGAATCCTTGGAAGGGATCGATGGCAGAAACCTCCATGAAAGGACCATGCCACTTCTTTAAAATATTAAGCATGTGATTCTGCTGATCTCCCCTGCAACTCCCAGAGCGCTGGTGGAATCTTAGCTTTCTGCTATAATCACTTGAACATTACTTACTGCCCTAGATAACTGCGGGTCACGTGGAGTTTGCACCAAAAAAGGAAGTCTTTGAAAAAAAGAAAAAGCCATTAATCAAAGTGCCTGCTAATCTTACAAAGTGAAAGCAATTCAATTTAATAAACACTTTCAGAGGACTACTTCGAGCCAAGTGTATGCAAAATGAGTGAGATGTTCTTTGCCTTCAAGGTGCATACATTCTGGCTGGGGAGGCGGATATGTTCACAAATGACTCATGGTGCCTGGCAGCAGGTAATATATACCATGGGAACTCCAAGGAAGGTGAAATTAATTAGATACAAGGAGGAGGGGAAAGCAGTTTATATTAGTTGCCTCTGAGGTCTAGACTTTTATAATAGATGCAGAGGAGAGAAGCGCAGGGAAAAGTTCTGCAGGGGTAGAATAGAAAAAGTTTAACCCAAATGCCTATTCCATATAAAATTCCAGTTCTGTAAAATTGTCAAGTGACAGAGCAAGCTAATTTTCCTATTTTTTCCCTCTCTGATGACGTATTGCTATTGCTGCAACTTATAGGAAACTCTGGCTTGGCTTCTATTCCATTTTTACCACTTGCCTAACCCATTTTATTTTGATATTAGAGGTTCAAGCTTTAATGGTTTCATTTAAAAATAAACCCAGAAGGTAGAATTGTGAGAAAGAACGCTTTAAAATGTATTTGGGTTTAGGCTGAGTGAGAACCATAGGCATATGAAGGGCATTGAGATTATTTTGTAGTTGAGACAGGGCTGAAATAAAGAAGGTATTTGTGCCATTTGGGGCTCATTTTCAGAGTCATGGCACATAGGAATTAAGAGATGATTGGCAGCTCCATCACAAATGTTGGAGAAATTTTTGAAATATGTAACACTTATGGTCTGAACTTAGTGCGTGTTGCTCGGTCATGAACTATCAAGTTTTCATTAGAAAATTAGGAGATATTCAGGAATACATTAAAGGACACAGAAGCCAAAGGCTAAGTCTTGGCCTTTGGATGGAAGATATCAGGCAGAAATGAAATTAAAGGAGGGCAATTATTTCTAGAAAGGACAGGAAAAAGAAGCCACATGTGCTCAAACTAGTCATAGTTTCTGTGTCATTGAGATATTAGTTACGAAGGGCTTGTTTTCAAGGCCCTACTCTCAGTTGGCTGAGGAATATAGGTATAATAAAAAACATCTTCCCAGAGTTTTGGCAATGAAGCAGAATATTAGCAATTTTTAATGAAAAAGGGCAGAAAGCCAAGAGTCAAATTATTTTATTTTTATTGTTTCATTCTTCTCACATGGTTCACTGCAGAATCTTTGGACTCCTAATTTACTTTCTTTAATGCCATTCTGCCAAGTTTCTGGATAACTGAATATAATCCTCTAGCTTCTTTACTTCAAATAAACACCCATAGACATGTGGACACCTCAGTCATCTGAACACAGTCAAATGTATTTGCATGGTACATTTTTGTAATGATAGTCAATATGGCATGGCAATTCCTAGAAATGAGTTTAGTAATTTGAGGAGTGACCACTTGACATCACTAATAGCTTAAAGAAGAGACAGAAGGGATAAAATAAACACATAAAAAAGAAATTGAGTCATAAATAGTAGAAAAGATGGAGGGGGAAAAACAAGTAGTGAAACAAGACATTAAGGGGAAAAAAAGATATAGAACAGGACGTCTTAAGCCCTTGAAGAGGTTAGGATCCTTGTATTAGTCCATTCTCACACAGCTGTAAAGAAATACCTGAGACTGGGTAATTTATAAGGAAAAGAAGTTTAATTGGTTCATGGTTCCACAGGCTGTACAGGAGGTATAGCAGCTTCTGTTTCTGGATAGGCCTCAGGAAGCTTACAATCATGACTTAAGGCAAAGGGAGAGTGAGGCACTTCACCCAACCAGAGCAGAAGGAAGCAAGAGAGGTGGGGCAGGTGCCACACATTTTTAAACAACCAGATCTCAGGAGAACTCTCTCACTATGGCAACACGTACCAAGGCAGAAATCTGCTCCCATGAGCCAATTATCTCCCACCAGGCTCTACCTCTGACATTGGGGATTACAGCTCCACATTTGTAATTTCCTAGAGACTTGTTGATAGTTGTGACCCAAATGCTGATAGTGATATGGACAATGAAGTACAGGCTGAGGAGGTCTCATATGGAAATGAGGAACTTATTGGGAACTGGAGTAGAGATCACTTTTGCTATGCTTTAGCAAAGAGCCTGGCTGCATTGTGCCCCTACTCTAGGGATCTGTGAAACTTTGCCCTTGAGAGTGATGATTTAGGGTATGTGGCAGAAGAAATTCTAAGCAGCAGAGTGTTCAAGATATGACATGGCTAATAGCCTATGCTCATATGTGTGAGCTAAGAAATGATCTAAAGTTGGAACTTAGGGTGAGATTTGGGTGGGGACACAGATCTGAATTATATCATTCTGCCCCAGGCCCCTCCCAAATCTCATGTCCTTCTCACAGTGCAAAATCCAATCATGCCTTCCCAACAGTCTCCCAAAATCTTAACTCTTTCCAGTGTTAAGTCAAAAGTCCACAGCTCAGAGTCTCATCTGAGACAAGGCTAGGCACTTCCGCCTATGAGCATGTAAAATCAAAAACAAGTTAGTTACTCCTAAGATAAAATGTGGTTGTAGGCATTGGGTGAATACTCCCACTCCAAAAGGGAGCCAGAAGAAGGGGACTACAGGCCCCATGCAAGTCTGAAACCCAGCAGGGCAGTCATTAAACTTTAAAGCTCCAAAATAATGTTCCTTGACTCCATATCCCAAATCCAGCACACACTGGTATAAGGGGTGGGCTCCCAAGGCCTTGGACAGCTCCACCCCTGTGGCTTTACAGGGATCAGCCCCTGCAGTTGCTCTCATGGGCTGTTGTTGAGTGCGTGCAGCTTTTCTAAGCTCAGGGTGCAAGCTGCTGGTGGATTTACCATTCTGGGTCTGGGGTCTTACAGTTCCAGTAGTGGGGACTCTGTGTGGGGGCTCCAACTCCCACATTTTCCCTCTGTATTGACCTAGCAGAGGTTCTCTGTGAGGACTCTGCCACTGCAGCAGGTTTCTGCCTGGACATCCAGACTTTTCCATACATCCTCTGAAATATAGGTGGAGGCTCCAAAGCCTCAACTCTTGCATTCTGAGCACCTGCAGGCTTAACACCACGTGGAAGCCACCAAGGCTTATGGCTTGCACCCTCTGAAGCAGCAGCTTGAGCTATACCTGGGCCCCTTTTAGCCATGGCTGGAGCTGGAGTGGCTAGGATTCAGGGAGCAGTATCCTGAGGCTTTCTAGGCCAACAGGGCCCTGGGCCTGGCCTATGAAACCATTCTTCCTTCCCAGGCCTCTGAGCATGTTATAGGAGGGGCTGCTGTGAAGGTCTCCGAAATGTCTTTGTGGCCTTTTTCCCATAGTCTTAGCTATTAGTTCTTGGTTCCATTTTACTTATGCAAATTTCTGCAACTTGCTGGAAATTCCTCCCCTGAAAATGGGCTTTTCTTTTCTACCACATGGCTAGGCTCCAAATTTTCTGAACTTTTATGCTCTGCTTCCCTTTTAATGTAAGTTTCAACTTTAGGTCACTTATTAGCTCACACATATAAGCATCGGTTGTTAGCCAGGTCACATCTCGAACACTTTGCTGCTTAGAAATTTCTTCTGCCACATACCCTAAATCATCACTCTCAAGTGCAAAGTTCCACAGATCCCTAGGGCAAGGGGAAAATGCAACCAGGCTATTTGCTAAAGCACATCAAAAGTGATCTTTACTCCAGTTCCCAATAAGTTTCTCATTTCCATCTGAGACCTCCTTAGCCTGGACTTCATTATCCATATCACTATCAGCATATGGATATGCTGCTATAAAGAAATACTTAAGACTGGGTGATTTATAAAGAGAAGAGGTTTAATTGGCTCAGAGTTCCACAGGCTGTACGGGAAGCATAGCAGCTTCTGCTTCTGAGGAGGCCTCAGGAAGCTTACAATCATGGTGGAAGGCAAAGGGGGAGTGAGCCTATTAATATGGCTGGAGAAGGAGGAAGACAGCAAGGTCGGGGGGAGGTGCTACACACTTTCAAACAACCAGATCTCACGAGAACACACTCACTATCACAACACAGTACCAAGGGGGAAATCCCCTCCCATGATCCAGTCACTTCCCACAAGGCCCCACCTGCAACACTGAGAACTGTAATTTGACATGAGATTTGGGTGCAGACCCAGTTCCAAACCATATTGATCCTCTGGTTTACTCTCATTTTAATTTGAAATGGAAACCTTTTCATTTCACAGATGAGAAAGCAAGAGCCAGGAGGAAATGAGTGACTTTTCTAATATCACAGTCATTTAGAGACTGTGATAAAGGCAAGGTTGGAGCCCAGGTTTCCTTACTGCTAGTCCAGTGATAGTTCTGTTACATCATTTCTTATACCTATAAAGGCTGACTGAACCCAAAGTTCCTTTGAAATGTAAATACTATTCCATTTGTACTTTAACGTCTAACAGAATTGTATTTTTACATTTATATTGTTTATTAGCAGCACGCAAAGTGTTTTATCTAATTTAACCCTTGTATGAATCTGCAATAAGTAAATATCAGCTAAAAAATGGCCTGCCTGGGACTTATCTACTTTTTATATATGATATATTTTTTCTACAAATACCCGTTTCTTATTTGTGAATACTAGGTGAATTAAAAATAAAATAAATAGACCATGCTGTTTCTACTCTTCTCCACCATACTGTCAACTAGGAACTCGTTGTGCTTTAAGAAAATAGAACAGAAGTGGGAGGAATGGGCAGCCTGACAATTAAAGCAAGCAAGAAAGAAAAAATGGTGTGGACAGCTTTTGCAAGTTTGTGCCGTAGATGATAGTGGTTAAATTTGCTTGTTATTCTAGACATCTGTAATAGAGGAGGTATTACCTCCAGTTGTTTCTGCAGTGGTGACCCTTGTTAGTTTGAGAAAGTTCTTTTTGAGGCTGATGAATTCAGTTCCCAGAAAAAGACACAGGACTCATGTTGGGGAATAGGAGCACCTCCTCCCTACCATGAACTGCACTCTCAGAGGCCCAGCCATCCCTGGCAGGATGGTTTCAATCACTCCTGCCATCCAGTCATCGCTGACACTTCTTGGCAGGCAGCCTGCCTCTAATGGAATGTGTCCTGCAGCTGGGAATTAGGTCATCAGTAATTTACTTAATAGCATTTTATGAGCTGGGCTCTGACAAAAGAGAGTGATCTGGCCTTAACAGCAGGAGCTTTCCTTGATGTGAGGGGAAGGAGGGAAGAGAGTATAGCATTGTGAATAATCAGACACTACATTTCCTGAAAGTAATGGGTGAGGGTAAGAAAATCTGGGTGTTTCTTCAGACTTCCTATGTGATCAGGTAAGATACATACCTTGGGCAAGGTACTTCTTGTTTCTGGACTTTAGTTCCTCTAAAGTCTTATACAACTCTAATATCATATACTTCTGACTCTAAAGAACTCTTTATGAAAATTGGAAGATACAGAATTTGACAGGTCATCACCCCCTCTTCCCTGATGGTGCTCTATGGAAGGAGAGATAGGTAATCCCACTCTTCTGCCATTAGTGTGCTTTGAAATGAAAAGCACTGTGTTGTAGAGTTTGCTAATTTTCCTGGTGTAAGTATTCTCAACATGGCTGATTTCAAGCTGCCAATGCTTTAACAATTAGCAAAACTTTTGAAAACTGAACAATTAGCTTCTATGGGCTGGTATGAGTTGCTCCAGTACATCACTAGTTCTCTCCCATCTAGATAAAGCTGCATCAATGAATAGTCTCCCGTATGTAGACACATAACTGGATTGTTCACACACTAAGATATGTGCCATATATATCTTTGTTTTGGTTTTGGATGAAAAGATATTCACAACTTCTCTTTGATTCTATTCCAGTTGCTATTCTTAATTTATGTGAAGCCCTCTCAGAAAACATGTGAATTCTTATTAGGAAACTGTCCAGTTTATATAGCTCTTCATCTGAATTCCCATTTCTTCCACCACTGCTCTGATGCTCCCAGGGATGTTCAGGGAGCCATTTGACCCTTCATATTTTCTTCTGACCCCTAGGACCCCATGTTCTTTCTGTTGGAAAACCCAATATACATCTCATGAATGTTCAGAAGGTTTGCTGTTGCTATACAGGGTTTAAAATTTGAAAAAGAATCACTGGAATCCTTCCTCCTTTTCACTGGGTGTGAAAGAAACCCTTTTGGGTTCTGAAATTTTAATGTGCAAAATCTTCCAATTTCAAGAAAATTAGGGCTGGGTGCAGTGGCTCAGCCTGTAATCCCAACACTTTGGGAGGCCAAGGCGGGTGGATCACCTAAGATTAGGAGTTCCAGACCATCATGGCCAACAGGGTGAAACACCCATGTCTACTAAAAAAACTAAAAAAAAAAAAATTAGCCAGGAGTGGTGGTGGGTACCTGTAATCTCAGCTACTCGTGAGGCCGAGGCAGGAGAATCACTTCAACCGAGGAGGCGGAGGTTACAGTCAGCTGATATCATGCTACTGCACTCCAGCCTGGGTGACAGAGCAGGACTCCATCTAAAAAAATAATAAATACAATTTTTAAAAAAGAAAATTGGGATGAATAGAGGTAAAATCACTACCCAGAATGGTGGTGGATACAATTATGAGTCAGTTCTATTTTATCCCTTCAATTGAATACTATGTATAGAAAATATTCAATTAGCAACTATCTACTGAGCATTTACTTCATGAACTTAGCCCTGCAAACTATTGTGAAATATAAGAGAAAGCATATGCTGTAATACTAGGCTTCAAATTTATCATTTTGTTGGGAAGATAAGATTAACATATACAAATTAATGAAAATCAGTTAAAAACATGTTATAATCAAGTGCTTAATGATGTGGCACAAATTCTAAATGAAGCAGGAGTTTAAAGAAAAGTAAAATTTCTTGAAGCAAATGTTGCCCAAGGAAACTTAATGACAGAAATGAAGCGTAAGCTGCCCATGATGTGAGGATTGTGTTTACATAGTCAGATGAAGGTACCCGACTAGCCAGGCTGGGGGGATTGCATGTCAAACACTGGTGGCAAGAAATAGGGAGGAGGTAGAAACAGTAAGTAGTGGAAGGTGAAGAAAAAATACAACCTCTGGCCTAAAACTGGGTTTTAGTACATTTGTGTGAGAGATAATGTGGAGGAGAGGTGAGAGGCCATATACAAATAAACAATGGCCAGATCACATATGACAATAGAACCCTGATCTACAACCTCTGCAGCAACCAGTGTGCAGGAAGCCAAACCACAACCTCTGCAGCAAACAACCCAGAACAGGCAGGAAGCAGTGAATGACCACCAGCTTCCCTAATTTTTGCCTCCCTTGCCCTCCCCACAACCAACTCCCACCACTTCCAACTCAGGACCAAGAAGAGAAAGCCAAATATGCTCCCCAAACCAATCACATAGAACATCCCACTTCTAGTTAGGCTGCATCCAGCTTCCCATGCCAATAGGCTCAAATCAGAGCATACTTGTAACCTTCCCTTTTTCTCATTATAAAGTTTTCTTACTCCTCTGCCTGCCATTGAGTCTCTGCCAAACACCAGTGATGGTGGCTGAATCTCTTGTTATGTAGCAAGCTCTGAATGAAGGGCCTCTGCTTGTTCTCATTTGGGTGGTCTGGGTGGTCTTCATTTATTTCCACAGTGGGAAAGGCACATACCCATGACAGTCTGTTTCTCTTTTGCTATTACACAACTATACACACACACACACACACACACACACACACACACACACACACACACACAGAGTTCTCTTTCTCTCTACCACTGTTCCTCCTTCCTTCCCACTATCTACTTTTCTATAGGCTTTCTTACCAATCTCCCAAGAATGCTCTTAAAAAAGACAGGTGTTGAGGAAGCTATTACTTCCATTTCAAAGATGAATAGAATACAGTATTTAAGGTAGTCTATGCTGAGGACATTTATATATTTTATTTGAATCTAAAGTGGCAGCTAAGCCAGGTGCGGTGGCTCACACCTGTAACTCCAGCATTTTGGGAGGCTGAGGCGGGTGGATCAGTTGAGCTCGGGAGTTCGACACTAGCCTGGGCAATGTGGTGAAACCCTGTCTCTACTAAAAATACAAAAATTAGCCAGGTATGATGGCACATGCTTACAATCCCAGCTACTTGGGAGGCTGAGGCAGAAGGATGGCTTGAACCCAGGAAGGGGAGGATGCATTGAGCCGAGATCATGCCACTGCACTCCAGCCTGGGCAACAGAGTGAGACTCTGTCTTGAAAAAATAAAAAATAAAAAAATAAAATAAAATGGCAGCTGAATGACTCAATTCTAACCTGACTTTGACTCTGGTTATCCTTTTTCTCTGCAAAAAGTCTTTTATTGTTGTTTTAAAAATAATGGTCCCATATTTTAAAAGGTTTGATCTAACATTAGTTAAATAACAATTAATGTTTTTCTAGTATATTTTAAGACATCTAAAATGGTTGTTCGGATTCTCTGATCGATGTAAGATAACCAGCATTGTTGCCATGCTAGACAATATATTTCCTGTCGAATCAAAGAACACAAGTATTTCAAATAGTGAGTGCTACACAATCTCCTATAGATAGATATATGGATTTTATTAGTGCATTTTGAGATTTTGAAAATAGCTCATCAGCCCTCATCTCCATTCGACTTTTGAGAATTTATTATGGTGATCAGAATCCCAAATTGGAAACAACCCCTTAAATGATATTACCATTACAATAATTTTGTTATGATTTTACCAGTTCCTGAAAGGCCAGCCCTTTACTCCATGCTCCAAAACCCTAAAATAAAATAGTTTTTAGGTTTTACAGGTAGATTGTTTTTGAATATTTAAAGAAGTTGGTTCCCTACCTAATTTATATCAATAGACTGGAAGTTGACCAGCAGTTAGCCATGACTTTTTTCTGATATAACATCCTCTTCTTTGTGAACATCTGATATGATTAAAAGGCTAGAGGCAGAATTTAGCTTGACTATACTGAAGTTCTCCATGTTTTGCTTTCCATTTAAACCCTGGGGTCTTATTCTCGGGTTTGTAGACTTAGAAACTTGGTTTTCCAGCTCATCCTGGAGCAATTATGCGTTGGCAATGTAATCACATCCCTGTTATATGTTCTTATCTTACCTTGAATGTTTCCTTCATTGCTCTTACTCCCAGAGCCCTGATGATACTAGCAATGAGTCTCCAAAGTACTTGTGTGAAGAGGGAATATAACTTTAGAAAATGACTCTTGTTGATGATAATCCTCTTTCATATCATGTATGATCTTGTCAAATGAGATCATAGGTCTTCCTCACCAAGGGTTTTGTCTCATTAAACTTTGCTCAATCATCTATTGTCATAAGTCTAGGGGGTGTATTTTGGGGTATATATTAGTTAAGATGACCTTGTCTGTTGTAACTAGCACATCTAAATTGTGTAGTCGCTTCATGCAATGAAAGCATACTTCTTGTTCACCCAAAAGTTCAAGATTGTTACCCCTTGTCAGCAAATGGCTTTCTCCATGTGGTGATTCAGAGACCCAGGCTTCTTCTATACTGTGGCTCTGCCATCCTTTAGGGATTTGCCATCTTCCATGGCTGAATACAAGTGGGAAAAAGAGGATAGAAGTAGTTCATTTTCTTCTTAAAATACCTTGGTTCTGGAAGTGGCACATATCCCTTCCATTCATACTGTTTGTGAGAACAAATGCAAGGAAGGCTAAGAAATGTAGTCTGTCTATGGACCAAGATCAAAAAGAAAATGACAATTTGGTGAACATTTAGCAATCTCTGTCTTAGGTATTTGTAGCCTCTGCCTACCTCTTGCCATCCACTAAAGATATTGGAATATGAATTGAGATGCAAAGAAACTGTTTAAAACATGATCTCCCTTCCTTTCCCTTGCGTCACTAACTTATTCAGCAGGAAACTGCCATTATTTTTTTTTCTGGGAGAATTGCAGTTGATCAATTATCTCTTGTTTTCTCTACTTAGCTATGTTAAAAAAGAGGATGGGTATCTCTACTGTAAAATGACATCAGCCATTCTCTCCTGGGTGACCTCTCAGTGGCTCCTCTCTGCTACTGTGACAGCTGCTCTTGGCAGAAATTCCTTTTGGATCAACTCTGCTTGCCTGAAAGCCCATTGGCAGTGGAATAGCTCAGAGTTATGCTTTCAGCTCTACCTCTTGAGAACCAACTCATGCA